>NC_000001.11:61675047-61978077 GCF_000001405.40 Homo sapiens
TAGTTTCCTATTGCTGTTATAACAAATTACCATAAACTTAGTGGCTTAAAACAACACATATTTATTATCTGACAGCTCTGGCAACAGTAGACTGGATAAATATTTTTGACACCTTCATACAGTGGAATACTATACTGTAATAATGAGTGAAAGAAGCCAAACACATGAAGTTCAAAAACAGGCAAAACTAATCTATGGTGATAGACTCACAGAAGAGTGATATCCATGAGGGGTGGATGCTGACTAGGAAGGAACACTATAGAATTTTCTGGAGTGCTAGACATGTTCTTTATCTTGAACTGGATGGTGGTTAAATGGGTGCATACATAGGCAGAAACTTATCAAGCTTTATACTAAGATTTGGGCATTTTATACATGCCTCAATATAATATTTTTTTTATTTGTTTTGAGATGGAGTTTTGCTCTTGTTGCCCAGGCTGGAATGCAATGGTGCAATCTCGACTCACTGCAACCTCCGCCTCCTGGGTTCAAGTGATTATCCTGCCTCAGCCTCCCAAGTATCTGGGATTACAGGCATGCACCACCACGGCTGGCTACATTTTTAGCAGGGACGGGGTTTCACCATGTTAGTCAGGCTGGTCTAAAATTCCTGACGTCAGGTGATCCACCCGCCTCAGCCTCCCAAAGTGCTGGGATTACAGGCATAAGCCACTGCACCCAGAATATTCTTTTTGAAATGAAGCCATTAGGCTTTTGTAAGATTGTCTTTCCTTTTTGATGAAAAACTCCAGTGGGGAAATTATTAAAACATGAGACAGATATATGGCCAGTTGAGGGCATAAAAGGGAAGTGATATTGTATAGTGATTAGGAGGACGGGCTTAGGAGTCACAAACCTGGTTTTAAGCATCATTTGCTGGCTGTGTAATCTTAGTCAAGATATTTGATCTCTCTAACCTTCTTTAATTATGTATATAATATGGATATATAAATGGCTGTACTGACCTTGTAGGAGCATTGGAAGTACATGAGATAAAAAATACAAAAATCTTAAAAACAATCAGTTATTAAATACCTACCATGTGCCACACACCGTGGAATATATTACTTAACCCTATGACAAATGCATGAGAAAGATACTAACATGTCCATTTTAAGAATGAAGAAACCAAGGGCCTAAGAGTTTGGTCATAAGAAGTGACAGGTGTGTCTGATCCTAAAGTCCATGAATTTAAGCATTACCCTTTATGGCATACTTGGATGAATAGGTGGGTGGATATTAAAAAATTGAATCAGAAACTAGCCTGGGTTCCGCAGAGGGGCACAATATTTAACTAAAGCTTCCGTTAACGTATTAAAGGCTAGCCAATGATATCTATAGCATAAAAGACCTTTATCACTGGAAGGGAAACTAATCGTCCTGTCTCACGGGGTGATTATAGGGATTAAGTGAGATAATCAGGTCAGGAGAGTACATAGCAAATAATAGGCAATTTAGTAGCTTCCTTTAATTATTTCTAATAATCTACTCCCTGATCTTCTCTCAGGAACCACCTCTAGAAACCACCCATTCAAAGAGAGAATTTTAATGTTTATAAAATATTTGAGCAGAGCCCTGACTGAGGAAGCAAGTCATGTAACAACGTGGGAAAGAGAACTCCAGGCAAAGGAAAGATTAAGTAAAAAATCTTGAGGTAGACTGGGCGTGTGGCTCACACCTGTAATCCCAGCACTTTGGGAGGCCAAGGCAAGTGGATCACTTGAGGTCAGGAGTTCTAGACCAGCTTGGCCAATATGGTGAAACCCCAATCTCTACTAAAAATACAAAAATTAGTCAGGCATGGTGGCATGTGCCTGTAATCCCAGCTACTTGGGAGGCTGAGATAGGAGAATTACTTGAACCCAGGAGGTGGAGGTTGCAGTGAGCCGAGACCATGCCACTGCACTCCAGCCTGGGCAACAGAGCAAGGCTCTGTCTCAAAAAAAAAAAAAAAAAAAAACACTTCAGGTAGAAATTGGTCTGGGTGCAGTGGCTCATGCCTGTAATTCCAGCACTTTGGGAGGCGGAGGCAGGAGGAATGCTTGAGGCCAAGAGTGCAAGACCAACCTGGCCAACATAGTGAAGCACTGTCTCTATGAAAAAAAAAACAAAAAGGAATCAATATGGCATATTTGAAGCATGACAGAAGCCACTGGAGAATAGGCAGAACAGTAGCATTTTCTCATTTATTTTTATCTCTTTGGCTGCTGTGTGGAGAATATAGTGTAGGAGGACAAGAGCAGAAGAGGTGCATAGTAGGTCAATAAATAGTTGAGAATTAATAAACAATAAATTTGCTTCTTTTGAATACCTTTTAAAAGGTTCAAAACACTTTTTTTGTGTGTGTGTGTGAGACGGAGTCTCACTCGGTCGCCCAGGCTGCAGTGCAGTGGCGCCGTCTCGGCTCACTGCAAGCTCCACCTCCTGGGTTCATGCCATTCTCCTGCCTCAGCCTCCCGAGTAGCTGGGACTACAGGCACCCACCACCATGCCCAGCTAATTTTTGGTATTTTTAATAGAGACGGGGTTTCACCGTGTTAGCCAGGATGGTCTCGATCTCCTGACCTCATGATCCGCCCGCCTCAGCCTCCCAAAATGCTGGGATTACAGCCGTGAGCCACCGGGCCCAGCCTTCAAAACACTTATTAAAAACAACTTTTGTTATGTCTTGAACCATTTCATTCCAATAGTTTGCCTCAGTGACAAATCACACAGAGAAGTCATGCCATTCTCCTTAATGTTTCTCATATTGCAATAATAGGTGAATTTCATAATCTATTCAGAATTAGTCGAATCTTGAGGTTTTTCTAAAAATCAAAGATAGGATCTTGAGCCTTCATAATCATACCTTCTTAAACACAAAATTAGCTCACATGATAAAAAGTTCCAAACACCACACTTGCTAGAGTATTCTGGTAAAACGTTTTTCTTTGGCATATGCAGCCCAAATAGCTCTATCCTTAATCATTTTTCAAGTTTTAATCTCCACATGCTTGGCATATTCTGATAACATTGACAGGTTAAAAGCAACACTGTTGTATGCATAGTGATTGCTTGCAATTAACCATAATTTAGGCTGAAAGTAGGCTGATCAGCTGCCTCACAGCAACATTTTAAAACTTATTAACTATCTCCAGCGAACTTTAGATGAAAAAGCAACAAAAACAAAATCTGTAACATTTCGGCTTTTTCTTACATAGAGTCTTAAAAGAGTGAAGGTGCCAATAAGACTAATTCTTCATAAAAAAAAAGACACTTTTGGCCCATATTACATCCAGTAACTACAGATACGGATAAAGATAATAAGAAAAACAGGTAAACAATGTCCAAACGAAGTGTCTTACCCTCCTTTTGTAAAAGAGACTTTTGAGCCCACTGGCATTTTATTTAAGAAATAACCATGCTATAGCCCAGTTGTGCAGAACCTCTTGCAAGTTCCAGACAGACCTCACCAGTACTTGATGCCATTATCCCATTATTTTAAAATGTGTTCAATACATAATTAGTATCTGCCACTTAATCTTTCAACATTACCTGACACGTGTCACTACCTCTATTTATATGAAGACAGAGGGATTAAGAATGGTTACGTGCTCAGTCACAAATTAAGGGATGAGAAACAGAATGCACTCAGGACTCAGAATAAGTCTATACTTTTATCATCCCATGCTGCTTGGATGCCAGACCTCTAATATGGCATCCTACCTTTTCCTTTTAAATGTATCTATCAGGTGGGGTGCGGTGGCTCATGCCTGTAATCCCAATACTTTGGGAGGCCACGGCAGGAGGATTGCTTCAGGCCAGGATTTCAAGACCAGCCTGGCCAACATGGTGAAATCCCGTCTCTACTAAAGATACAAAAACTAGTGGGGCGTGGTGGCACGTGCCTATAATCCCAGCTACTCAGGAGGCTGAGGCAGGAGAATCGTTTGAACCCGGAAAGTGGAGGTTGCAGTGAGCCAAGATTGTGCCATTGCACTCCAGCCTGGGCAACAAGAGTGAAATTCCATCTAAAAAAAAAATAAAATAACCCCCAACCAATATTTCTTTTATACTCTTGGCAGTTCCATGAACAAATGCTGGCCACAGACATAACAGAATCTTTGAAGTAAGGAATATTTCTGGGTAAATAGGTACTTCTGGAAATTATACCAATCCTTTAGGCAAAAGTAGTATCATTTGTACATCACTGCTACAAGGCACTAAACATCTCTATAGGATTGAAAGAATCCTTTCCATTCTGCCTTAAAAGGATTTAGCAGTAATAAGGAATGACTGAGCTAATGCATCTCACAATTTTGGTCACTCATATAAAAGCAGGTTTGACATATAAAACATCTGATAGAGAGGGTTTAACATATAATTCATATTCATACACACTACTAACAAATTGTCATAATAGTGCTCAGTGAAAGAAAAAAAGCTGACAAATAGAATTTAAATGCATTCACATGAGTTTATTAAAAAATCTGTTAAAGAATTACGTATTAGGCAACAGAATTAGGCAAACTAGAAGTGTTCTTGTCATGCAAATTCAGGAAACTAAAGTGAAAATAAAGTCTAAAGGCTTAATAATGTGTTGTGAAGGGACTTTGTTTCTATGCTTCATCAACAACCCTTTAAGAGTATAGCTTATTTGAACAAATACTTTTTAGCATCACCTGCTTTGAAACAGACTTACTACCTGGCCAAGTTAATGACTATAGCTATTATGCAAGGATCAAGATTACTTTCCAAAATTTGACTGCAGGTTCTTTTTTTTTTTTTTTTGAGACAGAGTCTCGCTCTGTCACCCAGGCTCGAGTGCAGTGGCACAATCTCGGCTCACTGCAACCTCCGCCTCCAGGGTTCAAGTGATTCTTCTGCTTCAGCCTCCCAAGTAGGTATTTCTTATATAGTTGAACTAACCTGACTGTGGAAACATGACTTACAATCTGGGCTTAGATGATACCGAAGTAAACTACAAAGCACTGTCTGCAACCTAAAGGAACCTCAGGGACACTAGAAAATGAGTATCTACCAACTAGTTTAACTGTGACCAAAAATATCACGGTGAAAAAGTAAGTTCCAAGAGAATATAAGCTTCTAAAGGGCAGGGATTTTGTTCACTCCTGCATCCCCCCATATAGATCAGGCCTCCCACTCAGTAGACAATCAAACTTGTTCAAACGTCTCTTTGAACAAATCAAAGAGATGTTCCTGGTGTACACTGGGGGTCAACCCAAATTCATTTCATATATTAATATTTAATAATCTCCCACCAACTTGAGAAGCTATTGAATGATTTACATGTTATGAAGCTAATTATACTATACTGTCCACTTTTGAGGAAAATGTGTGACAAAAAATTATGGTTTTTACTCTTGAGGAGTACCGACACTAGTAATTTTGAAATTGGTATGCCTGTTACTGAAGAAAAAGTGGGATAGTATTCTGGGGACATAACATTTCATGTATTTCCATCTTCTTAAAACCCCTCTAAACATGGTAAGAAAAATCAGTGCTAACATACAGGTGCTGCTTTTTTCAGACACTGGTACATCACTTAAGGCACCTGTGCCGGCATCTGCCTGGTGGTGCTCACAGATGGAAGACATTAATCATCTGTTTGGTGCTCCCACCTTGTCCATCCAGCTTCAAATATAACTGCGGTGAGCTAGATGAGTCAGCATCTGGTCTTCCAAAAGCTAGTGTAGCACTCCCAAAGCAAAAAAGGAAGAAGTTCACACCTCAGAGGCCTGAATCAATGCCAGAAGTGTACATGTTGCCTCAAAGTTTCACAGACTCCCTAATGATCTTTAGCTCCCTGGATACCAAGGCAAAGACAGATCTGAAAGCTGCAGAAAAACAGGTGGGTTGTCATACACAAGACTGAAGCCCCAGGCAATATAAATGGTATTTGTTCACACCATGGATTAACTGCTTTGAAGGATCAAAATGGGTAAGACAGCTACATTCAACATTTAAGAAGATTTTCTCAATAACAAAGCACTAAAAATGTGAATAAGTTATACTTTTATTTTTCAGAAACAAAAATGACAAGTGGCAACTTGCCTTTGTAAAAGATTAAAGAGTATCAGAGTAATAAGCTATCTCTCATAGAGACAGAAGCCCGAGAAACACTATTATACAGCTTTCAAAGGAAGTCCTATTAAATAAATCTCACAATAATATACTTTAACTCAACAAAACAAAAACCACAAAAAATTATACAGAACTCATAAAATGGTATATGAATGAAAAAGAGAAATCTTTAAATCCATACACTAGAAGTTCTCTATTAAAATCAAGGAGGCTCAAATCCTAAAACAGAAAGAAGAAATACGTTAAAACACAATATTTTTTAAGAGTCCAATGAGGTTATTGCAGATGTACATTTTAACATTTCATTTGCTCAATGTATTTTTTTCTCATTCTTGGAGCACTTCTGTATAATGTAGAGAGATTACATGAATGATAATGCAGATACTGGCCTTCTCAATGGGCCTTTCAGGTTTTAAGTTTCAAATCTGAATCTGGAATCCCACCTAAATGTTTACATAATAGGCTACCAAGAATGAGATTCCTCTTAAAATTACATTTGCTTAATTTTTACACACTATGGTTTAGAAACAATCTACTTTTGAAAGAGACACAATTTACAGTATGAATAATAAAAGTTACATGAAACTACACAATCCTTCTCATAAAATAGGAGAAACAATTTCCAAAACAAAAATGCCTAATACAAAATGATACAGTTGACTGGAGCTGGGGTAGGATGGGAGGAAGAGAACAACCATGTGACAGAATGTATGGAAGACCTAGATTCTAGTTTCAGTTTTGCACTAATTAGTTGCGTATCTTACTCTCAACTTCCTTAGGTCTTGATTTTTTTCCTGGTAAGAAGAGGTAGATGGATCTCTAAGCTTTATTCTAATTTTAAGGCTCAATGACTTACAGTTTATAAGATTTGGAAAACCTTTTGGACAATCAGTTGAATAAATTCCTTACATCTTGAGGGTGTGTCACTGTTCAATCCCATGACAATAACTACAAGGCATATCCATAATTTTACTGTTAGAAAAGAAAAAAATCCACCTAAAGGGCAAAAGTATACTTCATATCCTGTTTCTGTTCTACAAGACAGAAAACAAATGTCTATTCTCTTGCTGGCCTCTAGAAGCAGTCCTTTGAGATAGAGTTGACTGAAAACCCTAGAACAAGGATAATGGTTAAGACATCTACCCTGTCTTTCTCTCTACCTGTCTGTGTCTATGAAAGCTTCTAGACAGCTGCTAGACAGCTCAAAGTGAACTATTACATAAAAACTACCCTTCACCCTACATGATATATAGGATTTCTCTATTACAGAGAATCATTATACCAGGAAATGGTTTTCCTGATATTCTACCAAAATCCTGAGTAAAAGTTTGCATTATTGGAAGATTATTAGAATAGACTAATGTATGGTAATTGAAATTTAAAAAACCTTGTAGTAGCAGAGTCCTAGAAAACCAGAGAGTTGAACCAGGAAAAAGGATGGTATCTCTGACTTCAGCAGGTTTATCACTTATTTAAAGCTGAGGCCAGCCAGGCACAGTGGCTCACGCCTGTAATTCCAGCACTCTGGGAGGCCGAAGCAGGTGGATCACCTGAAGAGTTCAAGACTAGCCTGACTAAAATGGCGAAACCCCATCTCTACTAAAAATACAAGTTACCCGGGCATGGTGGTGTGTGCCTGTAGTCCCAGCTACTGGGGAGGCTGAGGCACGAGAATCGCTTGAACCTGGGAGGCAGACGTTGCAGTGAGCCAAGATTGAGCCACTGCACTCCAGCCTGGGCAACAGAGCAAGACTCTGTCTCAAAAAAAAAAAAAAAAAAGAAAAAGAAAAAGATAAAGCTGAGGCCAATAATTCTTACAGCCAGAGCCAAACTTTAGGTTAGAAGAAGCACTTACAGGGAATTCAGGCTTTGGACTCTTTCAGTATCTATTTTCAGTTTCAGGGAAGGAGAAGCAAAGAAGGAAGTTAAAGATTATACTGACCCTTAGAGGGATGGGCAGCAGAAATATCTGCTATATTGAGCTATTTACGGCACATACTTTCATCATAACCATCAAATAATAAATGCCTTTTTGCTTTGATGTTACTTTTTTCTTGTGAACTTTGTCCTTTAACCATATGCACTGCAAAGAGTCTGAAGTGGGAACCGAAGGAGCCATGAGCGTGGACTAAAATGCTTTTCAAAGGATTGGAGATGTTTCAGGCATAGGGGTACCTGAGAGGTTTATACGGTTTCTTAAAATTTTCTATGGTCCTAAAATTCTCATAATTTTATATGAATAATATACCACTATAAGATATTACATATATATATATATCACTTACTGTTTCTTTTAAAAAATATTTATGGATATAATTGCGTTTTTCTAAATGTTTCATTAGTAATACTCAGTCTTGTAAGTCTGGTTCCATAGTAATCTATAATGTAACTACTTCCATCTGAAGGTCCAACAATCTAGAAGAGACAAAATTTCAAAATTATTCATTTTACAAAAGATATTTCACAGCACTTTGTTTACTTTTCTCAGTTGTTAATAAAAGTATTTCAGAAGCAACAAAAATCCAGCTCTAACCTAAGCAAAAATAGGTAATTTAGTGGCTCATGTAGCTAAAAACAACTACTGGGATATACTGGGATAGCTCAAAGGATCAAAAGAAAAGCTACAGGAACCAAGGACTGAATTCTGTGCTCCCTGAGGCCCTTGGCTTCCCTGCCTCCTTGCTTAGCTCTGCTTGTCTTCATTCTGCAGAGTGGCACTCTAACTAATTGCCAACAGCTCTAGAGTCACATATTCCCAGCTCAGCAGCTCCTAATACAAAGAAAGTAAACTTTTCTTCCCCAATGTTTATATACCAATTCCAGGGAAAGACTTTTATCGATCTGCTTGGTTTTTATGCGTACTGTGGACAAACTACTATATCCATGGGAATAGATTTAATATGATTGGCCAGGCCAGGCTGCCTGTAGGAGATGAGGTTGTATCATTGACAGTCCTGCCAGAACCACCTGGAATGGAAAAGGAAGAGGTAGAAAAAAACAACACATGTTCGCTACAATCATCTTGTCCACTTAATCACATATGTGACAATCTAGTTAACATAATCTCTATAAATTACCCTCTAAGGTAGCAATCTTCAAACTGTAGCATTAAAGGTGGACAAAGATTTACCAAGGTGTATGTGGGCCCAGAGGAGAAATCAATCCTGAGAGCTTAATTCCCTAAATACTCTTTGTAAAACAAATTTGCCTGATACCATGCTACACTGGAAGCATCCTACCAGTTTCCCTTCCCACTTCTCCTCACTGTGGTCATTTCTCCCACTTGTTAACAGTAAAGCATACCTACCATCCAGGATACCCCGAGTCTTATGATGGCATATTTCCCTGAGGTGTGAAAGCCTCTGAAGTGCCAAACAAAGGGATAGCTCAAAATATTGGATTTAGGGAACTATCCTTTACTCAAAGGTCCAAAAATACATTCTACCGTATCTGTTCCAAAGATGCATTTCCAATAACATTTTACATCTTTTTGTTTAAAAATAATTTGCAACATGTTTATGCTGTTTTGATCAACTGTGTATCATTATTATAACAAGTTGATCCAAACAAAAAATCACAGAAAATTTTTAAATATTTTAATTTTAATGAATAAGATGATTCGCTAGAAGTTTTCTCTCTTTCATTTGTTTGTTTGTTTGTTTTTTGATATAGGGTCTCACTCTGTCATCCAGGCTGGAGTGCAATGGCATGATCTTGGCTCACTGCAACCTCCCCCCCGGGGCTCTAGCGATCCTCCCACCTCAGCCTCCCAAGTAGCTGGGACCACAGGTGGGCGCCATCACGCCCAGCTAATTTTGTTTTTGTATTTTTTTGTAGAGACAGGATTTCACTATGTTGAACAGGCTGGTCTCAAACTCCTAGTACTAGGATGATGGTTAAGAACATCAATTGATCTGCCTGCTTCGGCCTCCCAAAGAGCTGGAATTACAGGCGTGAGCCAATGTGCCCAGCCTAGTAGGAAGTTTTTAAACCTAAAAATATATTATATTAGGATAAAATTCTGTAGAAGAGGAATAAAAATAAAAATTCAAGGAAGAAGCAATGTAAAAATTATAATGGTTAGTGAAGAGTTCATGCACATCTTTTTTAAGTAGGTGATATTTAAAATCCTACGATATTTATATTCTGTTGGATACATTTCAAAATTGATGTAACACTTTTATTTAAATATGTAAATATTTGCAAACTAGAAGTTATATCCTTTGCAACTATTTAAACTTATGATAGAAAACTTAAATGTCAATTTAAAAATATGTGGAGAGTATGGACTTTGTTTTTGAAATTGAAGGACATTGCTATAAAGCATTCCTCATTTTAAAAATAAATTTGATCTTAAAACTATTCAACAAATACTTAATTCCTGTGATATTCCAGGTTCTATGCTAGACATTATACACTAACAGTGAATAAAATACCATCTCTGCCAACAGGGAACTTATTCCAGTGAACTACACATGTTAATATTCAAGTAGTACTTACAAAGCACATGTGTGCCACACACCATGTCAGGTGCTGTTATGCACATTGACTTACTTGTCAAAGATTAAATTGATTTGGCTTGACACTTATTTATGAGTTTACATAAAAATTAACTGTAATCCCACACTTTGGGAGGCCAAGGCAGGAAGACTGCTTGAAGCCAGAAGTTTGAGACCAGCATGGGCAAAAAAGCAAGAACTTTGCCTCTACCAAAAAAAATGAAAATAAAATATTAGCCAGGTGCCATGGTGTGCGCTTGTAGTCTCAGCTACTCGAGAGGCTGAGGTAGGAGGATTGCTTGAGCCCAGGAGTTCAAGGTTGCAGTGAGCTATGATCACACCACTGCGCTCCAGCCTGGGTGACAAAATGCAACCCTATTTAAATAACCAAATTAAGTCGGTGTGGTAAAGCACTAAACTGAAAGGAAAACTTGGAAGAGAAAGCTGTCTCTTTCTATAACTAGCTGTAGAATCAAATAATTTATTCCTTACTGGATCTCAATTTTTCTTATTGATTATAATGAAGAATAGAATAAGCTGATCTGTACAGTATTTTTAAAGTTTTAATGTCTTCTATAAGATTTAGATACAAACACCTCAGCTTAAGCCACTACAAAGTATCATCAACACACTTTTCTATGAACTATCTGGTCACAGAAGAAACTGTTTTATTTACTTTTTAAAAAAAAAAGATCAGCTATAAAGATGTCAACTATTTAGATCCACATTCCTTTGCCAAATTAAGACAGGGTGTGGTGGCTCATGCCTGTAATCCCAGCACTTTGGGAGGCCAAGGTGGGAGGATTGCTTGAGGCCAGGAGTTCGAGACCAGTCTGGCCAACATGGCAAAACCCAGTATCTACAAAAAAAAAAAATACAAGAATTAGTCAGGCACGGTGGTGCACACCTGTAATCCCAGCTACTACTAGGGAGGCTGAGGCATGAGAATTGCTTGAACCAAGGAGGCAGAGTTGCAGTGAGCTGAGATTGTACCACTCCACTCCAACCTGGGAAACAGAGTGAGGCTCTATCTCAAAGAAAAAATAAATAAATAATAAAACCTGTTTTAAGCACCCACATACACATATATAATAAATGTGCCAATTCTAACATCTGTCATTATGAGTATATGATTGTATTATTAATTATAAAATTACAAACCTTTTAAAATATCCCATACTGGATGGGAGGCTGAGGCAGGAAGATTGTTTGAACCCAGGAATTCGAGGCTGCAATGAGTTATGATCACGCCACTGCACTCCAGCCTGGGCAACAGAGCAAGACCCTGTCTCTAAAAAAAGAAAGTAAATTACCCCAATACTGGGAATTTTTTTCCTCAGTAAATATGACCATGTCCATTTGTCCATAGGCAACAGAGTATGGAACCCAAAATTATGAGTTTATTTCTCTGCTAAGAAATATCCTGAAGCTGGCTGGGCACAGTGTCTCATGTCTGTAATCCCAGCACTTAGGGAGGCCGAGGCAGGATAGCTTGAGCCCAGGAGTTTGAGACCAGCCTAGGGAACAAAGTGAGATCCTGTCTCTATTTGTAAAAACAAAAATTTAGAACAGGCAAATTAAAAAAGACAAAAAGTATATTAGAGGTTACCAGAAGGTGGGAAGAGAAGGGGAAGGAAGCTATTACTTAAGGGGTACGGTATTTTTGGAGTGATGAAAAAGTTTTAGAAATAGATAGTGGTGACAGTTGTAAAATATTCTGAACACAATTAATGCCACTAACTGTACACTTAAAGATTAAAGTGGCAATTTTTATGTTATATATATTTTACTGTACAAAAAGCTAGTATCTTATTTGCACTTAATGTTGTAGTATTAATGTTTGCAATTTATAAACTTCTGATCTTGTTAGTGTAAAATGTAATTTGTTTGTATATACTTAGGTGGTATTCTACTAAGAATAAAGGAAAAAAAATGTGGTTACCAGTAAGTACTTTATCACCCCAACTTTGGCAATTGATATGACCCCTCATTTAACAGCATTGTCAGTGAAGTCATGTTTCTTAGGTAACTCAAGTATTTTATAAATTTCAAATGTAATGAATGAAGAAGTGAAAGAAAAAAAAAAGACCATTTTATATCAATCTATGCTTTCTCTATCTAAAAGACTTCTGAGTTCCTCCATACAAAGAATGCCAACAGTAACATCAGCAAGATCAGATCATCTCCTGCAAACCTACCAATCTGGTGATAAAAGTAAAAGGATTCAGCTGTCTGCAAGTAAAGGCTAATGCAACCTGTATCCATCCCAACTCCCCCAAATAACTAATACTTTCTTAAAAGTCAGACTACATTTTTGTATCCATATTTCACTTCTGTGTGTGACTAATTTTAAGATGATGCCATTAAAACCATCTGATTAGTCACATTTTAATTAAGCATCAAAATTCCTACACAGTGCCAGAATTTATGCATTCAGAACACCTGACTTCATTTGACTTAAAGAATTCTTAGTATTAATCATAAATGACCAATATAAACACTATTCTTTAAGGAATGAATAAGAGTCACCATTTATATCCTGAGGAAAACATAGCATTGGGATTCGTCTCAGAACCAGTTTAAGATATTCTTTGTTTTGAAAATCCTCTTAAAGGCACTAAAAAAAAATCTACCCACAGGGTAAGTGAACTAAGTGAAATCTACCTAATTAAGGTCACATGACAGAGTAAAAGTTACTCAAATGATCAGTCACTTCGGTTTTCCAATTTATTTTCCCAATATATCACACCAGGGTTAAATAATGATACAGGGAGCTATCTGAAAGATTTGATGTCTATAAAATGTCCTCTGTGGCCAGACACGGTGGCTCACGCCTGTAATCTCAGCACTTTGGGAGGCTGAGGCGGGCAGGTAACGAGGTCAAGAGATCGAGACCATCCTGGCCAACATGGTGAAATCCCGTGTTTACTAAAAATACAAAAATCAGCTGGGCGCGGTGGCACATGCCTGTAGTCCCAGCTACTCAGGAGGCTGAGGCAGAAGAATCGCTTGAACCCAGGAGGCGGAGGTCACAGTGAGCCAAGATCGTGCCACTGCACTCCAGCCTGGGCAATGGAGCGAGACTCTGTCCCCCCACCGCCCCCCGCCACCCAAAAAAAAAAACTCCTCTGTGGCTGGGTGTGGTGGCTTATGCCCATAATACCAGCACTGTGGGAGGTTGAGCCAGGCAGACCAACTGAGGTCAGGAGTTTGAGACCAGCCTGGCCAACATGGTGAAACGCCATCTCTACTAAAAATTAGCTGGGCGCGGTGGCACATGCCTGTAATCCCAGCTACTCAGGAGGCTGAGGCAGGAGAATTGCTTGAACCCGGGAGGTGGAGGTTGCAGTGAGCTGAGATCGTGCCACTGCACTCCAGCCTGGGCAACAGAGCAAGACTCCATCTCAGAAATAAAAATAAAAAAATGTCTTCTGTTTGTATATATTGTTGTCCTACATCTAGCAAACTATCAAGTATACCACCTTTCCAGCATTGGTAGTAGATTTATGGCAATTATGCTTTTAGTCCTTCTTTTGATCAAAAAGGCATAGGCTATGTCTTTGACCAAACAAACTGGCTCACATAGACGTGATTCCATAGCCTTGGCCACACTTTGGTCTAAACTGAAAAGCTTAGGCTTTTAAAAATGTTCGTAAAATGCAAAGATTTTTTAAAAGATAAAAATTAAGAAAAGTGTTTATTAGGTCTACAGCCCCCAAGGAAATATTTTATTTTATTATTATTATTTTTTGAGACAGGGTCTCACTCTGTTGCTCATGCTAGAGTGTAGTACTACAATCACAGTTCACTCTGCAACCTTGATCGATCTCTCAGGCTCAAGTGATCCTCCAACCTCAGCCTCCTGAGCAGTTGGAACTACAGGCATGCACCACCACACCTGGCAAATTTTTTAAAAATTTTTTGTAGATAAGGAGTTTCACTGTGTTGCCCACGCTGGTCTCAAATTCCTGAGCTCCAGTGATCCTCCCACCTCGGCCTCCCAAAGTGCTGAAACTATAGGCACTCATCTGGAAATATTTTGTTTCTAAAAATAAATGGAATCTATTATCAGACTATTCTTGGAAAAGATAATAGGTTCCTCTAGGGCAAGGACCCCATGTTATCATACCTAAGTTGATGCTCACTAAACCGATTTCCACTGATGCCATAATGTATAGTTTATCATATCAACTTTCATTTTTATTCATTACCTCTCAAGTGACACTGTGCAATTCAGGAATTTAGCCCTATTATGTTTTGAATGTTTGTGTCCCTACAAAATTCCTATGTTGAAGTCTAACCCCAAATGTGTTGGTATTAAGAGGTAGGGCCTTTGGAAAGTTATTAAGTCATTAGGGCTCCACCATCCACTAATGGGATTAATGACCTTACCCTTTACACCATGTGGGCACATATAGAAGGCACCATCTATGAAGCAGAGAGTCCTTACCAGACACTGAACCTGCTGGTGTCTTGATACTGGACTTCCCAGCCTCCAGAACTATAAGAAGTAATTTTCCATGGTTTAGAAATAATCTAGTCTAGGCCATGCACAGTGGCTAATGCCTGTAATCCCAGCAGTTTGGGAGGCCAAGGTGGGTGGATCATTTGAGGTCAGGAGTTCAAGACCAGCCTGGCCAATATGGTGAAACCCTGTCTCTACTAAAAATACAAAAATTAGCCAGGTGTGGTGGTTGGCACCTGTAATCCTAGCTACTCAGGAGGCTGAGGGATGAGAATCGCTTGAAGCCGGGAGGCAGAGATTACAGTGAGCCGAGATTGCGCCACTGTACTCCAGCCTGAGCAATAGGGCAAGACTCAGTCTCAAAAAAAAAAAAAAAAAAAAAAAAACACAAAACAAAACAAAAAGAAATAATACAGTCTAAAGTATTTTGTTATAGCCCCAAATGGACTAAAACAGGTCCTACATAAAAACAATCACTTTTTTAAAAACTACATTTTGCATCTCATCTTGCTTGCACTAGGCACAAAGCCACACTTTGTATAAGGCATACTGCATACAGTTTCAAATCAGCAAAAATTTTTAAGGGCATACTCTGTTTAACATAACTGGTACTATAGCAGATTAATAAAAGTCATTTTTCCTCAAAAAATTTATGTGTGAAAAGTCAAATCCATTGTTTAAAAGTTAAAAACTAATACAAAGCAGTATATAACCCAGTGTTAGAGTGGTTTATAATAAATATCAAACTCATGAAACATACTTTACCAGTCTGTTAAATGTATTTATAAAATTCATAAATGTTTCAGACATTATGCTAAATTTCTGCTGCTTGTATGGTTATTAGTTCTTTAAGGAAATCCACTCTGTCATATTAATAGGAATGAAAGTAAAAGCAATTTCTTCCATGATGAACAGAATTTTTAAAAAATTGTGACAAAGAAAGAACCCAGCATACTTCCAATAACTTTCTGTATTGTAATACTTATTTCCATTTTCCCTCCACATATCCTCATCTTTCTGATTCGTGGCTGTTTGTCTCCACTTAATATAAGAGACTTTATTTTCTTTTTATTTTGCAGAATATACGTCAGTGATTTTGGTATAATTAAAAATGCCCAGGCCAGGCATGGTGGCTCACACTTGTAATCCCAGCACTTTGGAAGGCAAAGGCGGGCGGATCACCTGAGGTCAGGAGTTTGAGACCAGCCTGACCAAATTGGTGAAACCCTATCTCTACTAAAAATACAAAATTAGCCGGGCATAGTGGTGCGTGCCTGTAATCCCAGCTACTTGGGAGACTGAGGCAGAAGAATCGCTTGAACCTGGGAGGCAGAGGTTGCAGTGGGCTGAGATCACACCATTGCACTCCAGCCTGGACGACAAGAGCAAAACTCCATCTCAAAAAAAAAAAAAAAAAAAAAGTCCAGATTGTGTGAATGAGGAAAGAGGTTTAAATATAATCAAAACAATCTCATTTTTCTGATAAAAAACTCGTATTATCTAATCTATCCTTCATGACATATATAAAAATATAAGGAGGCTGGGTGCAGTGGCTTATGCCTATAATCCCAGCACTGTGGGACACCAAGGTGGGTGGATCACCTGAGGTCAGGAGTTCGACACCGGCCTGACCAACATGGAGAAACCCCGTCTCTACTAAAAATATAAAATTAGCCAGGCGTAGTGGTGTGTGCCTGTAATCCCAGCTACTCAGGAGGCTGAGGCAGGAGAAACGCTTGAATCCAGGAGGTGGAGGTTGCGGTGAGCCGAGATCAAGCCACTGCACTCCAGCCTGGGCGACGAAAACTCCATCTCAAAAAAAACTTAAAAAAAAAAAATATATATATATATATATATATATATATGTATATATATATGGCACAAAATAATGAGTGTCTTTAAATATTCAAAACTACCTTATGAATAACCATATATATATATATAGTAGTTATATATACAATAGTTACCCACAGCTGAAAGATGGTATGCTATACATGTATCACTGATTTAGATTTTCTGGACTGTATTCTATGTATTATTTCATGCCATGCATCATCATTCATATTATCTGTATATTTTTAGGAACAAAAGATAGAAAATTCCAAAGTTTAATAACAAATAGACAAACTCATAAAAGTATTTTCAGGAAACATAGCAACATGTAAAGCTTACTTTAGCAATATGGGCATTATACTTTGTATTGTTTCTGTTCAAAGACAAACTATAACTAGACTACAGTATGTTTTTATAGGTCTTGAATCCATGCCCGATACGTTTATGGGATCACAGTCCAACAGAAACACATTGCTACTCACTGGAAAATAATATTTAATGGCAAAAAAGAAAGAAAGAAAGATGGAAAGAAGGAAGGAAGGAAGAAGAGAGAAAGAAAGAAAGAAAAAGAAAGAGAAAGAGAAAAGAAAGAAGGAAAGAAAGAGAAAGAAAAGAAAAAAAAGAAAGAGAGAAAGTCATGGCAAGAATGGGGAAGGAAAGAAAAATAAACAAAAAGATGAGCCAGGGCCAGGCACAGTGACTCATGCCTGTAATCCCAACACTTTGGGAGGCTGAGATGAGAGGATCGCTTAAGCCCAGGAATTCTCCTCTAAAACTGATGATGTCAACATCAAATGTTAAATATGTTAAATGACATGAAGAATAAGGCTACCCATCTTATTTGGCTATGCTTGAAATGGATTTATTATAATCTCCCTCAATTTGAAAGCAGTCTAAACTGATCATATCTGTGAAAATGTCTTATTTAGGGGAATTTACTGCAGATGTTCACACACTCTAACTCTACACCTCAATAATTTCTTAATGTGATCGACTCCTAATCCCAGAAGATCTTTAAGTTAAACAACTAGAGGCCAGGTGCAGTTGCTCACGCCTGTAATAATAGCCCTTTGGAAGGCTGAGGTGGGCAGATTGCTTGAGCTCAGGAGACCAGCCTGGGCAACATGGGGAAACCTTGTCTCTTCAGAATATACAAAAATTAGCCAGGTATGGTGGCGCACACCTGTAGTCTCAGCTACTTGGGAGGCTGAGGTGGGAGGATCGCTTAAGCCCAGGAGGCAGAGGTTGACAGTGATCTGAGATCACACCACTGCACTCCAGCCTGTGTGACACAGTGAGACCCTGTCTCAAAAAAACTATTTATTGTAAAAAGTTCAGGTATAAATGAATCAGAAAGCAGTGACTGAATCAAATTAGCTCTATAATTTGATATAACTAAAGCTACAATTCAATAATATCACCAAAGAAAGAACCTAGCATGAAAATATTAACTAAATGGTTCAGTTTCAAAGACACTTTGAATTCTGGATATCTTAACTCAAAGAATCCCAATAATATATTAAATTCCTTGGATCCTCACTGAAAGTGAGAAGCTCATTTCTAAGCATATGTGCACAAGTACCTTAGCCTCTTCATGCCTGCTTGCCTGTCCCACAGTTAGAGAAGGCAGGATATTTGGTTAGGCATATGTTTACGAGTACAGACAGGAAAATTCCAACTTTAAAACCAAATATTTTCCTTGTTTAATTCTGGTATCTTATTGGTCCATATGCTGCCTCCTCCTCACAGTATGGTATCCAAATCTCCTAGATTGTGACTTTCTTTTAAAGCATAATGATAACATCAAGCAGACAGAATTGAAGAGTGGAAATACTATATGAGAAAGCAGAGCAAAACAGATGATGCTCTAAATGCAACTGACACACTTGCTAAAGACGTTAGGTGCTCCATAAATGCTTGTTGAAATGCTGTTTGTCAACATTTGTTGTGAAAAATTCATCTCTTTCTCTAAGAATCCTCATGAGTTAACCACAATCAGTTCTACATAATTTAACAGAAAACATCTGGTGGCACTTTTAAATGTTTAAGGACAGCATTTCACAAACTATGCCCGCCCCCAGTCCCACTGCAGCAGGAGAAAATAAGGCTATGGAGAAAAGCAAGATGAGTTATCAGGAGAGCCCTAAACATGTATATCATTTGTTTATACATATCTGTTCTACATTCTCAGATTTTCTAAAGAACGCCCTTTTTTTTTTCTTTTTAGCTTAAGCTAGCTGGATTTCAGTTTCTGTAATTTGCAAACAACACAATACTAGTATGGAGTGCCTGTCCAGTGCAAAAGAAAATCTTGTCTCTGCTTCCACAATGCCCATATGTATAACAGAATCCTATCAATGCTTTTATGGTAATTGACAAGGTGACAGTGACTATGAGGAAAAGAAACGGGTTTGAAAAATAACCACAATCCCTCTTAGAGACAACATATATTAAAAAGATTTTGAGAACTTATTCAGTAAAGAAACTTCTTTAACTCAATTGAACTCACATTTACAAATCATATTTGAGCACGGGATATTTTTTAATGAACTTCTTATGTCTTTGAGAACTACTAACTGGTAGAGCACAGTTTGAGAAATGCTAGTTGGAAACATGACCAGGATTCCTTAGATCTAGTACATGAAGAAAAATGGAAACAACCATTCTTCTCTGCTTCCTCGTATACTAAACATTTTAAATAGAACAGGAGATCACAGAACTCAATTTTGAATGTAAAAGTAGTTTACATTCTAGATTGAGAAACTTACCTGCATTGAAATAAGAATGAAATCAATTAGGCTCCCAATTCCACAAAACCCTACAGTGCAAAACTTTAACAAACCTAGAAAAGAAGGTAAAGTCATTTATAATCTGGAAGGTCTTCTAAATATTAACAAACTGCTCCATTTTCCAATAAACCATTATTATATATATATATCACACTCTTTATATCAAGAACATAAAAGTAACACTTAAAGAAATCAAATCTTCACTTGAAAATGAGAAGAGTTTAAAGGAACCCTCTACACAGAAATGCCAAAAAATAATTTAATTCCCTTAACAAATAAATATTAGTAACTGAAAAAAACCTCAATATAATCTAATAAAATTTCTAAGAGAAAAGGCCTAAGGAAATAATCCTTAAATCTCAGTACACCAGAGTTACATCTTTTAGTCCTAAAATCCTTAATTACTTATTTAGACTTCATACATTATGTGACCCAAAATTTACTATACATTTGGAGAGTTAAAATATAAAAATTGTCATGCCAAAAAAAAAATCAGGAAAAAACACTGCTCTTGTTGTAAAATTGCAAAATTTTATTAGCAATCCAATTACCTTTATCTTATATATTTCTTTTTCCTAAGGATCACCTGTTTATTAGCTCTATAGTCAAAATCAACAATTCTGTGCTGAGCACTATATACAGCTTTGTCCTTGGTCCCAACCCAAGAGCTAAGATGCTAAAATAGATGATAACAGAGTATCTAATATGGGACATCTACAATAATATAACCCAAAAACGATTGTAAGAGGCAGATTGGGGGTGGGCTGGGGGTGGGATGATTAATCTCTTATGAATTTAAACTTGAGTTTCTTACAAGACATCTCATATGAGATATAAAAATGGTATAAGACAAGACTCTTTGTGAAAATGTAGTTCCATATATCAACTACAAATAGATGCCAGCTAAAAATCCTAAGAGAGGATGAGATCACACATCTCACAGAGGATCACACAGAGGATTCTCCCACAACCTGAGAATACACAAATAAGATTGAACTATGTAAGGACATTAGATGACTTTTTCCCCCACATATAGCAGAATAATGTTGCAAGTACAGAAATAACATGGCGGCAATAAGTTAATAACTATTAAAATACAGAAATAATTAAAAATTTTGCTTTTAGTTTTCCTCAAAACATTCACTTACCTAACATTTTATCTTTGATTACTATCTGTCACACAGAAGCCCCATTAGGGCAGGGCCTTTTATCTGTTTTCTTTACTCCTGTGTCCTTAGTGCCAACAACATTGCCTGGCACATAGTAAATGCTCAATATTTGTTGCATAAATTGATAAATATTCTCGTATTTCTGCTTCCCAAACACTCCCATCATTTCATCCATTACCTTAATAAAAACTCCTTTAGTTTTTTCATTAGTTGCATGGTACTATTAGTTGCCCAAAGAAAATTGTCTGCTGAGGTTTTATCCAGCGTATTTCATATTTCCGAAATGTATTCCTCTTCACAAAGCATGTTAGTATAAACTTGAGAATGTCATAGTTTCTTTTTCTTCAATTTGTTTATAAAAAAGAATATTGGCCAGGCGCGGTGGCTCATGCCTATAATCCCAGCACTTTGGGAGGCCGAGGCAGGTGGATCACCTGAGGTCAGGAGTTAGAGACCAGCCTGGCCAACATGGCGAAACCTTGTCTCTACTAAAAATACAAAAATTATCCAGGCATGGTGGCATACGCCTGTGATCCCAGCTACTCAGGAGGCTGAGGCAGGAGAATCACTTGAACCTGGGAGACGGAGGTTGCAGTGAGCTGAGACTGTGCCACTGGACTCCAGCCGGGGCAACAAAGCCGGGGCAACCTTGTCTCAAAAAAAAAAAAAAAAGAAAGAAAGAAGAAAAAGAGAGAATATTAAGTATAGTCCCTCTAAAGTTATATCTTTAACTGCTAATCCATGAAGAATAGGTAATCACATCAGGGCTTTGGCTTTTTTTGTGCCATTTTCCAAGGATGTTCTTCCTTTTAGACCACTTCTTTAGAGAAGTCTTCCCTAACCTGCCTGTCTGAAGCAGCATGCCACCCTATCCCTGCCCCATAACCCACTATGCCTGGCTAGTTTTTAAAATTGTTTGTAGAGACAGGGTCTCACTATGTTGCCCAGGCTAGTCTTGAACTCCTGGGATAAAGTGATCTTCCTGCCTTGGCCTCCCAAAATGCTTCGATTACAGGCCATCACACCTGGCCTAAATTTTTTTTTTTTTCTCATACCTCTCAGGAATGAATGAAGTTTTTGATTATAATAACTGTAGTAGCAGAAATAGTGACAACAAAAGTAGTTGCTGGGCTAACATTTATCAAATGTATCTTATCTCGTTTAATTCTTATTGCCCTTCCTGTCTGTGTTCATGAAGTATTTTTATATTTGGAAACCTAAAACAAGTTTAAGATGGCATTATTGGAAACTTCATTACTAAAATCATCCTTTGCCTTAAATTTCTAGAAATAGATGGACCATAGTTAACATCACACGTTTGGAGTAAGATATGCTGTAAGTCACTGTAATGATTAAACCTTCAAGTTTTTTTTTTAACAGTGAACTGGTAAGTTTAAATGTGTTACTCCAGGAGTTTCTTTCTTTTCTTTTTTTCTTTCCCTCTTTTCCTTTCTCCTTCTTTCCTTCTTCCCTTCCTTCTTTCCTTTGCAGGGTCTCACTATTTCCAAGGGTCTCACTGTGTTGCCCAGGTTGGTCTTGAACTCCTGGCCTCAACTGATCCTCCTGCCTTGGCCTCCCAAAATGTTGAAATTACAAGTGTGAGTCACCACACCCAGCCTCTTGATTTTTTAAAACAGCTTTATTGAGTTATAAATGACATACATTAAAATGACATACAATGACCTAAATGACATGCAATGACATACACTGTACATATTTAAAATGTACAATTTGATAAATTTGACACTTGTAAACACCTGTGAAACAATCACTATAATAAAAAAAGAACATATCTGTCACACCCAATAGTTTCCTCATGCCCCTTTGTAATTTCTACTTCTTGTCTCTCCTTGCCCCCGTCTTTCCCCAGCAAGCACTTATCTGCTTTCTGTCACTATAAATTTGTTAGTTCCTTAAACTTTTAAATATTATCTCTGATCTGTTCTCTAGTTTCCTTAAATGTATTACTCCAGGAGTAGGTAATATTTACCAGTTCCAAACAAAGATATTATTCCCTTATCCAATATTTTATCTTAGCAGAAACCTCTCATGTTCATTTTTGTGAAGCATCCCTAAGAAAGTGTTCTGTAGCAAAGTATCTAGATTTTCTTAAATTTATCATCTTACTCTGTTATGGGTGTTATTACATTACTTTCCCAATAAACATATTTCTATGTGATTGTTTTAAATGGCTGCATAGTATTCTGTTGTGTTACGCACTGTACCTTAATTTTTTTAGACAGTTCCTCCCTACTGAACATTTAGCCTGTTTCTAGTTTTTTTTGATATTCATATGACAAATATTTATCAGAGTCTTACTGTCAGGTTCTGTTCAGGATACCAACTTGCCTAAGACAGATAAGGCCTCTGCCTTTAAGAATGTACATTCCAGGCCAGGCGCAGTGGCTCACGCCTGTAATCCCAACACTTTGGGAGGCCGAGGCAGACAGATCACCTGAGGTTAGGAGTTCGAGACCAGCCTGACCAACATGGAGAAACCCTGTCTCTACTAAAAATACAAAATTAGCTGGGCATGGTGGCGCATGCCTGTAATCCAGCTACTTGGGAGGCTGAGGCAGGAGAATCACTTGAACCCAGGAGGCAGAGGTTGCGGTGAGCCAAGATCGCACCATTGCACTCTATCCTGGGCAACAAGAGTGAAACTCCGCCTAAAAAAAAAAAAAAAAGAATGTATATTCCAGAGGAAGACTGAAATGAATGAATAAACAAATCCCCGAGGCTAACAGATTTATAATTAGCACTATGAAGGAAAAAAAAAAAGCTAATATAAGTAGGACCACTGCTTTTCATAACCATGAAGAAAGACTAAGTAAGGTTAGTTGTAAAATGGGATTTTTTTTTTTCTTTTTTGTAGAAATGGGATCTCACTATGTCACTATGTTGTCTCTGCTGGCCTCAAACTCCTGGCCTCAAGCAATCCCCCAACCTCAGCCTGTTGAGTAGCTAAGTCTATGGGCACACACCACCGCACCCAGCAAAAAATTGAATTTTAGATTTTGTCTATAACTACTTTCATTGCAGTCAACATTGTATTACGTAGTTAAGAATTTTTTTTGAGGCAGTGATCATTTAAAATAAAAATGCCTAAATTCCTTAACCTTGAATTCTTAATAGAAATTACAATTTATTTAAAATACTTAAAAATTTTAAATTGGCCAGGCACTGTGGCTCATCCCTGTAATCCCAGCACTTTGGGAGGCTGAGGTGAGAGGACAGCTTGAGCCCAGGAGTTCTAGAGCAGCCTGTGCAACACGGCAAAATCCCATCTCTACAGAAAAATACCGAAATAAGTCAGGCATGGTGGTACATGCCTGTAGTCCCAGCTGCTTGGGGCAGAGCTGAGGACGGAGCATACCTTGAGCCCAGGAGGTCGAGGTTGCAGTGAGCCGTGATCGCACCACTGCACTCCAGCCTGGGCAACAGAGTGAGACTCTGTCACACAAAAAAAAAAGAAAGAAAAAGAAAAAATATTCTATTGCTTCTGATACCTAAAAGGATAACTTTTGATATCTAAAGGACCCAACTCCATAGCAAGATACTCAAAGCATTTTATAATCGGACCATAGACTACCTCTGTAGGCAGTGTCACCTCCTGCATTGTTCTTCCTACACGATCAGCTAAATTGTCCCCTAATCTCCCAGTGTACACTATATGCTTTACACATGCTGTTCTCTGCAATGCCTTCAACCTCTGTAATCTTTTCATCCTTCAAACCCTAGCTCAAATGTCACCATATCTAAGAACTTCCTTAAGTCAACTGCATCAGTCCCTTTTCTGTACTCTCACAGCACGGTTATGGTTCTGTTACAGCGCTGTACCATAAATTGGCCTACTAACATATTTATTTTATTTTTAACCAATATACACTGTGACCTTCATCATTATTTCCATATCACTTAGTTATTTAAATGTTGAATATATGTTTAATTAACTAAACAAGTATATATAGTACTTCATGACTTTTACTTAGGAACTTACAACACTGAGTTTTAGTATAGCTGTCAGAAATATATCTACCATCAACCCCACAGTGAAGACTTCTCTTTCATCTTTTGTGGGTAGCAACATGGAAGAAATAAGGTTAGCTTTGCTAGCTAGTAGGCAGAGCATTCAAAAACTTTAAATTTGCTCAGTGAAGGGCTAATATAGAAGCAGAGTACTACAGTAAATAAAGCATGATCTCTGGAGCCAGAAAATTTGGGTTCAAATTGAGGTCACTAGCTGAGTGTCCTTGGGTAAATCTCTTAATCTCGTGACAATTTTCCTATCCATAAAACAAAGATGATAACAACAAATATGTCACAGAATAAAGGAAAGCCTCTAGACTCAGTAAATCCCTTAACCTCTCTGGTGACAGTTTCCTTACCTGTTAAAGAGGATTTAAAGAGGATGATAAACTCAGAGGGTTGTAAGTCTTCAATAAGGGCAGGCATGTGAAAGTACTGTTTAAACAAAAGCTATCATAAAATGTAAATAGTTTTCATAAGCATTAGTAACTATAGTAAATGTGATTACAGCCAGAAGGAAGATATAGAAAGGGGGGCTAAGGGTGATAGAAGTCAGGCTCCCACCCCAGCTCAAGTGGATCACCAAAGTTCCAACCCCAACTTGTTCTGAAAGAAGTGCATAGTTTCTAATCCCAGGGCAATGGTGAAAGAGATTTGGGCAGAAGGAAATATTTTTTGGAGTGGTAGAGGATGTACATTTATTCGTAAAACATTAACTAAACATCCAGTGTGTGCCCAGCACTAGCAGTGACAGTTCCAGTGTACTATCGTAAGTAAATGCCTCCACTATCTTGTGTGTGTTTTCATAAAGGTGAAAACATAGGAAAAGTCAGTATTTCTTACCTAAGCTGAACTGTTGGGCTAATTGATAGCTCTATACTCACAGAAGAACATTAACTACTCAACTCCAATTATATAGAACTTATAATAAATACACAGAGATTTAATCCATAAGAACACCTACAATGAACTAAAATATAGGTTTCATAAGGATTTTTTTTTAATGAAACATACGCACCCAAAGCAGGGTATCCAAGGTAAAATCGATCTGCTCCCAACCATCCAAGAAAAAGAGACAATGCGACTGCCACTTTGTAGGAATAGCCATTTCTGCAAAAAATTAAAATCTGAGTATCATATTTCCAATGTGAACATTTTAGAAAAAAAAATTATTAACTACTACTTGTTAATTGGTTCATTCTTTCACTCAGTTAATGTTTTTTAGATGCCTCCTGTGTGTCAGGCACTATTCTAGGCTATTGGAATATATTAATGAATAAAAGCAACAAAGATCCCTATCCCCGTGTAGCTTACAGGCTGGTGGTAACAAGCAATAAACACAAATATATTTAAAAAATAAATCATATACTATGTTAGAAAGTCATAAATGTTAACAAAAAAAAAAAAAAAAAAAAAAAAAGAAGTAGAGCAGGCTGTGTAGAATGCCGGGAGCCATTTAAATGGAGTGGTAAGAGTAGGCCTCATTAAGAAGGTGATATTTGAGCAGAGACCTGAGGGAAGTGAGTGAGATGGCCATGCCATGCTTCTGAGGAAAGAGTGTCACAGGCAAAAAAGACAGCCAGAACTATCATTTTGAAGTCAAATTTCATCAAGTAAGATCCCTGCTCATAATTCTCTTTCGTGTGTGTGTGTGTGTGTGTGTGTGTGTGTGTGTATTTTATTGCACTGCATTGCATATTTGTAGGGAGTTAGAAAAAGTAGTAAGTGGCCCAGAGATGCTGTTTATGTGTCTAACGTTATAAGGATGTCAAACTTTATGCTGAGGGCAGGAGCACCTCATCTACAATGGAATAGGGCACCAAACTAGAAGCAGAAAAATAATTTAGAAGGCAATGCAAAAACTAATGCTGAAATCTAATGGGCAGTAACAGTGGGAGAAAGAAGTGAACAAAATTGGGAAATACTAACAAGGCAGAAGCAAACAGGCTACATGTGGGGAATGAGGGAAAAGGAGAAGTCAAGAATGACTCCAAGACGGGCGCGGTGGCACACGCCTGTAATCCTAGCACTTTGGGAGGCCGAGGCAGGTGGATCACTGAGGTCAGGAGTTCGAGAACAGCCTGGCCAACAGAGTGAAACACAGTCTCTACTAAAAATACAAAAATTAGCTGGACGTGGTGGCAGGCACCTGTAATCCCAGCTACTCGGGAGGCTGAGGCAGGAGAATCACTTGAACCCAGGAGGTGGAGGTTGCAGTAAGCCAAGATTGCACCACTGCACTCCAGCCTGGGTGACAGAGTGAGACTCTGTCTCAAAAAAATAATAAAAAATAAGTAATGAATCCAAAGTTTCTGCTTAAGAAACTGGGTAGAACTGGTGCCATTCAATGAGACAAAGGAGGAAAGGATTTGAAGAAAAAGAAACAAATGCAATTTTAGACCTTATATATATAATATATATAAAGATGGTAATATATTGATGTTCAATTCAATTTTATTTCTTTTTTTTTTGAGATGGAATCTCACTCTGTTGCCCAGGCTGGAGTGCAGTGGCGTGATCTCGGCTCACTGCAACCTCTGCCTCCCAGGTTCAAGCGATTCTTCCACCTCAGCCCCCCAAGTACCTGGGAGTACAGGCGCACACCACCACAGCTGGCTAATTTTTGTATTTTTGTAGAAAAGGGGTTTCACCATGTTAGCCAGGCTGGTATCAAACTCCTGGCCTCAAGTGACCCACCCGCCTTGGCCTCCCAAAGTGCTAGGATTACAGGAATGAGCCACCATGCCTGGTCCAATTCAATTTTAGACCTTACCTATATAATATATATAAAGATAGTTAATATATTGATATTCAATTCAATTCAATTTTAGGCCTTATATATATATATATGTAACATATATAAAGATGGTAATATATTTTAGATATTAGAGAGCTTAAGAAACAATGGGGCCAGCTGTGGTAGCTCACGCCTGTAATCCCAGCACTTTGGGAGGCTGAGGCGGTTGGATCACATGAGGCCAGGAGTTTGAGACCAGCCTGGCCAACACGGTAAAACCCCACTTCTACTAAAAATACAAAAATTAGCCGGGCGTGGTGGTATATGCCTGTAGTCCCAGCTACTTG
Source organism: Homo sapiens (assembly GCF_000001405.40). Lineage (NCBI taxonomy): Eukaryota > Metazoa > Chordata > Mammalia > Primates > Hominidae > Homo > Homo sapiens. The sequence continues at coordinate 61,703,000 of NC_000001.11, forward strand.
GGAGGCTGAGGCATGAGAATCGCTTGAACCTGGGAAGCGGAGGTTGCAGTGAGCCAAGATCACGCCATTGCACTCCTGCCTGGGTGACAGAGCAAGACTGTCTCCAAAAAACAGAAAAAAGAACAAAAGAGAAAAAACAAAGGGAGAGCTGGACACACTGGCATGTGACTACAGGCACATGTCACTGTGCAAAGCTCTCCCATTGTTGTGCCTAATGAATATTACCATATTTATATATATTATATATGATCTAAAATATATAATTATATTTTATATATTATATATGAAGATGGTAATATGTTTTACATTAAATATTATTATATTTAATATAAGATGGTAATGTTATATATGACATATTACTATATATAATATACTAGTATATATTATATATACATATATATATGTTTCACATAATTTTTTTTTTTTTTTTTGAGACAGAGTCTCACTCTGTTGCCCAGGATGGAATGCAATGGCACGATCTCGGCTTATTGCAACCTCCACCTTCCGGGTTCAAGCAATTCTCCTGCTTCAGCCTCCCAAGTAGCTGGGATTACAGGCATGTGCCACCACACCCAGCTAATTTTTGTATTTTTAGTAGAGACAAAATTTCACCATGTTGGCCAGGCTGGTCTCAAATTCCTGACCTCAAGTTATCTGTGGGCCTTGGCCTCCCAAAGTGTTGGGACTACAGGTATGAGCCACTGCACCTAGCCAATCTTTATATATATATATATATATATATATATATATATATATGCATTTTTTTTTTTTTTTGAGATGGAGTTTCGCTCTTGTCACCCAGACTGGAGTGCAATGGCACAATCTCGGCTTACTACAACCTCCACCTCCCGGATTCAAGCGATTCTCCTGCCTCAGCTTCCTGAGTAGCTGGGATTACAGGCACCCACCACCACACCCGGCTAATTTTTGTATTTTTAGTAAGACGGGGTTTCACCATGTTGTCCAGGCTGGTCTCGAACTCCTGACCTCAGGTGATCCACCCACCTTGGCCTCCTCAACTGCTGGGATTACAGGCACCAGCCACCACATCCAGCTAATTTTTGTATTTTTAGTAAGACGGGTTTTCACCATGTTGTCCAGGCTGGTCTCGAACTCCTGACCTCAGGTGATCTGCCCGCCTTGGCCTCCTCAAGTGCTGGGATTACAGGCATAAGCCACTGCGCCTGGCTATTTATATATATTAAGGTCTAAAACTGAATAGAATATAAAACGTATCACCAACTTTTTATATGGCACATATATATATACAAAGATGATGAGAGAAGCCAAAGGGATGGATGAATGAAAAAAGGAAAAAGGACCAAGCATATCAAGACTTAAGGAAGAAGCAAAGAAATAGGAATGAAGGGACACAGAAGAGTGTTTTACACTATAAGCCAAAAAAAGAAAGTTTTTTTGGTTTTTTGTTTTGTTTTGTTTTGTTTTTTTGAGATTTAGTTTCAATCTTGTCACCCAGGCTGGAGCGCAATGGCACAATGTCGGCTTACTGCAACCTCCACCTCCTGGGTTCAAGTGATTCTCCTGCCTCAGCCTCCCGCGTAGCTAGGATTACAGGTGCCCACCACCACTCCCGGCTAATGTTTGTATTTTCAGTAGAGACAGGGTTTCACCTTGTTGGCCAGGCTGGTCTCAAACTTCTGGCCTCAGGTGATCCACCCACCTCAGTCTCCCAAAGTGTTGGGATTACAGGCTGAGCCACTGGGCCTAGCCAATAAAGCATTTTAAGAAAGCCAAGAAAGTATTTTAAGAAAGGAAACAGCCAGGCTGGGCACAGTGGCTCTCACCTGTAATCCCAGCACTTTAGGAGGCTGAGGTGGGAGGATCACTTCAGGCCATGAATTTGAGACAGAAAAGCCTGGTCAACATAGTGACACCCTGTCTCTATATTAAAAAGAGAGAGAGAAAGAAGGGAATAGCCAAATGCTGCAGAAAGATTAAGATATGAACTGTAAACACTCCTTTGATATATTGACAAAGACTGCTGGTGAATATCAGCATGGCCAAAAGCCATACTGCATTAGACAGAAAATCTTGTAACAGATAAGTATTATCAGAACAAGTTTCAAAAAGCTTGGCTGGGAAGGGAAATGAAATTAGAAAAGCAATTATCTATGTAAGTAAATCACCCTAAAGAATAATCTGAAAACTGGTAGTATAGCAGAGATTAGTTATTCACCGAGCCATTTCTCTTTCTCTGTTGCCCAGGCTGGAGTGCAGTGGCACAATCTTGATCTCGGCTCACTGAAACCTCCACCTTCCAGGTTCAAGCGATTCTCATGCCTCAGCTCCTGAGTAGCTGGGATTACAGGCACGCACCACCATGCCCAGCTAATTTTTATATTTTTAGTAGAAACGGGGTTTTACCATATTGGCCAGGCTGGTCTTGAACTCCTGACCTCAAGCGATCTGCCCGCCTCAGCCTCCCAAAGTGCTGGGATTACAGGAGTGAGCCACCACACCTGGCTCATTTCTCTTTTTCTTATGAATATACAGCTAACCTACATTTCCTAGTTCACCTTGCAGTTAAGTGCAGCCATAACTGAGTTTTGGCCAATGGAAGGAAGATGTAAGTGTACACCATTTCCAAGTCTGGCCCATAAAATACTCCTACAAAGGTTTCCCTCTCCTCTTTCCCATCTGCTGCCTTAGTGGAAAGGACTCTAAGGACTACAGAAAGCAAAGCCAAAAGACGAAAGGAGCAAGGCCCATTCATGACTACATGGAACAACTATGGCCTCACCACCACCACCCAGACCTCCAAGTTAACCCAAATGAAGCAATGATGTAATACTAACATAGATGGCCAGTGTAAATAGGTGGGTGGCTTGGTCATCAATCAGACATGGTTACCAGACTTCAGTTTCTGGAGAATACATTATAGAATATTTGCAATACTAAGATGAAATTTTAATCAAGTATTAAACTATTATATATAGTTTGAAAAACAATATGCTAACAGGAGTACAAAGAAAATATGAAACTGGAAAAGGGACACCTAATGAGTAAGAATGTATCGCTGAGTCTTTATTCAGTAGCTGCACAGCAGCTGGCCTTTTGGTAGGCACATACCTAATATCTCGATAAAGCAAAATTATTTATCCAGTTATCTTAGCTTTGCCACTCTTACCATCAAAATTACCCATCAGTCTAACTCCCATTGTTCTGTTGAGCAATGCTCATTCTTTTTCTTTTATTTGTTTGAGACTGGATCTGGTTCTGTCACCAATGCTGTAGTGCAGTAGCCATGATTTCGACTCACTGCAACCTCTGCCTCTCAGGCTCAAACCATCATCCCACCTCAGCCTCTCGAGTAGCTGGGACTACAGACATGCACCACCAGCTAACTTTTGTATTTTTTGGTAGAGATGGGGTTTCACCATGTTGCCCAGCTGGTCTCAAACTCCTGAGCTCAAGCAATCCGCCTGCCTTGGCCTCCCAAAGTGCTGGGATTACAGGTGTGAGCCACCACGCCGAGCCACAAATTCTGTCTTGAAATTGTTAACTTAGACCAGGCGCGGTGGCTCACAGCTGTAATCCCAGCACTTTGGGAGGCCAAAGCAGGTGGATCACCTGAGGTCAGGAGTTCGAGACCAGCCTGACAAACATGGAGAAACCCCGTCTCTACTAAGAATACAAAATTAGCCAGGCATGGTGGCACATGCCTGTAATCCCAGCTACTTGGGAGGCTGAGGCAGGAGATCGCTTGAACCCGGGAAGGTTCAGTGATGGCGGAGGTTGGTGGAGGTTGCAGTGAGCCAAGATCACACCATTGCACTCCAGCCTGGGAAACAAGGACAAAACTCTGTCTTAAAAAAAAGAAAGAAAGAAAGAAAGAAAGAAAGAAATAGTAAACTTTATTGTAAGAAGGGAATAAGCTGGCCAGTAGCCTTGGAATATCTGGTTTCCCTGATGGTTATATTTCTTATCATAATTGATATCAATATCTTATAAGGGCCAGGCATGGTGGCTCATGCCTGTGATCCCAGCACCTTGAGAGCCCGAGGCGGGCTGATCGCTTGAGCCCAGAAGTTTGAGACCAGCCTGGGCAACATGGTGAAACCCCATCTCTACTAAAAATACAAAAATTAGCCGAGCTTTGGGGCATGCACCTCTAGTCCCAGCTACTTGGGAGGCTGAGATGAGAGGATGGCTTGAACCAGGAAGGTTGAGGCTGCAATGAGACATGATTGTGACGCTGCACTCCAGCCTGGGCTACAGAGGAAGACTCTGTCTCAAAAAATATAAAATAAAAAATGCTTATGAGTATGATTAGTGTAGCTCAGTTGTATGCAGCCTAATCCATTTTGAGACACTGAAAGAAAAATCAGCATTAACTTGGAAATTAAGTAACAGACCATTCTGGTGTTAGCATTACAGATAATATAAACCTGTAAGTTCCAGCCTGAGTGGTTAGCTGTTCTCAACAGATGATTTTCTTACTGTAACCTATATCTTGGACCAGCATTTAATGTATTAGTTGTTTAGAATGTTTAAGGTAGAAATATCTATAAATTTAGGTATTGACTAAACCCTATTTTTTAAACTTACCCCTGTAATGGAAAAAAAAAGAAATCATATCTAAGTACATTGCAAACTATTCTTTTTTAATAATTTTTACTTGACTAATGCAAAATCTTGGAACCCAAGAAGATCAGTGGTAGGCTTAGGATTATACAGCAAGATAGAATCAAAAGCCCCTCATTAACTCAATGAGGTAGGGTCAAAAGAAAAGAAAGAACGCTAAGAGTTCTTGCTAAGAATTCCAACAACTTGTAGCAATAGTCTAACAGTGGTTTATTTCTTTTTTTTCTTTTTCCTTTTTAAGGTTCAATGCATCTGTACAGTGGCTTATTTCTTGAAACAACCAAAACTAAGTGCCATCAAATAGAATGTAACAATATACAGTTTTAGGCTGAAAATATAATGCCAACAATTAAAAATAGATAACACTAAATCATGTTTTTAGTACAAAGCAGGAACATAAGAATGAATAATAAGCTTTAGCAGAAAGAGAAATCAAACTTAAAAGTCCTTTTTAAAAAATGTTTAATTTTAAGTTTTTTAGAGACAGGGTCTCTACTCTGTTACTGTGATCATAGCTCACTACAACCTCAAACTCCTGGGCCCAAGTAATTCTCCCACCCCAGCCTCCCAGTGGCTAGGACCACAGGCAAGCACCACCTCACTGGGCTAATTTTTGTATTTTTTTGTAGAGACAGGGTCTCCCTACTTTGCCCAGGTTGGTCCCCAACTCCTGGCCTCAAGTGATTCTCCTGCAATTGGCCTCCCAAAGTGCTGGGATTACAAGTGTAAGCCACCACTCTAGGCCTAAAAGTCCTTTAAATAGAGAAATTCCTAACAAAAGAAAGCCATTTGTCTTACTATCCCAAACTGATCATTTTTGCTGTTGTTTTTATAAAAGACAGTGTCTCACTATGCTGCCCAGGCTAAACGTGAACTTCCGGGCTCCTCTGGCCTCAGCCTCCTGGGTAGCTAGGACTATAGGCATATACTACTGTGTCTGGCTAGCCAAACTGATAACTTTTGAATTCTGTTTAACATTACCATTCATCATCCATATTTATCACAAAGAATAAAACCAAGTTTAAAATGCCCTTTATGTGCAAAAAATTAATTAGCATTTTTCTGATACAATAGGTACACAATTGCTGTTTGTACTCTAGAAATCTCCCACATTTTGAAGACAATTTTTTCATAACTCAATTAGTGGCATAAACTAACTGACCTGAATTAACATGGCACGAGGCCATTTATAGTCTTTATTTGTCCCACATACTGGACTACTCAGCTCTACTTGATTGGTGAATTGCATTTATAAAAAAAAAAAAAAATACACACTTGGCTGGGTGTGGTGGCTCATGCCTGTAAATCCCAGCACTTTGAGAGGCCGAGATGGGAGAATCATGTCAGGCCAGGAGTTCGAGACCAGCGCTGGGAAACATAGAGAGATCTCATCTCTACAAAATAATTAAAAGTTAGCCAGGCATGGTGGCACAAACCTGTACTCCAGCTACTTACAGGACTGAGGTGGGAGGATTGCTTGAGCCTGGGAGGCAGAGGCTGAAGTGAGCCGTGATCATGCCACTGCACTCCAGCCTGAGTGACTAAGCAAGACCTTATCTCAAAAACCAAAAAACAAACACTTAAAATAAAGGTTTTCTGACACAAGCAAAAAGATAAAAGATACATTTTCAGGATAGTCCCCATAAATTATCTCCTCTCTTCATGCAATGAAGATATAATATAGGCAAGTAATCTGAAAATTTAAGTTTCAGTAATGTACTTACACATTTCGGCAAGATATGGGCTTGAAAAAACCAACTTCGTTCCCAGTAAAATGTGTTTCATTGCCACTGGAATCCTTACAAGTTATGTTGGGTGCTGGAAAACAGGAAACTGAAGGCAGAAAAAGTCAAGAAACTGTTATTTTTTTTTTCTGGAGAAACAGTATGTAATTGTTCTAAGACTAGCAAATATGTTATAACAAACTACCTCCCAATATAACATGACACAAGCCTTTAATTTTAGGTGGGAAAAGTGACACTACGTATGTACTTACATGCAAGATAAACATAAAATTGTATAGTAGTCTCTTAACACAAAAATATAAGAGTTGCCACACTGGACTAGATGCATGGCCAATCTATAATTCAATCTCCTGCCTCTGATAAAGGTACCAAGGGAAGAATTGCACAACATTACTGCCCTTTACTTCATCTCCAGAATTAAGAATACCTCTCAAATTTTTGTTGGTAATATGTTGGGCAATTTATCTATTAAATTATTTTAACATAATCTGAGTTTGTATTTTTAGCATATACCAACGCTTATAGATAATTGTTGCCATAAATTATTTTCATTGATTCTAAATGTATTTGTTTCTTGATTCCCTCTGGGGTTTGATATAGATTATTTCAGAATTTAAGCAATCTTGATCCTTCCTCATAACCAGATGACATAAGAAGAAGAAGTAACACTTACAGACCCAGACAAGCACTGCCTTAACAGCTTTATAACCTCATAGTGTAAAGAACAAGACCTTTGGAATGAGAACAACTTATTTGGACATTGCTCCTTTCAGAACCTTCGATTCTTTGTAGGTAAAAATAGTACCAAAGGGCCAAGTGCAGTGGCTCATGCCTATAATCCCAGCACTTTGGGAGGCTGAGATGGGCAGATTCAAGACCAGCATGGGCAACATGGCGACACCCCATCTCTACAAAACAATACAAAAATTTGCCAGGCATGGTGGCTTGTGCCTGTGATCCCAGATACTTGGGAGGCTGAGGTGAGAGGATCACTTGGGCCTGAGAGGCAGACATAGCAGGGAGCCAAGATTGTGCCACTGCCCTCCAGCCTGGGTGACAGAGCAAGACCCTGTCCCAAAAAAAAAAAAAAAAAAAAATGTATATATATATATACATATATATATATACACACACACACACACATATACACACATACACACACACACACACACACACACACATATACGACTACCCACCTCATAGCACCATTGTAAGAATATATAAAAGTACCTGGCAGAAGGCACAGTATATTGCAGGTATTCAATAAATCAACATTTTAGACTGAAAAGTACTAATACTTTTAGATTAGTTTCAGAAAAAGCTTACCTCTATGTTTAGCATCAAGAATTACATATTTTTTTAAAATAAAACTGTGTATAATAAAGTAAAAACAGAGAACCTAGAGTTTGATTAGGAAAGAAAGATAGTATTTTCTATCATTTATAATTATCCTAAGATTTCCAACAAATCATTGTCCTCTTTTAGGCAAGAATAGTACACTGAGAAAACGATGGTTAAAAAAACAAACAAACCCTATAATGACTTCTACACCTATTTGTCAGGTTACTGATAGTTCTAACTACATTACCCCATAAATTGTATTTATTTAATGCATGGAAATTTCTAAAACAAGGTGGTGTTTATAATAAAACGCACAGATTCAATAAAACTGAGAACCATTTTAATAAAACAAAGGGCGGTCGGGCGCGGTGGCTCAATGGCTCAAGCCTGTGATCCCAGCACTTTGAGAGGCCGAGGCAGATGGATCACTTGAGGTTTGGAGTGCGACACCAGCCTGGGCAACATGGCGAAAACCCATCTCTACAAAAAATTAGCCAGGCATGGTGGCGGGCACCTGTAATCCCAGCTACATGAGAGGCTGGGGCAGGAAAATCACTTGAACCTGGGAGATGGAGGTTGCAGTGAGCCGAGATCGCACCATTGCATTCCAGCCTGGGTGAAAGAGTGAAACTCCACCTCAAAAAAAAAAAAAAGAAAAAAAAATATACAAAGAGATGTGGACAGAAGAGTGACTCACGCCTGTAATCCCAGCACTTTGGGATATAGAGGAGGGAGGACTGCTTGAGCCCAGTAGTCTGAGACCAGCCTGGGCAACATGGAGAGATCCCCATCTCTACAAAAAATAAAATAATTGGTCAGGCATGGTGGTGCTCACCTGTTGTCAGGAGGCTGAGGCAGGACTGGGAGGTCAAGGCTGCAGTGAGCTGTGATCATGCCACTGCACTCCAGCCTGGGCAACAGAGTGAGACCGTCTCAAAAAAAAAAAAAATACAAAGAGATGTGGCAGAACTTAACAGGCAATTGGTATGTAGCTATTTGGCTACCTGCCTTGGCACAGGGATAAAATTTATTGACTTTTGCCAATGAATTAATGTGACATCCTTTAGATTATATCTCTTGAAAATCTTCCATCTTGGATCATGCTTTTGATTAGTTATATAGTAGACAACTCAAAGTTGAGGTCAGCAAAAGTCTGAAATGTTGATATAAATTCTATGTCACTGAAAGGAGATCAACATGGTTTTAGATCACTAATTCTTTTTTTTTTTTAAGAGATGAGGTTTTGATGTTGGCCAGGCTGGAACTCCTGGCCTCAGGAGATCCTCCTGCCTCAGCCACTCAAAGTACTGGGATTACAGGTGTGAGCCACCATGATGTAACTAGCCCTAACTCAGTAAAATCAGTAATTCTTAACTGGGGCATTTTTACTCCCCAGAGGACATTTGGCAAGGTCTGGAAACATTTTCAGTTGTCACTGGGGAGCTGCTAGGGGCATATAGTGAGTACAGACCAGGGATACTCATAAACATCCTACAGTGCACAAGATAGCCTCCCCACAACAATGAATTACCCAGTCCAAAAAATCAATAGCACTGAGGTTGAGAAACCCTGCTATAGATTAGTCATCTTCAAAAAAATTCTGCACATATACCTGCTATAAATTAAATTTTTATAAACTATATATGCCCTCACACATTTAAACAGACATCTAAAATTTTTCAACATGAATTTAAATGGTTGGAAAAAATGTCATTTCCAGTTTGTTCATTTATTTATTGAAACCGAGTCTCACTCTATTGCACAGGCTGGAGTGCCCTGGTGCGATCTCAGCTCACTGCAACCTCCGTCTCCTGGGTTCAAGCAATTCTCATGTCTCAGCCTCTCCAGTAGCTGGGATTATAGGCACCTGCTACCATGTCCAATTAATTTTTGTATTTTTAGTAGAGATGGGGTTTCACCATGTTGGCTAGGCTAGTCTCGAACTCCTGGCCTCAAGTAATTCACCCGCCTCAGTCTCCCAAAGTGCTGGGATTACAGGTGTGAGCCACCGTACCCAGCCTCCAGTATATTTAATACTATCATGAAAATTAACATGTTATAGCACTCTTCAAAGTGGACTCTAAACACCACAGCAATTTCACAGCCATCATGATCCACTGGAGAACAGATATGAAAGAACTACTCTCTAAAATTCCACAATTTTACATCAATTTTAGGAAAGAGTGCACACTTAAAAGCTGAGAATTGGCTGGGCACAGTGACTCATGCCTGTAATCCCAGCACTCTGGGAGGCCAAGGCAGGAGGATCACTTGAGGTCAGGTCACCTGACCAACATGGTGAAACCCTGTCTCTACTAAAAAGACAAAAATCAGTGGGGTGTGGTGGCACACACCTGAAATCCCAGCTACTTGGGAGGCTGAGGCAGGAGGATCGCTTGAACCCAGGAGGCAGAGGTTGTAGTGAGTTGAGATTGCGCCACTGCACTTCAGCCAGGGAGATAGAATGAGACTCCACCTCAAAAAAAAAAAAAAGCTGAGAATCTAGGCCGGGTGCAGCGGCTCATGCCTGTAATCCCAGCACTTTGGGAGGCCGAGGCAGGTGAATTGCTTGCAGCCAGGAGTTCAAGACCAGTCTGGCCAACATGGTGAAACCCATCTCTATCAAAAATACAAAAAATTAGCCAGGCGTGGTGACATGTGCCTGTGGTCCCAGCTACTCAGGAGGCTGAGGCAGGAGAATTGCTTGAGCCTGGGAGACATAGGTTGCAGTAAGCCACAATCATGCCACTTACACTCCAGCCTGGGTAAGAGGACAAGACCCCCCGCAACTCAAAAACAAAAAAAAAAAAAAAAAAAAAGGAGGGGTCTGCAAAAGTATCTATAAACACAGGTTTTTTTTCTCAAAAAGCAGCTTTAAATCTTTTCATATCCTCAAGCCAGTAAGTAGATTAAGTGTGCCAGAAAGCACAGTATTACTAGATTGTAGATCATTTTTCTCTACAAGTATCTACCTTGCACTTGCTTAGTCTGAAGCTGTCACTTTCTTGTCATACAGCCTTGTGAGATCTTCCTGCAGATTATCTAAAATCAGGTCTTAAAGAGACAGTTGCAATACAAGACACTTATTATGATACCAGCTGGGGATATTTTCCAATATACCTTGCCTAACAGAAATGCACTGTTTTTTTGAGATGACAGGTTTCTGTACAAAACTTTTAAAAACCAAATATTTCTTTTTTTTTTTTTTTTTTTTTTGAGACGGAGTCTCGCTCTGTCGCCCAGGCCGGACTGCGGACTGCAGTGGCGCAATCTCGGCTCACTGCAAGCTCCGCTTCCCGGGTTCACGCCATTCTCCTGCCTCAGCCTCCCGAGTAGCTGGGACTACAGGCGCCCGCCACCGCGCCCGGCTAATTTTTTGTATTTTTAGTAGAGACGGGGTTTCACCTTGTTAGCCAGGATGGTCTCGATCTCCTGACCTCATGATCCACCCGCCTCGGCCTCCCAAAGTGCTGGGATTACAGGCCTGAGCCACCGCGCCCGGCCAAAAACCAAATATTTCTAGGTGAGTTGAAAATGCCTGGTAAAAAATATTAAAAACTAAAGAGCCCTGGATGGGCGCAGTGGCTCACACCTGTAATCCCAGCACTTTGGGAGGCCGAGGTGGGTGGATCACCAGGTCAGGAGTTCAAGACCAGCCTGGCCAACATGGTAAAACACCGTCTCTACTAAAAATAGAAAAATCAGCCGGGCATGCTGGCCTGTGCCAGTAATCCCAGCTAGTCAGGAGGCTGAGGCAGGAAAATTGCTTGGACCCGGGAAGCGGAGGTTTCAGTGAGCTGAGGTCGCGCCACTGCACTCCAGCCTGGGTGACACAGCAAGACTCTGTCCAAAAAAAACTAAAGAGCCCTTTCTTTCGCTTTATTTTTGTGGCAGGGTCTTGTCACCCAGGCTAGAGTGCAATGGCACGATTACGGCTCACTGCAGCCTCAACCCCCTGGGCTTAAGAGACCCTCCCGCCTCAGTCTCCCAAGTAGGTGGTACTATAGGTGTGTGCCACCAAGCCTGGCTAATTTTTGTATTTTTTTGTAGAGACAGGTTTTCACCACGTTGCCCAAGCTGGTCTCAAACTCCTGGGCTCAAGCAATCCACCCATTTCGGCCTCCCAAAGGTGTGAGCCACCATGCCCAGCCAACAGTATCTATTTTTCAACTAGATAGTACCAATTGTCCAAAATCTCATATTTTGAGAGTTTTAGTTTTCAATATTTAATCATTTCTAATAGCTGCTTTGTATACAACATAAAAAAGATGAAAGAGAGAAAAAAGCCCAACACTCCAGGATTAGATACTCAGGAAAGACACCATAGTGGAAAGAGGTACCATCGTGACGGGAAAACCACATTGCAATGATTCAAGAATTTTGACATACATTTGAGCTACTTATTTCAAGGGATGAAAATTATATACTTGAGTGAAAAGAGGATGAACTGTTGCTCCAAATAAGTAGACAGAAGACATGAGAAAATAATGAGAGAAACTCAGAATGATTTATTTGAAAAGATCGAGAACTCCAAAGAGCAGGACTTTAGAACTAGACAGATTTGGATTTAAGTCCTGTCACTTAACTAGCATGTTCCTTCAAGAAAAATAAAACCTCTCTGAATCGTGTTTCCAATCTGTGACATGGGACATATCTTTTATACTCCTGTTATATACATTTAAAAAGCATACAGGCTGGGCATGGTAGCTCACGTCTCTAATCCCAGCACTTTGGATCACTTGAGTCCAGGAATTCGAGACCAGCCTGGCCAACATGGTAAAACCCCGTCTCTACTAAAAATACACAAATTAGCCAGGCATGGTGACCTGCATCCGTAGTCCCAGCTACTGAAGAGGCTGAGGCACAAGAATTGCTTGAACCCGAGAGGCAGTGGTTGCAGTGAGCCGAGATGGCACCACTGAACTAAAGCCTGGGTGACAGAGCAAGACTGTCTCAAAAAAAAAAAAAAAAAAAAAAAAAAAAAACAAGAAAGAAGGAAAAAAAAGCAAAGAAAAGAAAAAGAAAAAGCATATGTTGTGTAAAGCATGGTGCTTGGTTAGAAAAGGTATTCAAAAAGTGTTTAGGGGCTTGAGCCCAGGAGGTTTTTTTGTTTATTTTTTTGTTTTTTTGAGACGGAGTCTGGCTCTGTCACCCAGGCTGGAGTACAGTGGCGCGATCTCGGCTCACTGCAAGCTCCACCTCCCAGGTTCACGCCATTCTCCTGCCTCAGCCTCCCGAGTAGCTGGGACTACAGGTGCCCACCACCATGCCCAGCTAATTTTTTTTTTGTATTTTTAGTAGAGACGGGGTTTCACCATGTTAGCCAGGATGGTCTCGATCTCCTGACCTCGTGATCCACCCGCCTCGGCCTCCCAAAGTGCTGGGATTACAGGCATGAGCCACCACGCCCAGCCGAGCCCAGGAATTTAAGACAAGCCTGGGCAACATAGTGAGACTCTGTCTCTAAAGAAAAAAAAAATTAGCCAGGCATGGTGGCATGTGCCTGTAGTCCTAGCTACTCGGGAAGCTGAGGCAGGAAGATCTCTTGAGCCTAGGAGATCCAGGCTGCAGTAAGCTACGATCCTGCCATTGCACTACAGCCTGGGCGACAGAGTAAGGCCTCTCTCTACTCTCCGCCAACCCCCCAACAAATATTATATACATATTTAATTTTATATATAATTATATAATTTTATATATAATTACATATATAATTTTATATATGTATATAATTATATATAAGTGTATAATTATATATAATTTTATATACATATATAATTATATATAATTTTATATACGTATATAATTATATATAATTTTATATATGTATATAATTATATATGTGTATAATTTTATATATGTATATAATTTTATATATGTATATAATTTTATATATATATATACACACACACACACAAAAAGAGAGTTAGATTCCCCACTCTAGGAAATCAGAGAAATTCAACACTTCGAAGACTAAAAAAGAAATGAATATAACATTGTGAGTGGCTATAAAAATAACGTAAGATTTTATGATATGAAATTAATCAATTCAAAAGAAGCCTACAACCCTAGAGTTTATTTGTTTAGACATACTTTATAATGATTTCATTTCATCCTTGTAAGAAAGAAGAACTTGTTAAGTAAGCAAATTCACAATATTTCTTTTTCTTTCCTTTCACAAACAGGAAAACTGAGGTTCTAAGAAATTAAATGAGTTGACTAAAAAGCAAATAATACTCTCTAAATCCTAGACTAAAACTCATTACCCTTAATCAATACTCTTTCCATTATATCATAATTATCCCATGCTAACACTGATTTCAGCAATAAGCAAAAATAAACAAATCAATATGACAAGATCAAACAAGCCAGTTATGGCCGGGTGCAGTGGCTCACGCCTGGAATCCCAGCACTTTGGGAGGCCGAGGCCAGCGGATCATGAGGTCAGGAGATCGAGACCATCCTGGCTAACACGGTGAAACCCCTTCTCTACTAAAAATACAAAACAAAACAAAAAAAAAAAAACAATTAGCCGGGCGTGGTGGCGGGCACCTCTAGTCCCAGCTACTTGGGAGGCTGAGGCTGGATAATGGCGTGAACCTGGGAGGCAGAGCTTGCAGTGAGCCGAGATAGTGCCACTGCACTCCAGCCTGGGAAACAGAGCAAGACTCCGCCTCAAAAAAAAAAAAAGAAGCCAGTTATCAGTAAATGTTACCTAGTAGACAAAATTAAGCAACATGCTATAAGCCTGAAAACTATTCAATTTGCAGTTTTCTTGCAAAAAGGTTTGGTTCTGACCAATGTCTAGGATTTAGATAATATCAATTCCAGCCAATAACTACACAGTATTCATTATAAAAAGCAACAGTGTGGTTTTTTTTGTTTGACTGGTTTCTTTTTAGAGACAGGGTTTCACTCCGTTGCCCAAGATGGAGTGAAGTGGCATGATCACAGCTCACTGTAGCCTCGAAGTCCTGCGCTCAAGACATCCTCCAGCCTCAGACTACCAAATAGCCAGGATTACAGGCACACACCACCACCACACCTGGTATAGAAACCAGTGATGTTTTTCAAATACACAAATGTTAAACCAGAAATAATGTAATCAGACAATGAAGTTTCATAACAATAAAAAAAAAAGGACTAAATTTAGCCTGGGCAACTCTGCAAAAAATACTTAGGGACTGGTGGCGCATGTCTGTAATCCCAGCTACTTGGGTGGCTGAGGCAGGAGGATCGCTTGAGTCCTGAAGATGGAGGCTGCAGTGAGCCGTGATCGCACCACTGCACTTCAGCCTGGGCTACAAAGCAGCGAGACCATGTCTCCAAAAACAACAACAAAAAACGCCAGGTGTGGTGGCTCACAACTGTAATTCCAACACTTTCGGAGGCCGAGGCAAGTGGATTGCTTGAGCTCAGGAGTTAGAAACCAGCTTGGGCAACACCGTAAAACCCCATCTCTACAAAAAAATGCAAAAATTAGCTGGGCGTGGTGAGGCTAAGGTGGGAGGATCACTTGAGCCTGGGAGGTGGAGGTTAGAGTGAGCAGAGATCCTGCGACCAAACTCCAGCCTGAGTGACAGAGTGAGACCCCATCTCCAAAAAAAAAAAAGAGAGAGAAAAATAAAGTTGGCAAGAGCCAATCCCATCTCCATATTTTTGGCATTAAAAGAGTTCTCCTCTGAGAGTGCTAGGTTTGGAAAATAATCATTTTGCAACTATCAGAATAAAGAATAGTTGCAGGAACACTTTTTCCATTTTATGGAATGAGGTGTTGACCAGTCTATAAAAAAAGAATAGTTCAGGCCAGAATCATTAATGGGATGTAAATCTAGGGGTGGTAGGGGGATATCTGCATGGCCTTAATGAGCATCCCTTTAGATTATTTATAGTTGCAAAGAAAAAAATACTAACTATACAGTAGAAAAAGCTAAGTGATAAACAATTAACATCACCAAGGAGAAAGAGATAGTTATCATATGCCCCCAGATGTGAGATGTTGGGAAGGACACTCCATCAATTATGTTACTTTACAGCGTGGAATGTATATCCTAAGTCTAATCATAAGGAAATATCAGACAGTCCCAATGAGGAACATTCTATTAAAATAAAGGGAGGCTGTAGTCATCAAACATGTAAGTCAATGCCATAAAAGACAAAGAAAGTTGTGGAAATGCACCAATTTAAAGAAAACTAAATGTAAAATCTGATTTTAGGATCCTGTACTGGGAGAAAATGCTAAAAAGGCATTATTTGGGTCATTTGATAAAATAAGAATATGGATTAAAGCATGTGTATTAATAAATTAAATTTACTAAAGTTGGTAACTGAACTGCATGTTAAGAAAATATTTCTATTTTCATTTTTTTGTTTTATTTTTTATTTATTTATTTTTTGGAGACAGGGTCTTGCTCTGTCGCCCAGGCTAGAGTGCACTGACACAATCAGGGCTCACTGCAGCCTCACCTCTCTGACTCAGTTATCAGCCTCCCAAGTAGCTGGGACTACACATGTGCGTCACCATGCCTGGCTAGTTTTTTGTAGAGACGGGGTTTCACCACATAGCCCAGGCTGGTCTAGAACTCCTGGGTTCAAGTGATCTGCCCACCTAAGCCTCCCAAAGTGCTGGGATTACAGGCATGGGCCACCACATCTGACCTGGAACATCTCTACAGAAAAACACAAAAGTATTTCTAGTGGCAGAAAAAAGTATATACACAGAGAGAGAGAGAGAGAGAGAGAGTATGTTAACAATTGGTCAATCTGGGTAAAGGGTATATGGATGGAGTTTTGTGGGTTTTTTTGTTTTTGTTTGTTTTGAGACGGAGTTTCACTCTTGTTGCCCAGGCTAGAGTGCAGTGGCGCAATCTTGGCTCACTGCAACCTCCACCTCCCGGGTTCAAGCAATTCTCCTGCTTCAGCCTCCCAAGTAGCTGGGATTACAGGCATGCGTCAGCACGCCCAGCTAATTTTGTATTTTTTTTAGTAGAGACGGGGTTTCTCCATGTTGGTGGGGCTGGTCTTGAACTCCTGACCTCAGGTGACCCACCTGCCTCGGCCTCCCCAAGTGCTGAGATTACAGGCATGAGCCACCACGCTCAGCCTAGGGTGGAGTGCTTTATACTACTCTTATTCTTCTAACTTTTCGGTAGGTTTGAAACTATCGCCAAATAAAAAGATAAAAAATAATATACTGTTTGCAACACTAATTTACAGTCAGAAGTTAGAATAAATAGTGGTTACCCACTGAGGCAGAGTAGTGACTATAAAAGACTATGAAGAGGGCTTCTGCCATGTTGATAATGTTGTTTCTTGATCTGGAAGCATTCACAGGTGTGTCGTTTGTGAAAATCATCTGAATTATACTTAGATGCACTTTTCTGTAAACATACTATACTTTAATACAAACTTAAGAAAATAAAGAAGACTTCTGTCAAAAGACCATAGCAAAATTTTCTGGAAGTGAAATCTAAATATTTTTTGTATTTCAGTGATAGAAAAATTGAAAATACTTGCTGATATATGTGTATGTAACCCAGACAGGACACTTCTTTTTTTTTTTCTTTTTTTAGACAGAGTCTGGCTCTGTCGCCCAGGCTGGAGTGCAGTGGCGTGACCTCGGCTCACTGCAACCTCCGCCTCCCAGGTTCAAGCAAGTCTCCTGCCTCAGCCTCCCAAGTTGCTGGGACTACAGGCATGTGCCACTACGCCTGGCTAATTTTTCTATTTTTAGTAGAGACAGGGTTTCGCCATGTTTGCCAGACTGGTCTCAAACTCCTGACCTCACATGATCCGCACACCTCAGCCTCCCAAAGTGATGGGATTATAGGTGTGAGCCACCTCACCCGGGCTGACAGAACACTTCTTGAGGGCAGGGATTATGTCTTCTTTTGTATATCACCTATACCACCAAGCAGATGCCTGCCACGTAATAATTTCTTAATAAATAAATATAAATAAATGAACAAATTCTCAATCAATAACAATATTTTGTAATATAAATTGTCTTAATAAAGTAAATTTAGTTTTAAATTATTCATTACCAATAAATACTTTCTCAATAAACAAATGCACTTATTGAATGATACTGAGCTAACCAAGAACCATTTTAAGATCACATCAATTTATTGTCATAGATGAATTTCCTTTGCCTTTTGTCCCAATTCCTACTCACTAGCCCCAAACTCCCCTCTGTAAAACACTGCTCACGTTCATCCCTACCCAAACATTAGTTTATGAAAATTGAACAGCCAGGTGTGGTGGCTCATGTCTGTAATCCCAGCACTTTGGAAAGCCAAGCAGGTGGATCGCTTGAGCCCAGGAGTTCCAGACCAGCCTAGGCAACATGGTACATCCCATCGCTACTCACCCCTCCAAAAAAATACAAAAAATTAGCCAGGTGTAGTGGCATGTACCTGTAGTCCCAGCTACTCAAGAGGCTGAGGTGGGAGGATCTCCTGAGCCTGGGAGGTGGAGGTTGCAGTGAGCTAAGACGGTGCCACTGCAGTCTAGCCTGGGTGACAGAGTGAGATCCTGTCTTAAAAAAAAGAAAAAGAAAGAAGAAAATTAGGCTGGGCTCAGTGGCTCACACCTATAATCCCAGCACTTTGGGAGGACGAGGCAGGTGGATCACCTGAGGTCAGGACTTCAAGACCAACCTGGCCAATACGGCGAAACCCTGCCTCTACTAAAAATACAAAGATTAGCTGGGCATGGTGGTGCACGCCTATAATCCCAGCTACTTGGGAGGCTGAGGCAGGAGAATCACTTGAATCCGGGAGGCAGAGGTTGCAATGAGCTGAGATTGCGCCACTGCACTCCAGCCTGAGCGACAGAGTGAGACTCTGTCTCAAAAAAAAAAAAAAAGAAAAAAGAAAAAGAAAAGTAAACATAGTTTGAGAATTTCACAATAGTTCTTCATATACTCAGTGAAAAAAACAAAGGAAAAATAATTTTGGCTGGAAGAATGAGAGAGATCACTTAACTCACACTTTTCACAACTCTTAATATTTTTCTCCTATGTTAGAACCAAAAAGCATGTTTCATGAGCTATTTTGATATCTGTCTCTGATCAGGAGTTAGAATTGATTCACCATAGTTAGTCCATGAGCTTTTGTGTGTTTTAAAAAAGGCAATTAGCCAGGCACAGTGGCTCATGCCTGTCATCCCACCACTTTAGGAGACCAAAGCAAGAGAACTGCTTGAGCCTATGAGTTCAAGACGAGGCTGGACAATATAGGGAGACCCTCATCTCTACAGCTAAAAAAAAAAAAAAAAAAAAAAAAAAAGTCAGGGAGCCAGTCCTGGTGGTTCATGCCTGTAAACCCAGCACTTTTTTTGGGAGGCCCAGGCAGGCAGATTGCTTGAACCCAAGAGTTTGAGACCAGCCTGGGCAACATGACGAAACCTTGTCTCTACCAAAAATACAAAAATAAAATAAAATAAATTAGCTGGGCGTGGTGACGCACACCTGTAGTCCCAGCTACTCCAGAGGCCGAGGTGGGAGGATCACTTGATCCTGGGAGGTGGAGGTTGCAGTGAACTGAGATGGCACCACTGCACTCCAGCCTGGGTGACATAATGAGACACCCAGAAAGAAAAGTAATAATATATGCCTTATAGAGGAGATATTGCTTAGTATGTATACATTTATTTTATTTAGATATATTACGCTTAAAGAAACTTTTTCCGCCCCAGAGACAGAGTCTTGCTCTGTCACCCAGGCCAGAGTGCAATGGCGCGATCTCGGCTCACTGTAACCTCTGCCTCCCAGGTTCAAGCAATTATCCTGCCTCAGCCTCCCGAGTAGCTGGGATTACAGGTGCCCATCACTGCACCTGGCTAATTTTTCTACTTTTAGTAGAGACGGGGTTTCACCATGTTGGCCAGGCTGGTGTTGAACTCCTGACCTCGTGATCCACCCGCCTTGGCCTCCCAAAGTGCTCGGATTACAGGTGTGAGCCACCATGCCTGGCCATTTAAAGGAACTTTGTAAGTAATCCTTTCCTTTGTAGTTAACTTATAAATATCCTTTGATTTGCCTGTTTTACACTTTGAAGTTGTTTATATCATAGTTTTCAGAATACAGAATAGAGTTACACATAAAGAAGAGTTAGTTCTCAAATAGTTGTTTCAATCATTCATATGAAAGATGCTAGAAATCTGTGAATACTAGTGTAACTCAAGCATCTCACTTCATACTGGGAAGCTGGCAGCCAGCTGTCTCAAAAATAAAAATAAAAAAAGTATTTTTCTCGCCTAGAGGGTTGTTTTGTATATATGGAGATTTCAAAGGAAATGACACAACTAAAAAGAATTTCTATCCCAAAAGAAGTCTGCCCTCCTGCCCTCCAGTTAGGTGTCCTCTGGAATAAAATGTTGAATCCACTTAAGAATTATTGATAAATAAATTCATAAACATGTAAAAAATCATTTTGGTGCCAACTGAATGTTAAATACACACACATAAACACATACCCCAAATCAAATAAATATAATCAAATATAAACCAAAGTAATATAATCAAAGTAATAGAAATGACATTTATCAAAGTGACATAAACGATAGTGATGAAGTTGCTGGGAAGCAGAAAGGACTTGTAGGTATTATGGCACTAGCCAAGAACTATCAGGTAAGTATTCATAGATGATATAAGTGGAGAGCTAAAGGAAAATAAAAGGAAGACTTTCCATGTGAGGGAATGATATGCTTATTAATTTGGGGAAAATAAAGTATATAAAATATAAGTACACTTGCCTAACTGAATCTGGGAACATCCACGTCCAGCCCTATTATTGTTTATATGGTGAAATTTCACCATTTCAGAACAAGTAAGATTCTTTTTTAAATTAAATACTGACAACCTCTAGGTAGTTCTCCAGTTTTAAGTTACTCTGGAAACTGAATAATAATGTTATCATTTAGAAAAAATGCATTTATTAATTGCCTTTAGTGATCATACATTGACCTATGAAATAATGTTTTTAAAATTATTTTTAAAGACATGTTTCTTGAAGTCTTACCATGAGCTGTGTAGTTTGTACAGTTAACTGGTTCTTGCGTAGCGTCATTTATTTTTGGATCTTTACAAATATATGTAAAAAAAAAAGTTAAGGAAATACGGACTACATTCCAACACAACACATTATCATGCCTTTACTATTCATATTATATACTCATGTTGATATTCACATGTAAATAGAGGCTGCTAGTTTGTCCAAGTCAATAAGCATATGTACAAATATACTTTTAGTATTGCTAAGTAATACTTGAGGCAGGAGGATCACTGGAGCCCAGGAGTTTGGGAAGAACAGCCTGGGCAACATAACGAGAAGTCTGTCTCTACAAATAATATAATAATACATAAACATTACAATAAACCTTTAAATTTGCCCCATAATTATCCACGTTTTTACTCATGAGAAAACAGAGTTCAAATAGGTCACCCAAGGTTGCAAAGTGCAACAGAAATTTATCCACTGAGTCCCCACGCGGTGGTTCATGGTGAGGGGGATGCGGATCGCTTGAGACCAGGAGTTCAAGACCAGCCTGGCCAACATGGCGTAAACCCCGTCTCTACTAAAAATACAAAAATTACCCGGGTGTGGTGGCGCATGCCTGTAGTCCCAGCTACTCAGGAGGCTGAGGCAGGAGAATTGACTGAACCCGGGAGGCGGAGGCTGCAGTGAGCTGAGATCGTGCCACTGTACTCCAGCCAGGGCGACAGAGTAAGACCCTGTCTCAAAAAAAGAAAACAGAAAGAAATTTGTCTGGCAGTCTACCATCTCATGAAGTTTGAAGATGACATGAGGTAATATGCATAATATACATAAAGTTAATGATAAATGGGCAACACATTGGCTAGATCGTTATTACTTGTCTTCCCCCTAGGAAGAGTTGGCAAACATTTCCAGGGTAAGAGACTATCCATCTTTGTATTACTAGTGTCTAGAACGGGGCCTGGCATACTTCAGGATCTACATGTTTTACTGAACAAGTAAGCACACTGATAAAAAAGAAAAAAAAAGTGGATCAGAAGAGGAAGCGCCAATGACTAGTAAAATCATAAGGAAATCACAAAGGGTGGCCTCTGGCCCTCCCATCTCCACAACTCTGTTCACCTTCAGGGATCCTTCAGTCATTAGAAGCCACAGATCAGATTATCGTTTTCACTCAGTACAGCCCTAGCCAGTCCTGACGGCAGCGACCCACCTGCGACCCCAACTCTACCTCGCCTCCATGGGGGGGTGTTCTCCACAGAGGATATTGTCCCACTTTGAGGTCCTCGCACTTAAGCGACTCCTCGCCCCCGGCGGAGGTGGCAACAGCCCCCCAGGGTCCTGTAGTGACTGAGACGAACCACAGGACACCAACGAGTCTGGCCGTCACGGCCTCCGGAGCAGACGGACCAGACGGCCAGGCGGCCGCCATCTTGGAGACCGACACTTTCTCGCCACTTCCGCTTCCGCCTCCGCCCAGGAGCGGGAGGGAGAAGGGCAACAGGGCGAGGTTCTTAAAGGGACCTCGCATAGGATAGAGGCCAGTTCCGTCTCTTCGCGTGTTCTTCTGCCCGTGAGCCCGTGGAATCACATTGGGAGACCCTTTTAAAATATGCATGTACCCAGTCCCTCGAGGCGAATTTTCCCCCACGAACCCTTGGAAGGAGCTAAGGTTAATCTTTGAGTGCTGGAGGAAGGAAACGAGTGGTTTAGGCAATCAGGTGCTTCACCCGCTTCTCATTCCCGCGCCCTTAGCTGAGGCTTCTCGGTCCTCTGAAAGTGCCAGCGGCGTCAGAGGTTGGAATCAATGCTTTCCTGACATCATCGCAGTTAGCCCTGATAGGTTTTGGGTTTACAGATAAGGAACAAGGCTCAAAGACGCTGAAACACACTGACCTTAATCACTAAGTGACTCAGTCGGAATGAAATTGATGTTTGCCAGATTTCAGATCTATGCTCTTACTAATTGACATAATGTCCTCCTGTAACTTTAGAGAAGGATTTTGGAAGGCTGCCACGAACAGAACTTAAAAACTGTGAGAGACATTACGCCTTTTAAAAAAAAAAAGTGACAATTTAGGTGGGGGATAATTTGGGGGGTGGAAACTGTAACAAGAGGAAACCAAATAGTTTATGATTAAGTGAAAAGTTGAAGATTTTTTTTCCTCCATCTGTTGTTTTTAAATTTCTATATGTTCTAAAAGTTCTGTGGTGGGGAACTTTAACAGTGAGGAAAAAATGTTTTCGTAAAGTTAAGTTTAATCTTTTTTTTGTCTAACAATATAAAAATTTGAACTTGAGTGGTGCTTCTTCATCCATACTTTAGCACTAACTTTGGTGGTTCTCAAACTTTGAATAGCATCTGAATCACCTGTAGTAGTTATTAAAACAGAATGATAGAACCGGCACTCAGAGTTTCTGATACAAAAGATGTAGGGAGGGACTGGATAATTTCCATTTCTAGGAGATCCCAAGGGATGTGGGTGTTGCTAGTCCAGGGACCCCCACTTTGAGAACACTGGTATAATGTTTTACGAGAAGTAAATTTTTTTTTTTAAGATGGAATCTCTCTCTGCCACCCAGGCTGGAGTACAGTGGCAGAATCTCAGCTCACTGCAACCTCTGCCTTCTGGTTCAAGTGATTCGCCTGCCTCAACCTCCTGAGTAGCTGGGACTGCACGCGTGCGCCACCACGCTCAGCTAATTTTTGTATTTTTAGTAAAGACAGGGTTTCACCATTTTGGCCAGGCTGGTCTCGAACTCCTGGCCTAAGTGATCTGCCCGCCTCTGCCTCCTAAAGTGCTGGGATTTCAGGTGTGAGGCCACACTGTGCCTGGCCTCATTTTGGAATATATATTCTGGAAGACATACAACTATTTGAAGTAATATTTAAACATAAACTACGTTTTTAAATTTTCTTTTTTTGAGGTGGAGTTTCACTGTTGTTGCCCAGGCTGGACTGCAATGGCATGATCTCGGCTCACTGCAACCTCCGCCTCCCAGGTTCAAGCTATTCTCCTGTCTCAGCATCCGGAAAGGCTGGGATTACGGCGCCCACTACCAGCCCAGCTAATTTTTGTATTTTTAGTAGAGACGAGGTTTCACCATGTTGAGCAGGCTGGTCTCGAACTCATGACTTAAGGTGATCCACCCGCCTCTGCCTCCCAAAGTGCTGGGATTACAGGCGCGAGCCACGGCGCCTGGCCCTAAAATTTTCATAATAAAACAACTTTGTAGCATTACTATGCTTTATTCATTCATTCATTTAGAGACAGAAATGGAGTTGAGACGGGAGTTTTGCTCTTGTTGCCCAGGCTGGAGTGCAATGGCACGATTCTCGCTTACTGCAAACTCCACTTCCCAGGTTCAAGCTATTCTCCTACCTCAGCCTCCTGAGTAGCTGGAATTACAGCCATGAGTCACCACGCCTGGCTAATTTTGTATTTTTAGTAGAGACGGGGTTTCTCCATGTTGATCAGGCTAGTCTCCAACTTCCGACCTCAGGTGATCCACCCGTCTGAGCCTCCCAAAGGTCTGGGATTACAGGCATGAACCACCACGCCCCGCTGCTATTTTTTGAGATGGAGTCTCGCTCTGTCATCCAGGCTGGAGTGCAGTGGCACGATCTTGGCTCACTGCAACCTCTGCCTCCCGGGGTCAAGCAATTCTCCTGCCTCAGCCTCCTGAGTAGCTGGGATTACAGGCGCACGCCACCACGCGCAGCTAATTTTTGTATTTTTTAGTAGAGACAGGATTTCACCATGTTGGTCAGGCTAGTCTCGAACTCCTGACCTCGTGATCCGCCCGCCTTGGCTTCCCAAAGTGCTGGAATACAGGCGTGAGCCACCGCGCCCCGCCGCTATTTTTAATTTAAGACATTTATACATAATATTTATGCTTTAAATCAGGTTTAAATGATTTAAGTGAAAAATTTAGTAGTTCAGTTATAAACTTCCTATTCTAAATGGACTTCTTCCTTCTCTCTTTTTTCTTCCTTCGTTTTTCCTTTCTTTCCTTTTTTTCCGTCCTCCCTCTCCCTCCAAAAAGGAAAAAAAAATTGTTTTTAATTGAGCATTTACTATGTACTCAGCATGAAGCTAGACCCTAGACTCAAAAATTTAGACAAAAACCCTGCAGGTAAGCACTTCCTGTTTGGTAAGGGAAAATACAAACAGTTAAATACTATTTGATAAGTGTTTGATAATTGTTACATTAGAAGCACATACTAGCTACTGTAGTAGGACAATGGGTTTGCTTAAGATATTCCTCCTGTGCCTGGCGTGGTGGCTCAAGCCTGTAATCCTAGCACTTTGGAAGGCCAAGGAAGGCAGATGGCTTGAACAAAAAAAAGAAAAGAAAAAGAAACATTTAAAAAAGATTCTCCCAAAATAGTAGTTGAAACGCTATATTTTTGTAGGATACATGACTGCTTAAAAAGGTATAGCCTAGGGCTGGGCGCAGTGGCTCACACTTGTATTCCCAGCACTTTGGGAAACCAAGGTGGGCGGATCGTGATGTCAGGAGATCAAGACCATCCTGGCTAACACGGTGAAACCCTGACTCTGCTAAAAATACAAACAATTAGCCCGGCGTGGTGGGACGCGCCTATAGTCCCAGCTACTCCAGAGGCTGAGGTAGGAGAATCACTTGAACCCGGGAGGCGGAGGTTGCAGTGTATAGCCTAGAAAACGAACCTTTAAACTTTTACTTAGGCCAGGCGTGGTCACTCAGCCTGTAATCCCAGCACTTTGGGAGGCCGAGGCAGGCAGATAACCTGAGGTCAGGAGATCAAGACCATCCTGGCTAACGTGGTGAAACTCTGTCTCTACTAAAACAAAAATTAGCCCTGCGTGGAGAGGGCGCCTGTAGTCCCAGCTACTCTGGAGGCTGAGGCAGGAGAATCGCTTGAACCCGGGAGGCAGAGGTTGCTGTGAACCCAGGTCTGCCATTGCACTCCAGCCTGGGTAACGAGCTAAATTCCGTCTCAAAAAAACAGATAAAAAAACAAAAAAACCTTGAATTTAAAAAACAAAAACCGGCCGGGTGCAGTGGCTCATGTCTGTAATCCTAGCACTTTGGGAGGCCGAGGTGAGTGGATCACAACGTCAGGAGTTCGAGACCAGCCTGGCCAATATGGTGAAACCCCGTCTGGAGTAAAAAAAAAAAAAAGTGCAAAAATTAGCTGGGCATGGTGGTGGGCGCCTGTAGTCCCAGCTACTCGGGACGCTGAGGCAGGAGAATCGCTTGAACCCAGGAGGCAGAGGTTGCAGTGAGCCGAGATCATGCCACTGCACTCCAGCCTGGGCGACGGAGCGAGACTCCGTCTCAAAAACAAGCAAACAACAACAAAGACAAAAAAAAAAAAACACAAAAACCAAACAGAAAAGCTAATCAAATGTACAATATACAGCTCAACACCATCCCTCAGCCCTATTCTGAGATGAAATTTATGACATGGTTACGAGGCAAGGATTAGGTAAAATCTGGCCAGGCACGGTATCTCACGCCTGTAATCCCAGCACTTTGGGAGGCTGAGGCAGGCGGATCACCTGAGGCCAGGAGATAGAGACCAGCCTGAGCAACATGGAGAAACCCCGTCTCTACTAAAAATTCAAAAATTAGCCAGGCATGATGGAGCGTGCCTGTAGCCCCGGCTACTCAGGAGGCTGCGGCAGGAGAATTGTTGAACCCGGTAGGTGGAGGTTGCGGTGAGCCAAGATCACACCATTGCACTCCAGCCTGGGCAACAAGAGCAAAACTCTTCTCAAAAAAAAAAAAAAAAATCTGTCAAAGGCAAAATTACAACAAATTCAGTTATATATCTAATTAACTTTTAGTCACAATTCAAGGAGTGGGGCAGCCTTCATTCTATACACTAGAAAGAAAACTCCCGCTGGGCAATAATAAAACACTGGGTTTTGTAAGGTGGGAACAAAGAAACAGCAACAGAAAAATTCGCGGTTGGAGGCTGGGCATGGTGGCTCCCCAACACTTCGGGAGCCCAATGTGGAAGGATCACTTGAGTCCAGGAGTTTGAGTTCTAAGACCAGCCTGGACAGCATAGACTCCATCTCTACAAAAAGCAAAAAATTGCCTGGGCATGCCTCTAGTCCTAGCTACTAAAGAGGCTGAGCCTGGAGAATCAGGTGAGCCCAGGAGTTCAAGGCTGCAGTGAGCCATGATTGTGCCACTGCACTCCAGGCTGGGCAATAGCACAAGTCCCTGTCTCCAAAAAAAAAGTGGGGAGGAGGAGGGAGAGGAGGAGGAGAAAAAAGAAAAAGAAGGGGTTTGTAGGGTTTTTTGTAAGGGTTAAAGCAGAGGGGACTTCCTTGTTATGGAGACTCAAGTAGACTGGAATCTCCTGCTTTCAGGAAAAATTGGTCTGTTTGGGGATCTATCTGCTTCCTTAAACCTTCAGTTGAGCATGTGGCTTTTAGCATGAGTGAATCCATTTTGGTTTGATCTGGTATTTGGGGGCCTAGTGCAGGAGCTCAGTTTGAAACAATGGCCTCCCATAATTTTTGTTTAAGAAATCCAAGACTAAGGATCAGAATATCTGTTACACATATTACCTGGTAATAAAAGACAGTAACTTTGCATTTTGACTACCATTTTGATGCTTTTAGAATGTTCTGGTTTGGAATCTATAAAGAACTTAAACAAATTTACAAGAAAAAAAACAACTCCATCAAAAAGTGGGCCAAGAGTATGAACAGACATTTCTTAAAAGAAGATATTTATGTGGCCAACAAACATATGAAAAAAAGCTCATCATCACCGGTCATTAGAGAAATGCAAATCAAAACCACAGTGAAATACCATCTCACGCCAGTTAGAATGGCGATCATTAAAAAGTCCGGAAACAAAAGATGCTGGAGAGGATGTGGAGAAATAGGAGTGCTTTTACACTGTTGGTGGGAGTGTAAATTAGTTCAACCATTGTGGAAGACAGAGTGGCGATTCCTCAAAGATCTAGAAACAGAAATACTATTTGACCCAGCAATCCCGTTACTGGGTATATACCCAAAGCATTATAAATCATTCTACTGTAAAGACACATGCACACATATGTTTATTGTGGCACTTTTCACAATAGCAAAGACTTGGAACCAACCCAAATGCCCATCAATGATAGACTAGATGAAGAAAATGTGACACATATACACCATGGAATACTATGCAGCCTTAAAAAAGGATGAGTTCATGTCATTTGCAGGGACATAGGTGAAGCTGGAAACCATCATTCTCAGCAAACTAACACTGGAACAGAAAACCAAACACTGCATGTTCTCACTCACAAGTGGGAGTTGAACAATGAGAACACATGGACACAGGGAGGGGAACATTACACACTGGGGCTGTCAGGGGGTGGGGGGCTAGGGGAGGGAGCGCATTAGGAGAAATACTTAATGTAGATGACAGGTTGATGGGTGCAGCAAACCACCATGGCACGTGTATACCTATGTAACAAACCTGCACGTTCTGCACATATATCCCAGAACTTAAAGTACAATAATTTTTAAAAATGTGATTGGCGCTTGAACCCGGGAGGTGGAGGTTGCAGTGAGCAGAGATTGTGCCACTGCACTCTGGCCTGGGTGACAGAGCGAGCCTCCGTCTCAAAAACAAACAAATGAACAAACAAAAATGTGATTGATAACATAGTGAGTGCTCTTTAAATATTTGTTGACTACATAAAATTTGCTATGTGATACTTACAAAAGGCATATCCAGTAAAAAATGACACAAAGTATAAAAATGAAGAGATGAATTCATTTACCAGTTAGTAAATGATAATAAAAATAAACGCATGCAATGAAATTGTAAGATGAAAAAAAAAAGAATGTTCTGGTTTGTAGAGCCTAGAATTCTGGAGAAAAAAATTAAATTATTTAAAGTTTTTAAAAATTAAAATATTCTGGTTTGATTTTTTTTTTTTAATTTGAGGCAAGGTCTCACTCTATCATCCAGGCTGGAGTGTGGTGGTACCATCATAGCTCACTGCAGCCTTGATATCCCAGGCTCAAGCCACCCTCCGCCTAAGCCTCCTGAGTAGCTGGGACTAGAGGCCTGTGTCACCACGCTTGGCTAATTTTTCACTTTTTGTAGAGATGAGGTCTCTCTATGTTGTCCAGGTTGGTCTCAACTTCCTGGGCTCAAGCAATCCTCCTGCCTCAGCGTCTCAAAGTACTAGGATTACAGGCATGAGCCACCATGCCCAGCAGTGATTTTAAAAGTACAATCTAATAAAGAAAGTTGGGGTTAAAGGATACAACTTTCTAGTTTGAGTTTATTGATATTATGACAAAATTAGATGTTTTTCTGCTGACTGCAAGAATATTGCTGATCTTTGTATTTGTCATTTTCCACATAGATTTTGATTTAACTCTTTGAAAATGCTTACTCTGCTGGTTTGTTGTTGTTGTTGTTGTTTTGACGGAGTTTCACTCTTGTCACCCAGGCTGGAGTGCAATGGTGTGATCTCGGCTCACTGCAACCTCCGCCTCCCGGGTTCAAGTGATTCTCCTGCCTCAGCCTCTCGAGTAGCTGGGATTACAGGCACCCACCACCACTCCCAGCTAATTTTTGTGTTTTGGGTTCTCCATGTTGGCCAGGCTGCTCTCCAACTCCTGACCTCAGGCGATCCACTCGCCTTGGCCTCCCAAAGTGCTGGCACTGTGCCCAGCCCTCTTTACTGATTAATCCCATTATATATGATTATATTTATACTCTTCTACAGTATGTAAAACTAAAAAGAACAAGAATGTTTCCCCATGAAAGTAAAGAAACGACACAAAATTTTTGACTCTTGAACTGATGATATGTTGAAAAAAAACAAAAAAACACAAAAAAACTGTCGCTTCTTACTGCCCCTTAATCTATTTTCTCATGGCTCAGTAAAATATATTACTTTATTTCTTTGCAAACACAGTCTCTGATCACATGATCAATGCATCTTCTAAATTTAGTAAGAACTTAAATCTCAATCTTTACAATGCCTAATTTCTTTGTCACATAAAAATTCTATAGAATTGTATAGAAAGCAAAGGACATAAATAGTACAAACCAAGGTGGAAATTGTTGTGCAGAAACATAAGGAAAAAGGATTACAAGTGAAGCCTGAAACGTAGCTTCCTGTGGGATTCAAGGCCTCTTACCTTGGATCTTTATACATTGGATCTTCTCATTCTTAAGGTTTTCACATGCAACTGATTACATTAACAGATAGTTCTGCACTGTAGCAAAACTTTCTGAGGGAACCAACCTAACTTCTGTTTTCACAGTTAGGACAGAAACGTTAAGTAAAAGATTCTTCCTCTCAAATTTTTTTTTTTTTTTTTTTGAGACAGAGTCTTACTCTGTCACCCAGGCTGGAGTGCAGTGGTGCGATATGGGCTCACTGCAACCTCCACCTGCCAGGTTCAAGCAATTCTCCCTGCCTCAGCCTCCCAAGTAGCTAGGATTACAGGCACCTGCCACCGCACCCAGCTAATTTTTTTTTTTTGTTTGTTTGTTTGTTTTTTTGAGACAGAGTCTCACTCTGTCGCCCAGGCTGGAGTGCAGTGTCATGGTCTCGGCTCACTGCAACCTCCGCCCTCCGAGTTTAAGTGATTCTCCTGCCTCAGCCTCCTGAGTAGCTGGGATTACAGGTGCCTGCCACCGCGCCTGGCTAATTTTTTTTTTTTTTTTTTTTTTTTACCATCTTGGCCAGGCTGGTCTTGAACTCCTGACCTCGTGATCCACCCGCCTTGGCCTCCCAAAGTGCTGGGATTACAGGTGTGAGCCACCATGCCTGGCCAAACCTTTCTTTTTTATTTGACTGTGATGTGCTTGATGTGCTGTGGCTGTGATCTTTTTCTCTGGTGATAAATTTGTAAGTTTAGGGCTCTGCTAGATCTTTATTATACCCTTCTGCACAACATTTGAAATTTGACTCCCCAGTATTTGTGATTGTGTCCTCCCTCCGGTGCGCTAATCTAACTTAACTGCCTACCATCAAAAATTAAATTAACTTTGATTCATCACTTAATAAGGCCTTTATATGCCAAGTACATTTTATCTTGAATGTCAAATGGAGGACCTAAAACTGACTTATCAAAGTCCTGCTTCTCAAAAAAAAAAAAAAAAAAAGGACAAAACAAAATAAATTGGCTTTTCTCAATTTCACAACCAATGTCCCTTTTATCAGATTCAAAACTTGGAATCATATTTACCCTTCAGTTTTCCCCTTGTTCTCCTTTAATACCTTTAATCAGTAAACAACTGATATCTGTAAGTGTTCCTTCTTTTATTTAATCACACGTTTTTCACTCTATTTCAGGCATTCATCATTTCCTGTATACCTTGCTATAGTGACCTCTTAGTTCCTCTATTTTATTCTAGGCCCTTTCCCCAACTTTGTCAATCCATTTTGCACACTTCTTCCAGATGAATATTTTATTTTTTAAAATAACCTGTACCTTTTTAATATTTTAAAATTTTTCTTGAGACAGTGTGTTGCTCTCTCACCCAGGCTGAAGTACAGTGATGCCAATGCAGCTCACTGTAGCCTTGTCCTCCTGGGCTCAAGTAATCCTCCTGCCTCAGCCTTCTGAGTAGCTGAAACTCCTATACCATCTTCAAAATTGTATTCAAAATCCTATTCAAAAAATTTTGGTGGTTCTTTAATTTCTTAGAGATGAAAGATAAACTCTTATAACCTAAGGTTCTTTGTGGTGTTTTCAAGTCCTCCGTCTGCTGTGGCCTCACTTTATTTACTACTAGTTTTGGCTTTCTCCTTGAGGTCACCAGTATCTGTCATACTTGTTCCCATGTATGTGCTGCTTCATTTATTGAGTACTTTCTTTTCTTTCTTTCTTTCTTTTTTTTTTTTGAGTCGGAGTTTTGCTCTCATCACCCTGGCTGGAGTGCAATGGTGTGATCACCTCCGTCTCCCAGGTTGAAGCGATTCTCCTGCCCCAGCCTCCTAAATAGCTGGGATTACAGGCGCCCTCCACCACACCCAGCTAATTTTTGTATTTTTAGTAGGGACAGGGTTACACCATGTTGGCCAGGCTGGTCTCAAACTCCTGACCTCAGGTGATCCACCCATCTTGGCCTCCCAAAGTTCTGGGATTACAGGCGTAAGCCACTGCACCCGGCCTTATTGAGTACTTTCTATGTGCCTGGTATGTGTAATACATGTATTCCTTCATTTAACCTTCAAAACTACCACATTAAGTGAGCACTGCAGTTTCACTAATGAGAATTAGAAAGGTTAAGTAACTTGGCAAGGTTTTATTTTAGGAAATGGAGGAGTCAAGAGTCAAGCTCATATCTTCTGGTTTCAGAGAATAAAAAATATCAGTATCAAGATGAGGTTATCAGCCGGGTGCGGTGGCACATGCCTGGAGAATCACTTGAGCCCAGGAAGCAGAGGTTGCAGTGAGCCAACATCACGCCATTGCACTCCAGCCTGAGCTATGGGAGTAAAACCCTGTCAAAAAATATATATATATTACAAAGAAAGACTCTCTCTGTGGCCCTTTTATATGCCTGTAACAAGAACTTCTGCCAAGGGCTACATGAGGCATAAGGACAGTTAGCCAGAAATATAACACTTGCCCCATACACTGTTTCTCCTAAAGAAGTGGCTTAAGGCCGGCACAGTGGCTCTTGTCTATAATCCTAGCACTCTGGGAGGCCAAGGTGGGTGGATCACCTGAGGTCAGGAGTTTGAGACCAGCCTGGCCGACATGGCGAAACCCTGTCTCTACTAAAAATACAAAAATTAGCTGGGCTTGCTTTTGGGTGCCTGTAACCCAGCTACTCGGGAGGCTGAGGCAGGAGAATCGCTGGAACCCGGGGGGCAGAGGTTGCAGTGAGCCGAGATCACTCCACTGCACCCCAGCCTGGGTGACAGAGAGAGACTCTGTCTCAAACAAACAAACAAACAAACAAAAGAAGTGATTTGAAATAAGCCTGTGTAACCAATGTTGCCTTTGTTTCAAAACAACTTACTTGTACTTCTGTACTTCTTTTGCCTTTAAAAGCTTCCCCCTACCTCAACCTCCCCAAATGTGCCCATTGTTGCCATGGCACACACATTTCCCATTGCAATGTTTCTACTTATTCCCAAATAACTTTGTGAGACCAAGTAGCAAATGTAAGAAGTCATTGTTGCTTATTTCTGCTTGCCAGCATAATTTCACAAAGCAAAATTTCATAATTTCTGATTCTGTGATGACTACAGCTCTTTGGAAAAGTGCTTTGAAGACAAAACAGGATAGAGCACACGGCCCGCCACATCTCTTGCCTGAGTCACTATATTCCTTAAAAGATAAATGACCCACAGGGCATGGTGGCTCGTGCCTGTAATCCCACCAATTTGGGATGCTGAGGCGGGTGGATCATTTGAGGTCAGGAGTTCAAGACCAGCCTGGCCAACATGGTGAAACCCCGTCTCTACTGAAAATACAAAAAAAATTAGCTGGGCATTTTGGCATGTGCCTGTAATCCCAGCTACTCAGGAGGCTGAGGCAGGAGAATTGCTTGAACCCGGGAGGCAGAGGTTACAGTGAGCCAAGATCGCATCACTGCACTCCAGCCGGGGTGACAGAGCAAGATTCCATCTCAAAAAAAAAAAAAAGATAAATGACCCTTGTCTTTCTTACACATAAGACCACATCTGATGGGGTTAGCGATTATGCCTCTGTAATCTATAACTAGATGTACTTTTATATTCAAACCTTGGTGTGATTCTGCTTTAATGTAACTTCTGAGCAACTTTGATGTGGTTTTGCATGTACTGAACCTCCTACACCTGTATATAAGCAGTGGGCTATAATACTGTGTCAGACCAGTCTGACAGCACCTTTCAGAGGAACTGTTCCTGGTCTTCTGTAGGCCTCTGTCTACAGTCCTCAATATAACTGTTTTTCTTTGTTGTTGTTGTTTTTTTTTTTTTTTTTTTTTTTTTTTTTTTTTTGAGACAGAGTCTGTATCACCCAGGCTGGAGTACAGTGGCATGATCTCAGCTCACTGCAACCCTCCTCCCAGGTTCAAGCAATTCTCTTGCCTCAGCTTCCTGAGTAGCTGGGATTATAGGCACCTGCCAACACTTCTGACTAATTTTTGTATTTTTTTTTTTTTTTTTTTTTTAGTAGGGACAGGGTTTCGCCATGTTGGCCAGGCTGATTTTGAACACCTGACCTCAGTTGATCCACCTGCCTCAGCCTCCCAAAGTGCTAGGATTACAGGTGTGAGCCACCGCGCCTGGCCATAACTTTATAACTTTTTAGTTTTTAAAAGACAAGTAGAGATAGGGTCTCACTCTGTCCCCCAGGCTGTGGTGTGTAGTGGCAACCATAGCTTGCTGCAGCCTGCAAATCCTAGGCTCAAGGGATCCTCCTGAGTAGCTGGAACTATAAGCATAAACCACCAAACTGGGCTTTTCTTTTTTTTTTCCATTTTTTGTAGAGACAGGGTCTCGATATGTTGCCCAGGCTGATCTCAAACTCCTGGCCTCAAGCAGTCCTCCTGCCTTGACCTCCCAAAGGGCTCGGATTTCAGGCATGAGCCAGTGTGTCCCACTCCCCAAGACTTCTGAATAAAACGAACTTTAATTCTTTAAAAGCTTGATTTTTTTTTTTTAGTTGACAAATTCTTTGTCTTTGGATTATCTCTCTCTGTTGTAGTTTTAGGTTGACAAGAGCTTATACTTTTAAAAATTCATCTTTCTTCATCATTCTGTGAACAAGACAATCTTGGGCTGGGCATGGTGGCTCATGCCTATAATCTCAGCACTTTGGGAGGCTGAGGTTGGAGGATCACTTGAGCCCAGCAGTTCAAGTCCAGCCTGGATAACATAGTGAGACCTCATCTCTATTTTTTTTTTAAAGACATTCTTTGTTTTTTGTTGTTATTGTTGTTTGTTTTGTTTTGTTTTGTTTTTTTGAGACGCAGTCTCGCTGTGTCACCCAGGCTAGAGTGCAGTGGTATGATCTCGGGTCACTGCAATCTCCGACTCCCGGGTTCAAGCGATTCTCCTGTCTCAGCCTCCTGAGTAGCTGAGATTACCGATGTGCGCCACTACGCCCTGCTAATTTTTGTATTTTTCGTAGAGACAGAGTTTAGCCATGTTGGTCAGGCTAGCCTCGAACTCCTGACCTCGTGATCTGCCCGCCTTGGCCTCCTAAAGTGTTGGGATTACAGGCATGAGCCACCGTGCCTGGCCAAAAAAAGACACTCTTGAGGATTCTCAGATATAAACGTTTTCAGGTACAGCTAAACCTTGTTTAAAAATTTATTGGATAAATTTTTAAAATTTTAAATTCCAAATGAGAGCCAAAAAAAAAGTTTACATTAAATTAACACAGACCGAGTATAGTGGCTCACGCCTGTAATCGCAGCATTTTGGGAGGCCGAGGCACTTTGGGAGCACTTTGGGAGCCCTTGAGCCCAGGAGTTTGAGACCAGTCTGGACAACATAGAGAGGCCTTGTCTCTAAATATAAAAAATTTAAAAAATTAGCTGGGCATGGTGGTGCATGTTTGTAGTCCCAGCTTCTCAGGAGGCTAACATGGGGGAATGGCTTGGGCCCAGGAGTTCAAGGCTGCAGTGAGTTATGATCTCACCACTGCTCTCCAGCCTGGACAACAGAGTGGGACCCTGTCTCAATTATTTATTTATTTTTCTTTTTTTTTTTTGAGATGGAGTCTTGCTCTGTTGCCCAGGCAGGAGTGCAGTGGCATGATCTCGGCTCACTGCAACCTCCGCCTCTTGGGTTCAAGCAATTCTCCTGCCTCAGCCTCCTGAGTAGCTGGGACTACAGGTGTGTGCCACCACGCCTGGGTTATTATTGTATTTTTAGTGGGTTTTCCCCACGTTGATCAGGCTGGTCTTGAACTCCTGACCTCCGGTGATATACCCGCCTCGGCCTCCCAAAGTGCTGGGATTACATTCATGAGTCACTACACCTGGCCTGAAAAAATTAATTAGTTAATTAACAACACAAAGGAAGAAGGGTGGTTGGTGAGGTAAAATTAATTAACAGCACAGAAATGTAGAGAAAATCAGGTTAAAACTGATAGAGATGATGTTTCCTGGGGTGGCCAGGGAGGCAGCTTTTCAGAAGGGGTTAGACTTGAGTCTAGCCCTAGAAGGAGGGTAGGGCTTACAGAACATTCCAGGCAGGGGAAAGTGGGTAGGTAACGAACAGAAAAGCCATTGGTGTTCCATGGATATGGAATAGATAAATTTGCTCAGAGTAAGATCCTCCAGAGGTGAAGTGGAGATTAGGTTGAAGAGTCAGCAAGAAGGGGCCGGGCACAGTGGCTCACGCCTGTAATCCCAGCACTTTGGGGAGGCCAAGGCAGGCAGATTACCTGAGGTCAGGAGTCTGAGACCAGCCTGGCCAACATGGTGAAACCCCGTCTCTACTAAAAATACAAAAATTAGCCAGGTGTGGTGGCAGGCGCCTGTAATCCCAGCTACTCAGGAGGCTGAGGCAGGAGAATCGCTTGACCCCGGGAGGTGGAGGTTGCAGTGAGCTGAGATCACGCCATAGCACTCCAGCCTGGAATGCGAGACTTTGTCTCAAAAAAAAAAAAAAAGAAAAGAAAAGAGTCAGCAAGCAGGGGAGAGTTTGAAGGGCCTTGAATAGCAAGAAAAGGAGTTTGGACTTGGTTTCATGGTCAACTTAAAGTTACATAGCTTTTTGAAAATAGGGGAATATGTTCACAACATCATTTAATATTAAAGTAAGAAGAGGCAGGCTGGGTGTGGTGGCTCATGCCTGTTATCCCAGCACTTTGGGTGGCCGAGGTGGGTGGATCACCTGAGGTTAGGAGTTTGAGACTAGCCTGGCCAACATGGTGAAACCCATTTCTACTAAAAATACAAAAATTAGCCAGGTGTGGTGGCGGGCGCCTGTAATCTCAGCTACTCAGGAGGCTGAGGCAGGAGAATTGCTGGAACCTGGGAGGCGGAGGTTCCAGTTGCACTCCAGGGTAGGGCCAACAACAGCGAGACTCTGTCTAAATAAATAAATAAGCCAGTCATGATGGTGCATGCCTATAGTCCCAGCTACTCGGGAGGCTGCAGTGGGAGGATCGCTTGAGCCTAGGAATTTGAGGCTGCCATGATTGCACCACTGTGCACCAGCCTGGGTGACAGAGTGAGACCTTGTCTCAAAAAAAATTAATTAATTAAATAAATACAAAATAAAATAAGAGGAGGCCAGGCATGGTGGCTCATGCCTGTAATCCCAGCACTTTGGGAGGCTGAGGCAGGAGGATGGCTTGAGGCCAGGAGTTTGAGAGTAGCTTGGGCAACATAGTGAGACCATCTCTCTACAATAAATAAATAAAGAAGAGGTGCAATAGCCAGGTGTAGTGGTGGTGCCTATAATCTCAGCTTTTCAAGAAGGATATTAAGGTGGAAGGATTGCTTGAGTCCAGGAGTTTGAGGCCAGCCTAGGTAACATAGTGAGATTCAATTTCAATTTAAAAAATAAATAAATAAAAATAAATTTAAAAAGAAGAGACCAATGTTTGCAAGGTGATTCTTTGAGATAATTGGTCTCCACCTTTCTTTTTTTTCCTATTTAATTTTTATTATAGGTTCAGAGCTACATGCACAGGTTTGTAGGCCAGGTGCAGTGGCTCACGCCTGTAATCCCAGCACTTTTGGAGGCTGAGGCGGGTGGATCACGAGGTCAGGAGTTTGAGACCAGCCTGGCCAACGTGGTGAAACCCCATGTCTACTAAAAATACAAAAAATTAGCCGGGTGTGGTGGCTGGCACCTGTAATCCCAGCTACTCAGGAGGCTGAGGCAGGAGAATGGCTTGAACAGGGAGGCAGAGGTTGCAGTGAGCTGACTGTGCCACTGCACTCCAGCCTGGGCAACAGAGCGAGACTCTGTCTCAAAACAACAACAACAACAAAAAAACCAGGTTTGTTACATAGACAAATTGTAGGCCATGGGGTTTGATATACAGATTATTTCATCACCCAGGCAATAAGTATAGTACCTGATAGGTAGTTTTTCAATCCTCTCCCTTTTCCCACTCAATCTCCAACTTTATTTTGCCCCCGACTTGGAAAGCCTTTCCTTCTCCATTTTACCTAAATTAATCTCAGACTCTGGTTAAGACCTGTTTAAGTTCTAACCCATGCTTTCAAAAAACATAATAGATCTCTTCATTTTCTGAGGTCTGGCTTCCATCTGGCAATTTGCCTGTTATTTCCCTCAGTAGTTTGTTAGTTCCTAAAAAGCAGAAACCATGCTGATATTGTGTGTCTTCTTACCATGACTAACAAGTGTTACATTTCTTTTAAAACAAGGAAGCAAACTACAAAGCACCAAGTGCATGATCTTAATTTTATTTATTTATTTATTTATTTGAGATGGAGTCTTGCTCTGTCGCCCAGGCTGGTCTTGAACCCCTGGGCTCAAGTGATCCTCCGACTTCAGCCCCACAGAGTAGCTGGGACTACAAGCTCACGGCACCACTCCGGGCTAATTGTTGTTGTTGTTGTTGTTGTTGTTTTTGAGGCGGGGTCTCTCTCTGTCACCCAGGCTGGAGTGCAGTGGCAGGATCTTGGCTCACTGCAACCTCTGCCTCCTGGGTTCAAGTGATTCTCCTGCCTCAGCCTCCTGCGTAGAGGGGACTACGCATCCACCACACCCGGCTAATTTTTGTATTTGTAGTAGAGACGGGGTTTCATCATATTGGTCAGGCTGGTCTCGAACTCCTGACCTCGGGTGATCCACCCGCCTCGGCCTTCCAAAGTACTGGGATTACAAGCGTGAGCCACCGCGCCCCGCCTGAAAGTCTTTATGTTGTAGTTGTTTTGTATCTATTCCTCATCTTCCTGGGGACAGGGATACCATTTTACACATCTTCCCACAATCAATCACAGTGTTTAACAATTACTGTATGTACTCTATGAATAAGATACCTGAAGATTGATTCTCTTTATCGTTAATGTGTGGACTGTATCAGGCAAAGTAAAACCCCTATCATCAAAAGCCTAAAGTTATTAAAGGGAGTGGAAGAAGGCTATCGGGACATATTTTTCTCGAAGGTGTGACATCACAAATAAAAGAAAATTAACGTATAGTGAAATCATCACTGTAGTTAGAGTCAAAATGCCTTGCCTGTGTTCCAAACTTTGGGCCAGTCAACCTACAGGGTGCACGGTTTCCTCATTAGTTTCTTCAGAGAGTAAATGAGACATTGCATAAGCTAGCACCTAGCATACAGCAGGCAAATACTGCTGGATTTCTTTCTTCCACTAAATGAGAAGAAAATAATGACTCCCACATTTACACGTTTTAGAATATTTTATTTTGCGTCAGCGAATAGAGAAAACAAAGGAGGGATGAGAGAACAGGAAAGGAAAGGGGCAAAAAGACAAAGTGTTAAGCGGATTGACCCAACGCTTTCATCGATATCCTCCTCAATTTCCTTGATCTTGGGTCTCGCTCTACACGCAGGCCTCCAACCACACCGGTCTGTCCGGATCTCCCTCCCCGTCAGTGGCGGCTGTCCCCACCACGCGCGGTCTGATCCGCCACCCCGCCCCCACAGCCCACTTTTCCCAGGCCCTTGGCCATCCCGCGCCCGGTAGGAATTCACCTGCACGTAAACAGCCAGGGCAACCGTCCTCCCTCCTTGGAGCCCGCCTCCCGCGGCCCCGGGCTCCCTCCCCCGCCCCCTGCGCCACCCCGGTGCCCCGCCCCGGGCGGGGAGAGTCGGGGCGAGGGGAGGGCCTGCCAGGTGAGGCGCGGTCACCCTGGGCCTCTCACTTCCGCCCAGGTGAGGCAGGGCCGACACCGAGCCCGCCCGACCCGGGCTCCCACCTGCTCCTCCAGCGCACCAGGTAAAGCGTGAGGTCCCGGCTGTGCAGTGCGCGCTCGCCCCTGGGTGTCCCCGCGCCTGGAGGCCGGCCGGGGGCAGCTCCCTCGGGGCTTCCCGGGCCTGCCTGCCCTGCCCCCGCGCTCTCCCCGCCCGCCCGCCTGGAGTGGGTGGGAGCCGGAGGTGGAGGGCGCCGCCGGGCGCTCAGAGGGGCCGCGGCGAGGATGGGGCGCCCGCGGCGTGCGTCCGCGCTGACCCGGGAGGCGGGGCGGGGGCGCCGTCCTCCTGCGTCGGGCCCGGGTGACCCCACGGTGGTCCCCGCCCCGCCGCGCAGGGCTCGCCGAGGCCGCGGGCAGGGAGGGGCGCCGCCCCGCCTCCCCAGGCCTTTCGGGCCTCGAATCTCGGCCCACTGGTATTCGGGGGTGGCACGGATCCTATTTTGCGCCCAGATCGGTGCCCCTGTTTCGCTCCCAGAGCTGGGCGGAGTCTTTCCCTCCATCGGTGGCCGTGGAAGGAGGGAACGGGGTGAGGGGACAAAGAGGAGGGGGTGCTCAGAGCCGGGCTGAGGGGGCGACTTGGGCCCGGCCGCGTCGCGGCGCCTGGTCATCCCGTAGCGGAGGTTCCCAAGCCAGCGGTCAGGCCCTGGGCTCTGCCAGCCTTGCTGCGTAGATGGGGAGGTTCTGTCGGAAAGTGCTTCCAGCCTTAGGGGAAATTCCTGGACTCCTGCTTTTAAATCAAGCTCAGGAAAGCATTTTCAGATCACTCCCACTCTCCAAAGCGCCCCAGCCGTCCCGCACGCAGGCCGAATTAAGTGAACACCCCTTCACTTGGCACTTTGTCATATTTCCAAGTGGCTCTTGTCACTTTGAATTCCAGTTGGTTGTTTACTGGCTTGCCTCTGCCATTTAGAGGGTGCCCCTTTCAGGGCCTTATTTTTCGACTGCATTTAGGGTCTGGCTATTGGTAGGTGCGCGACAAGTGTTTCTTAAAGGAAGGCAGAAGCCTTTGGAAACCCAGAAGGACAATGTCGGTTCCACTGAGGATGATACTACCACATTCTGGGCTAAATTCCTATTGGCTGCAAATTAATTTGCACACATCTATTTGAAAGGAGTGGAGGCAGGGGCAGCGGTTAAAAACTTAAATCTGTTTGCAGCATTAGAAAATGTTAGGTGAGATTGAGCCTTTTAGCTAAAGTGAGCTTTGATGTTTTTAGGGCCCCTAATGGCCTTTAAGATGTTAACAATAACAACAACAACAAAACACTCCAAATGTGTTGAATTTATTTGGGAATGAGAAATGAGCGTTATAGCCCGAGGTGCACAGGCCTGGCAAGCCATATATGCATGGAAGAGGGGAGGGTAAAAGGAAACTTTTATTGGCAAAGTAAGTGCAGATAAGCTGCGTGAAAACAGAGTTTATTGGTTTTGCAGACTGAAAGCCAGAGTTGGCCATTGTTGAAGATGCCATTACTGGGCAGGTGTTATGGAGAGCATCTTATCAGGCCTGGCAACCTGCCTCATGCCTGTTATCTCAGCTACTTAGGAGGCTTAGGCAGGAGGATCGCTTGAGGCCAAGAGTTGGAGACCAGCCTGAGCAACATGGCTGTCTTTACAGAAAAAGCTTTTTAAATAGTCAGGTGTGTCGGGAGGTTGAGGCAGGGGAATTGCTTGAGCCCAGGAGATGGAGGCTGTGGTGAGTGGTGTTTGCACCACTACACTCCAGCCTGGGTGACAGAGCAAGAACCCTGTCTCAAAAAAAAAAAAAAAAAAAAAAGGAAAAAAGATTATCTTATCTTATCTTATCTGAATTACTGCATTCCTAAAGAAAGAATTTCTTGGGTGGTTATTTTAGTTCCTTCTTGAGACCGATCTTTATCTCAGACTTGCAAGCATGAGCTTTCTCCCTCAGGCTCTCTAGTTTGTTTGGGTTTGACAAAAAGTGATTTTGACCTGGTATCTGCAACTTTCACAAAGATAATAACAAAGTTAATAAATATGGAAATACTTATGGATAGAACTTATAAAATGAGTTCTGAAGAGATTTGCCCTTACTAGTCCAGATCCTATTAGGAGTAAGAGAAAAAACACAAACTTTTTCCTCTGCTCTCACACCACTACAGTCAACACTGAGGACTTCTGTGACCAAATAAATGTGTGGGCCCATCAGTTCTGCATCAAGCAATAGCTGAGCATCTAACAGTTCGATTCTGAAACTATTTACCTGGGGATAGTGTCAGATCCCATAAGACTGCCCTCACTTCTGATGCCAATCACAAGTCCTAGATTGTTTTACCCCGGCTTCTGACTAACCACCTATAAATTGGGAATCCCATAACTCCCTCCTCTGGGTTGGTTAACTTGCTAGAGCAGCTCACGGAACTCAAGAAAACACTTATTTAGGTTTATTACTAGTTTATTATTAAGAATATTACAGAGGATACAAGAGGAAGAGATGCACAGGGTGAGGTATGAGAAGGGGCATGCCACCCTCCAGGAACCTCCATGTGTTCAGATATTGAGAAGCTCTCCCTACCCCATCTTCTTGGGCTTTTTATGGAGACTTCATTGAGTAGACATAATTGAAGCATGGGGTAGGGAAACCCAGCAATGCCTATCTGTTCAGATTTTTCTTGGCCTCTCTCTGTAGCATTCCTTCCTCCAGGGTATGGGCAGGACCCCTTCTTATGGGGGTCTTATGACCTACAATCAGACAAGGGAGATCAGATAATTTTTTTAAATATTTATTTATTTATTTATTTTGAGACAGAGTCTTGCTCCGCTGCCCAGGCTGGAGTGCAGTGGGTGATCTCAGCTCACTGCAACCTCCACTTCCCGGGTTCAAGTGATTGTCCTGCCTCAGACTCCTGAGTAGCTGGGATTACAGACATGTGCCACCATACCTGGCTAATTTTTGTATTTTTAGTAGAGACAGGGTTTTACCATATTGGCCAGGCTGGTCTCGAACTCCTGACCTCAAGTGATCCACCTGTCTTGGCCTCCCAAAGTGCTGGGATTACAGGCGTGAGTCACTGCACCTAGCCAAAATTATTTTACTTTATTTTATTTTAATTAATTAATTTATTTATTTGGAGACGGAGTCTTGCTCTGTTGCCCAGGCTGGAGTGCAATGGCGCTGTCTTGGCTCACTACAACCTCTGCCTCCCAGGGTCAAGCGCTTCTCTTGCCTCAGCTTCCCAAGTAGCTGGGATTACAGGCGCCTGCCACCACACCTGTCTAATTTTTATATTTTTAGTAGAGATGGGGTTTCACCATGCTGGCCAGGCTGGTCTCGAACTCCTGACCTCAGGCGATCCACCCGCCTTGGACTCCCAAAGTGCTGGGATTACAGGCGTGAACCACCGGGCCTGGCAATTATTTTTTTTTTTAAAAATTTTTATTCATTTATTTTATTTATTTATTTTTGAGACAGAGCCTTACTCTGTTGCCCAGGCTGAAGTGCAGTGCCGCGATCTCCACCCACTGCAA
This sequence comes from Homo sapiens, assembly GCF_000001405.40. Classification (NCBI taxonomy): domain Eukaryota; kingdom Metazoa; phylum Chordata; class Mammalia; order Primates; family Hominidae; genus Homo; species Homo sapiens. The sequence continues at coordinate 61,746,019 of NC_000001.11, forward strand.
ACTTCACCTCCCTGGGTTCAAGCGATTGTCCTGGCTCAGCGTCACAACCTCAGGTGTGCGCCACCACCACTGGGTAATATATATATATATATTTTGTATTTTTAGTAGAGACAGGGTTTTGCCATGTTGGCCAGGCTGGTCTCGGACTCCTGACCTCAAGAGATCTGCCCGACTTGGCCTCCCAAAGTGCCAGGATTACGGATGTGAGCCATCACGCCTGGCCTCTTTTAAAAAATTTTTAGTAGAGACTGTGTCTCGTTATATTGCTCAGGCTGGTCTCGAACTCCTGGTCCAAGCCGTCCTCCCGATTTGGCCTGTGAAAGTGTTGGGCTTACAGGCGTGAGCCACCCTTCTGGCCCAGAGAATTTCTTTACAGCCACCTTCAAGATGGAAAAGCAGGGGAAGATTAGAGTCCTGCCTTGGGGAGAAAAAGGAGCGAATGAAAGGAGGGGCAGGAGAGTGTCAGAGATATTTCTGGGGACTGCTTCTGAGACTTAAAGCACCCCAACAGTATAATAAAAGACTGTAACAAGAGTTATGGGAGTTATAAACCAGGAATCATGGATGAAAACCAATATGCAATATCACAAGGTCACATAAAATGGGTTTCCCATCAGAAAAATAGTTGTGTTTGAAGCTGAATAGAAAATTAAGCTCTATTCTGCATTTAATGAAACCGTAATAAGTTTAAGCCATACATTAATATTTCTGTAACTATAAAGCTAACATATTCATTGTAGAAAAATTGGAGAAAATTTTCAAAAAAGAAACTAAAAGTACACAGACTACTATTGAGAGATAACCACTAATAACATTAGGATGTATTTTCTTTCAGATTGCATTTTTAAAGTTAAAGAGAAAAATCTGTATATATGTTCTCATAGTGAATTCACATTTAGAACCTTGTGATTCTGAGACAATGACTCAGCATTTTCTAGTTCTTACAATTGCATTTTTACTTAACAGCATTTAATAATTATCCTTACACTGAGGAGCCAGCAGGCTGAATTTACTTGCTTTGTTAAAGTTTAACAAGAATATATTAGGTTGGGGAAGCCAAAGTGGGATTTAATTTGTTCACTTAAGACTTTGCTCCCCTTGGTGAGCCAACTTGGTAAGTTTTTTGAGAAACGGGACCAATCTACCTTGGTATTTGCATGACCATTGCTATGTTTTCTTCCTTAGGGTTTTGTGTAGATTTGGATGCCTTTTTTAAAGCCCTTATTTTAGGTTCCGGTGCAAATGGGGAGAAATTTAGTGCCTGTCAATACCCTTCCTTTTAAGTCAGTGGGATAGATCGATGCTGAAGATGTAGAGCTCACTTATTTTTTGTGTTCGTACAGCTGTCCAGCCAGTAAAGTTTGGAGACAAGGAATTGGGTCCACCTACCATATAACGCTTGACAAGTCATTTAATTCTGGTCCTCCAGAATCTGGTCCCATTTGCAAATGGTCTGCCTTACAGAGATTTGGCGAGGTTGAAAGAAAAGAATGTTCAAGAATGTGTCTTGTAATCTGTAAGCTGTTATTCTCCTGCTTTTTGTTCCTCCCTTATGTTTAATTCCGGTAAAATTATGGAGTTGTGATCTTTTTATTGGGAAGAACTCAAGTTTGTGAGTGCTCTTACTCAGATAGTTACTTTAAGAAAAGGCATAGAGACCATATGAGCTGAACTGATGAAGTCTTTCCTAAAAACACGGTGGAGGAAGAAAAAACAAAACCAAACAGGGATCTTTCTGGAAAGGCATAGATTAAAACTTTACTACAGTAAGCCACTCTCACACGTGGGCATGGGCCACTTTATATTGGGTTAGTTAGGATTGAAATGTGCTGTAAATGCACAATACACACAAGATTTTGAACAGATTTCATGTAAAAAGGAATCTAAAATATCTTATTAATTTTTATTTTTTGAGACACAGTTTCACTCTGTTGCGAAGGCTGGAGCCGCCTCCTGGGTTCAAGTGATTCTCGTGCCTCAGTCTCCCAAGTAGCTGGGATTACAGGCGTGCGCCACCACACCCTGCTAATTTTTGCATTTTTAGTAGAGACGGGGTTTCACCATGTTGCTCAGGCTGGTCTCTAACTTCTGACCTCGTGATCCACCCGCCTCGGCCTCCCAAAGTGCTGGAATTACAAGTGTGAGCCACTGATCTGAATATGTTTATTCTTAAGAGGGTTTAGTTTACCAAAGCACTTACACTGCTATGTGTATACTGCCTTAATGCCTTTTTTTTTTTTTTTTTTTTTTTTTTTGAGACGAGTCTTGCTCTTTTGCCCATGCTGGAGTGCAGTGGCTTGATCTCCGCTCACTCCAACCTCTGCCTCCCAGGTTCAAGCCATTCTCCTGCCTCAGCCTCCTGAGTTGCTAGGACTGCAGGCATGCACCACCACGTCTGGCTAATTTTTTGTATTTTTAGTACAGACGGGGTTTCACCATGTTGGCCAGGCTGGTCTCGAACTCCTGACCTCAAGTGATACGCCCGCCTCAGCCTCCCAAAGTGCTGTGATTACAGGCGTGAGCCACTGCGCCTGGCCATGTAAATGGATTAATACTCCAAATTATAGGTCCTCTCTATAACCTCCTCCCTTATACTCACTACAGTGGTGAAACATTTTATTTTTCAGTCTTCTCAGAACTAACTTACTGATTACACACTAAAATCTCTGCTACAATAATTTAATTATTAGCTTTTGCAGTGCCATGATCATGGTTCACTAGCCCTGACCCCCTGGGCACAAGGGTTCCTCCCACCTCAGCCTGGACTACAGGCACGCACCGGCACGCACCACCACGCTCAGCTAGTTTTTGTTTTTGTAGAGATGGGGTTTTGCCATGTTTTAAATCATTTTGATTGAAAAGAGATGCTAATAGTAGTTATCATTTGTTGAATGTGTACCATGTGCTAGGCCAAATGCTCTAAATTATCCTCTTTAGTGTTTGCAGTATACATATGAAGTAATTTTTTTTTTCTTTTTTTTCTCCTGAGATGGAGTTGCCCAGGCTGCAGTGCTGTGGCACCATCTTGGCTCACTGCAACCTCCATCTCCTGGGTTCAAGCAATTCTTCTGCCTCAGCCTCCCAAGTAGCTGGGATTCAGGTGCCCGCCACCACGCCCAGCTATTTTTTTTTTTTTTTTAAACAGAGTTTTGCTCTTGTTGCATTTTTATTAGAGACAGGGGTTTCACCATGTTGGCCAGGCTGGTCTCGAACTCCTGACCTCGTGATCCACCCGCCTCAGCCTCTGAAAGTGCTGGGATTGCAGGCGTGAGCCACCACACCCAGCCATGAAGTAATTTTTATTAACTCTTTTTTACAAACAAGGGGACTGAGGTGTAGGGAGATTTAAACAATTGGCCTACAGAGCGGGTCCTAGGGATAAACCCTGAGTCTCTGATTTCAAAGCTCATAGGCTATAGAATTTCCCATATTTCAATAATTGGCTATTGAATCAACTGGCAAAAAGTTGATTATTGAAGTACACATTTAGTTCTAATCCTGTTTTTGTATTAGTGACCAATAGGAAATGATCTAAATTCTCGTCAACAGGAGATTGGGTGAAGAAAGTATGTATTCCTACCATCGAATGTTACTTAGTTGTTACAGTGGCTGAGCAGGAACTGCCTATATCATCATGAATAACACCCCTCACCGCAGCCTGGTGTTTTTTTTTTTGGAGACAGGGTCTCACTCTGTTGCCCAGGCTATGGAGTGCAGTGGTGTGATCATGGCTCACTGCAGCCTAGACATCCTGGGCTCAACTGATCCTCCCACCTCAGTCTCCTGAGTAGCTGGGAGTACAGGTGTGTGCCACCACAGCTGGCTAATTTTTAAATTTTTTTGTCAAGATGGGGTCTTGCCATGTTGCCCAGGCTGGTCTCAAACTGGGGCTCAAGTGATCTGCCTGCCTTGGCCTCCCAAAGTGCTGGGATAACAGATGAATAAATCTTAAAAATGTAAAGTTGAGCTTAAAATAGCAAGTTGCTGAAGAATAAGTATACAGTATGATGTAATTTATATAAAGTTTAAAAACCTGCTGAACAGTAATATTGTAAACCAGGACAATGTGTGTTTTAAGAATTTCACATTTGAATTTTGTCTGTATTGATTGCTTGCACTTGGGAAGCTGCCTCATAGTTCAAAGAAGTTAGTGGAACCACTGTGAGATGAACATTCTCTAATGTAGGTTGTACTCTTAGAACCAAAGCAGACCAAGGTCCTGCCCTTGCTTTGACCCTTTGCACACCTTGCTTGGTTTGGTAGATGGCTTTTAGGCCTGGGTCTGTGGGCTTTCAGGGACAGGTCAGTTTCATTTCACTTTAGCTTCCATTAATAATAATTAGTGGATGTTGCTTTGACAATAGGGGCTGGTGGGCAGGGCTTCTGCCTGGTATCCCTTGGGGTTATTTTCTGGAGCTTTTTTTTTTTTTTTTTGAGATGGAGTTTCTCTATTTTTGCCCAGGCTGGAGTGCAATGGTGTGGTCTCGGCTCACCACAACCTCTGCCTCCCGGGTTCGGGTGATTCTCCTGGTACTATTACTACTGAGTAGCTGGGATTACAGGTGCCCGCGACCATGCCTGGCTAATATTTTTGTATTTTGAGTAGAGACGGGGGTTTCTCCATGTTTGTCAGGCTGGTCTTGAACTCCCAACCTCAGGTGTTCTGCCTGCCTCGGCCTCCCAAAGTGCTGGGATACAAGCATGAGCCACCACGCCCGACCCATTTTTCGGCGCTTGTAATGAAGTTCCAGGACGTAGTGTGGTAGAAGAGGGAGATAAGTGAATGTTGAGGGTCAGGTTGTAAATCTTCCCACCATTTAAAATTTGAAGTATTCTCATTTTTAAAGTAGTTATCTACTGAAAGGTCACTAACAGTTGAACCCCTTCCCCATGGAATTAACTCTCTCCAATGGCATCTATGTTTCCTTGCTTTGTTTTTACCTTTTTTCATAGTATCCCTTTCCCTTTTCTATTTTATTTTACTTTTTTTTTTTTTTTTGAGATGGAGTCTCACACTCTGTTGCCCAGGCTGGAGTGCAGTGGTGCGATCTCCACTCACTGCAATGTCTGCCTCATGGATTCAAGTGATTCTCCTGCCTCAGCCTCCCGAATAGCTGGGATTACAGGTGTGCACAATGACACCTGGCTAATTTTTGTATTTTTAGTGGAGACGGGGTTTCACAATGTTGGCCAGGCTGGTCTCAAACTCCTGGCCTCAAGTGATCCGTCTCCTTGGCCTCCCAAAGTGCTGGGAGTACAGGCGTGAGCCACCACGCCTGATTCCTGATATGACCATAATTTCTGGGGAGAAGCTGGGAGTGTACAGTCGGCAGTGCGGGTAAAATTGAATAGCATTTTTGAGGTGGAAACTAATCATTAGTGAATAGTATGAATGCCCAGGTCTTTTTAGTGGGGACTGGCTACATGATCAGAGACCTCTAAGTGTGAAAATTGCCCAGATTTTTTTTGTCATTGTTGCTCGTTGGAGAAAACTGCTACCAACCAGAATACAGAAGCCTACCATAGACTGGGTGCATTGTCTCTAGCCTGTAATCCCAGCACTTTGGGAGGCCAAGGCAGGCAGATCATCTGAGGACAGGAGTGTAAGACCAGCCTGACCAACATGGTAAAACCCTGCCTTTACTAAAAATACAAAAATTAGCCAGGTATGGTGGTGCATACCTGTAGTCTCAGCTACTAGGGAGGCTGAGGCAGGAGGATTGCTTGAACCCTGGAGGTGGAGGTTGCAGTGAGCCAAGACCGCACCACTGCACTCCAGCATGGGCAACAGAGTGAGACCCTGTCTCAAAAAAATAATAATAATAATAAAATAAAAAAGGCCGGGCGTGGTGGCTCATGCCTGTAATCCCAGCACTTTGGGAGGCCGAGGCGGGTGGATCACCTGAAGTTGGGAGTTTCAGACCAGTCTGATTAACATGGAAAAATCTTATCTCTACTAAAAATACAAAATTAGCCCAGCGTGGTGGGTCATACCTGTAATCCCAGCTACTCAGGAAGTTGAGGCAGGAGAATCGCCTGAACCCGGGAGGCAGAGGTTGTGGTGAGCCAAGATCTCTCCATTGTACTCCAGCCTGCGCAACAGGAGCAAAACATCATCTCAAAAAAAAAAAAAAAAGAAGCCTACCATATAGCAGTTTAACTTTGTTCCTACAAAAGTGGCCAAGTTATAGGAAGAGTATTGATATGCATTGGTTAACTTTGAATAGTTTAATGAGAAAATTAGCATGAGTTAACTGAATTATTCTGAAAAACTGACTCTTTTCATTTCTTTCTTTTTTTTTTTTTTTTTTTTAAGACGGAGTCTTGCTCTGTCACCCAGGCTGGAGTGCAATGGCACAATCTTGGCTCACTGCAACCTCTGCCTCCCAGGTTCAAGCGATTCTTCTGCCTCAGACTCCTGAGTAGCTGGGATTACAGGCATCTGTCACCACACCTGGCTAATTCTTGTATTTTCAGTAGAGGCGGGTTTTCACCACGTTGGCCAGGCTGGTCTCAAACTCCTGCCCTTGTGGTCCAAGGCCTCCCTTGTGCCCGCCTCGGCCTCCCGAAGTGCTGGGATTACAGGGGTGAGCCACCGCGCCTGGCCTTCATTTCTTTTTTAAAAAATTTATTTATGTTCATTGAAGCACTATTCACAAGTTTTAATTTCAGATTCTGAATTTAAAGTGGTGTCTTTCAACTTCAATTTCAACATTTCCTGAATGTTCACTGTCAGGAGGATTTAAACATTGCTTAGGCTTAAGCATATATCTGCAAACTGTCAGGATTGTTCTGGAATTTATATATGTTTCCCAAATTCCAGGGATATAGTGGTCCAAAATATAGTATTTTTATATTTAAGGTATTTAGAAAAGTCTTGTTATTTGGTAGGAACACAATGCTAGGACACCTGACTTGAATCTGCATTTGTATGGCAGCAGATGTATTTATTTGAAGTACTGGTGGAGAGCAACCATTATTCTTTGGCTAGGAAAGTTTGTTTTTCGTTTAATCAGTACCTCATAAATGCTGAGCTTTGAGGACAAAGGAATGATAATTAGACACATCCTGAGCTTTGTACTCCAAAGGAAACAATAGAAACTTAAACCTTCAATTTTTGAAAAACTTCAGAAATCATGACTATATTTACACTTGACATTGATCTTTGCACTTGATATTGATAAGCATAAATATAATTATATTTACACTTGCTCATTGATTTTTCAAACTCCCTGGTTCAATGAGCTCTGGAAAATTCCCACTGGGTAGTTATGTGTGGTCTAATTGTGACCTTCCCAATTCACATGTGCAGTTAGAGGCTGAACACCTGTTCTTTCCCAAAGATATTGCAAGTGATCATTTTCTCCCCAAATTTCAGGTTAGATATATCATATGTCTTAGTAAATCAGTGGGGAATTACATTCTTGTGAAGTACTGGGAGCTCAAAAAGTGTTTCTCAGAATCCTTACTTTGCCTAAATTCTTGATTCTATTACATATTTTTTTTTTTTTTGAGACAGAGTCTCACTCTGTCACGGCTGGAGTGCAGTGGCACGATCTTGGCTCACTGCAACCTCCGCCTCCCGGGTTCAAGCGATTCTCCTGCCTCAGCCTCCCGAGTAGCTGGGATTACAGGTGTGCATCACCACGTCAAGCTGATTTTTGTATTTTTAGTAGAGATGGGGTTTCACCATATTGGCCAGGCTGGTCTCGAACTCCTGACCTCAGGTGATCCACCTGCCTTGGCCTCCCAAAGTGCTGAGATTACAGGCATGAGCCACTGTGCCCAGCCTATATATTTTATTTATTAAGTTTTTATCTTAATCAGATCAAGAGTTTAATAAAAAATATATAATAAATAAAATAAATATAAAATATAATTTAATTTAAAATTAAATTTCTATCTCTCTTCAAATACTCCGTTAATTGGCGTTGGCCTAGGCCTTGGGTTTTAAAAAGCCACAATATTATAATAATTTCCTTCAATCACATTCTACAGTGAACCAGATATGAAAAATTCATGGCACAAACTCTCTTGATCAATGATGGAGTGGAAGCTCCCAAGCATAATAAAGTTCTCATTCTCTGGAGGCTGTCCAACTATGAGGACAGTAGTACAATGTGGCATCTTAATTTCTAGCTGTGACCAATTGTAGGTAGCCTATCTATGACAAGTTAGACTCAGTTTCACCGTGTTTCAACAAAGTTGAAATCCCCCTCCATAAGCCCTGTTGGTTTCTTAACTAAACAGGTCAATTTGAATGACCAAAGATTTCCTATGACCATACCCTGAGTGAGACATAGGTTCCATTTAGCCTGAGTGCTGTTTGATGGATAGTGAGTTGTAGAGTTACTTGTGTTTCTTCCTTTTCTTGTCATATACTCTTTTTTGTCATAGCTAACTGCACCCTCAATTTCCTGGGCTTGGGTAATTCTCCCACCTCAGCCTCCCAAGCAACTGGAACTACAGCTTTGCCACCATGCCTGGCTAATTTTTTGCATGTTTTTTTTTTTTTTTTTTTTTTGTAGATACAGGGTTCTGCTATGTTGCCCAGGCTGGTCTCAAACTCCTGGGCTCAAGCAATCCTCCCACTTGGGCCTTTCAAAGTCCTGGAATTACAGGCATGAGCCAACGTGCCTGGCCTTATATACTCGTAAAGCTTTAATCTTCTTCCCTAGACATTTCTTTTCACCATGGAATTGTAATTTTCCAGGCCTGCTTTGTGGACATAGTTTAACCTTACTAATTATGAGTCAGAGACCTGAGTTTCATGATGAGCACCTGTAGTCCCAGCGACTCAAGAGGCTGAAGCAGGAAGATCTCTTGAGCCCAGGAGTTCAAATACAGCCTGGGCAACATAATGAGACCCTGTTTCTGAAAAAATAGAATAAAATAAGAGGTAGACGGCCAACCAATTTCTACCCTTAATCCTTACCAAGGGATACTCCAGAATGGTCTCCAAAATGTGCAAGATGATCCATTAAGAGGTTAGGAAGATGGGCAGGGTGCAGTGGCTCACGCCTGTAATCCCTGGGGGATTACACTTTGGGAGGCCGAGGCGGGTTGGTCACGAGGTCAGGAGTTCAAGACCAGCCTGGCTGAGATGGTGAAACCCCGTCTCTACTAAAAATACAAAAAAAATTAGCCGGGCGTAGTGGCGGGTGCCTGTAGTCCCAGCTACTCGGGAGGCTGAGGCAGGAGAATGGTGTGAACCCAGGAGGTGGAGCTTACAGTGAACCGAGATGGCGCCACTGCACTCCAGCCTGGGCGACAGAGCAAGACTCTGTCTCAAAAAAAAAAAAAAAGAGTTTAGGAAAATGACAATAAAACTTTACCATTTTTACCTTACCCTCATAAAGTTTCTATTTTATGTATGTTTTAAAACATATGTTAGTATAGTAGTATATGTTTATAATTATTTAAAAATAAATTGAGATACATGGCCAACACATTTTTACTGATGGGAATGTGTGTTTTAAAAAGTTTGAAGACCACTAATCTATACTATTATCAGAATTACATTTTAAAAATAGAAATCTGGACTCAGTACTTCCCTACTTAAAAGCCTTTAATTATTTCCTGTTGCTAACAGGATAAAGACCAGTCTGCTTAGCATTGTTTACAAGGACCCTTTCAAATTAGTCTATCTAAATCAGAGCTTCTCAAACTATCAGTGGTGAAAGATCAGGCTCCCCACTCTATAATCTTTCAAGAACTGATATTTTTGTAAAATACGTTATTAGAAAAAATGAAATTTTCAAAAGACATACAAAATAAGGCCACGTGTCTTTTTATTATTTTTTTTTAGACGGAGTTTCTGTTGCCCAGGCTGGAGCGCAGTGGCATGATCTCGGCTCACCGCAATCTCTGCCTCCTGGGTTCAAGCGATTCTCCTGCCTCAGCCTCCCAAGTAGCTGGGATTACAGGCACCTGCCACCACACCAAGCTAATTTTTGTATTTTTAGTAGAGACGGGGTTTCTCCATGTTGGTCTCGAACTCCTGACCTCAGGTGATCCACCCACCTTGGCCTTCCAAACTGCTGGGATTGCAGGCGTGAGCCACCGCACCTGGCCACCAAGTTTTTTATTACTAAATGTAAGACATTTTACTCTGCCATATTGCAGGAAAGTTTCTAAATGTTCATTCCCAATTTCGATACTTGTGCCTTTATGGGCCAAGCATCAGTTTGCAGTCTATACTTGGAGTAACTGTGGTCTTTTTTCCCCTTTCTGCTACTTCTGGAGATCTTATATTAGGTTATTAAAAGCTAGTTATTGTTTTCACAGAAAGTCACGCACTTTTGCACCTGTATGCAGTGGTTCTTCAGTTGTGGTGTCTGGTCTAGGAGCATCACAGGGTCACAGGAGAGAACTTGCTAGAAATGCAGATTTTCAGGGCCCACCTCAGACCTACTGAATCAGTAACTCTGAGAGCGGGACTCTGCAATTTGTGTTTTAACAAGCCCTACAGGTGATTCTGATGCATGCTAAAGTTTGAGAACCACTAACCTAGGGTAGCCTTATATATTGCTAAAACCAGGACACTTTTTTTTTTTTTTTTTTTTTTTTTGGTTCTGGGAGACAGAATCTGTTTCTGTTGCCCAGGCTGGAGTGCAGTGGCATGATCTCGGCTCACTGCAACCTCTGCCTCCCGGGTTCAAGTGATTCTCTCTCCTTAGCCTTCCAAGTAACTGGGACAACAGGCGTGCGCCACCACGCCCGGATAATTTTTTATATTTTTAGTAGAGATGAGGTTTCATCATATTGGCCAGGCTGGTCTTGAACTCCTGACCTTGTGATCCACCTGCCTCCCAAAATGCTGGGATTATAGGCATGAACCACCATGCCTGGCCTGTTTTTTAAATTTACAATGAGAGTTTTCTGTTGTGTTCTCATTCCAGTATTCCTAAACTTTGTAGGTAGGATTAGTCACTCTTTATGATTTCTCTTAGCACGTGGTACATACCTCTGCTCTGCTATTGTGTGTATATGCCTTATAGTATAATTATCCCACTGTGTAGCTTGCAGACTGTCATGGCCATCGTTTTTGTGTCACTTTTACTTTTTTTTTTTTTTTTTGATCTTGCTCTGTTGCCAGACTGGGGTGCAGTAGTGCAATCATGGTTCACTGCAACCTCGATCTTCTGGGCTCAAGCGATTCTCCCACCTTAGCCTCCTGAGTAGATGGGACACAGGCGTGTGTTAACAGGCCTGGCTAATTTTTAAAATTTTTTGTAGAGACTGGGTCTCACTATGTTGTCCAGGCTGGTCTTGAAATCCTGGGCTCAAGCAATTCTTGAACCTTGGCTTCCTAAAATGCTGAGATTACAGGTGTGAGCCACTGCATTGGGCCCTATTTTTCATTATTTTTATTTTTGTTTTTTGAGACAGGGTCTCATGCTGTCACCCAGGCTGGAGTGCAGTGGTGCTATCTCGGCTCACTGCAGCCTCAACCTTCCTGAGCCCAGGTGAGCCTACCACTTTAGCCCTCTGAGTAGCTGGGACTACAGGCGTGCACCATCACACCCAGCTAATTTTTGTGTTTTATGTAGATACAGGGCTTTGCCATGTTATCCAGGCTGGTTTCAGACTCCTGGGCTCAAGCAACCCACCTGCCTTGGTCTCCTAAAGTGCTAGGTTTAGAGGCATGAGCCACTATGCCTGGCTCCCTAGTTTTTAAATTATAAAATTAATACCTGCAGCATTTAAAGTTGTAAAATGAAAAGTTTAATTTTTAAATCTCTCCATCCTCATGTCTACTTTCTAGTAGTAGTCTCTGTTACTACATTGACTATCTTTCTAAATCTCTTTTTTTTGATATGTATGTCTAGCTATGTTGACCATGCTGATGTTGAACTCCTGGGCTCAAGTGATCCTCCCACCTCAGCCTCCTGAGTAGCTGGGATTACAGGCACATGCCAGCATGCTTGGCTTAACTCTTCTTCTAGAAACCTACACACACACATTTTTTTTTCTTACAAACGTGAAAATAATGCACTCATTCTGAAACTCTGTTTTCCTCATTCAGTTGTGCATATTGGATTAACTTCTCTGTGTTAATGCAAAGGGTTGGATTGTCAAAGCATCTTCATCTGAATGTGAAATCTTACCCAACTCCAAACCTTACTCATGATTCAGAGGTTACAGGCAGAAGCCGCAGACACAGATGAGCATTCCTTCTTGGAGGAGCCCCCAGCCAGCAGGCACAGCTTCCAAAGAATTTCACTTTCTTCTACATTGGGACATATTATCAACATACTGAAAATAGTTACATATGACTGATATGAAGTCACTTCTACATGTATTTATGATAAACTTACTGTAGTTTTTTTTGTTTGTTTTTTCTTGAGATGAAGTTTTGCTCTTGTCACCCAGGCTGGAGTGCAGTGGCATGATCTTGGCTCACTGCAACCTCCGCCTCCTGGGTTCAAGCGATTCTCCTGACTCAGCCTCCCGAATAGCTGGGATATCAGGCATCTGCCACCACGCCCAGCTAATTTTTGTATTTTTAATAGAACAGGGTTTCACCAAGTTGGCCAGCTAGTCTGGAACTTCTGATCTCAAGTGATCCGCCCACCTTGACCTCCCAAAGTGCTGGGATTACAGACATGAGCCACCACGCCCGGCCCTACTGTAGTTCTTAATTTGTTTACAGAAGTAAAATTCAACCTTGGGACACAAGTTTTTGCTTTGGATTAACAAATGTTTTTCCTAAAGAAAGCCTTTTCTGTTGTGGGAATCTCTAGTTTTTGTTGTTGTTGTTTTTTAAAGAGTCAGTGTCTCACAGGCTGGAGTACAGTGGCATAATCATAGCTCACTATAGCCTCAAACTCCTGGGCTCAAGCAACCCTCTGGCCTCAGCCTCCAAAGCCACTGAACCTGCCAAGGGGAATCTCTAGTTACACAAATAGAAAATGCCTGTGATTTTCTCCTGTTTTCCAGCTAGCCATGCCCCAGACATCCATAAATTCTCAGATTATTTACAGAAGGCAATTAAGGGAGACCAGATATATCCTGATATTTTAAAATAAGAGACCATTTCTTATCTATTACAAACCTTTATCATGTTTGCTAGGAAGTCAGCTGTCATGCAGGGAATCCCCCAAGCTTGTCCAACCCAGGACGGCTTTGAATGCAGCCTGACACAAATTCATAAACTTTCTTAAAACATGATGAGATTTTTTTGCAATTTTTTTTAAAGCTCATCAGCTATCATTAGTGTTAGTGTATTTTATGTGTGGCCCAAACAATCCTCCTCTTCCAATGTGGCCCAGGGAAGCCAAAAGATTGGACACCCCTGTGGCTGAAGGAGTGAGCCACAGGCTTGCTGTTAACCCTTTCCCCCTCATCCCCTTTTCAGTACATTCAGACCTATTTCATCATTTTAATTGCTTTTTTTTTTTTTTTTTGAGACAAAGTCTTGCTTTGTCACCCAGGCTGGAGTGCAGTGGCACGATCCCGGCTCACTGAAACCTCCACCTCCTGCGTTCAAGTGATTCTCTTGCCTCAGCCTCCCAAGTAGCTGGGATTATAGGCGTCTGCCACCACGCCCAGCAAATTTTTGTGTTTTTAGTACACAAGGTTTCACCATGTTGTTCAGGCTGGTCTCGAGCTCCTGACCTCAAGTGATCCGCCTACCTTGGCCTCCCAAAGTGGTGGGATTACTGGCGTGAGCCACAGCGCCCGGGCTGATCGCTTTTGATAATTTACTTTTTCCAGGAGTTTTGCTATTAAAAATGTGGTAAATACCCTTGCACACACATCTTTGTCCCCCTTTGCCAGTTTTTCTTTCAGAGTGACACTCAGAAGTAAAAATTGTACACTCTTAGGACAACTTAGCAGTGTCAGTATACATTGTGTAAATTTTTATTTCCACCTATTTTTTCATGACATTTGGAGTATAAACTATTATTAATCTCTAATAAATCAATAAATGTCAGTTGAGATTTGGCAGTAAAAAAATGTCATCTTATTGTTTTAGTTTGCATTCTTCGATTTAGAGAGGTTGATGTGTTAATGACCAGCAGGCCGCTCTTGTCAATCCTGTTGGGCTGTATGCTGCTATATGAGAGTACAGTGCTGTCATGACTGCCCTTTTGTTATTCACAGTTACCTGTCACTGGGTAGTTGTAAGAGTTGTACAGTTGAGATGCTGAGCACATCAGAAGTGTTTTTTTGATGCTCTATTCAGCACTTCTTTTGGTATTCCCATTGAATCCAGTGAACATTTGGATGGAATACTTAGACCTTTTATCAATGTCAATGGCATCCGTTATTGGTTTTCAATATGTTTTTTTGCTTAATGATCTTGAATTAGAAGATAAAGATGTCATTCAGCCACCATATCCAGGTTGATGTAAGAAAATTTTGATTGTATAATACTTGTATTTCTTTGATGGTTCATTACAAGTGTGTATCACTAGTAAAAATGATCACTGAAAATGTCTCATTTTGGTCATAGCAAAGGGTTTTGCTAGCCTTTTGAGTTTTTAATTACGTTACATTTTAGATTAATTTCATCAAATCACTGGAATTAAGAAAACATTATCCATAGAGAATGCCACTTTGAGTGGTTTCTTTTTTCTTTTCTTTTTCTTTTTCTTTTTTTTTTTTTTTGAGACAGAGTCTGGCTTTATTGCCTAGGCTGGAGTGCAGTGGCATGAGCTCAGCTCACTGCAACCTCCACCTCCCAGGTTCAAGCAATTCTCCTGCCTCAGCCTCCCGAGTAGCTGGAATTATGGGTGAGTGCCACCACGCCTAATTTTTGTATTTTTATTAGAGACGGGGTTTCTCTGTGTTGGCCAGGCTGGTCTCGAATTCCTGACCTCAGGTGATCCACCCACCTCGATCTCTCCAAGTGTGGGATTACAGGTGTGAGCCGTGGCGCCCAGCCTGGGTGGTTTCTTTCAAGCTGTAGATGACTAGTAAGAGTCTGAGATCATTTGTACAGCTTGGGAATTTTTCTTTTATTTTTTGTTGAGATGGGGTCTCCCTTTGTCACCCAGGCTGGAGTGCAGTGGCATGATCATGGCTCACTGTAACCTCAACCTCCTGGGCTCAAGCGATCCTCTCACCTCAGTCTCCAGTGTAGCTGGGATTACAGGTACAAGCCACCACACCAGCTAATTTTTTTGTTTTTGTAGAGATGAGGTTTCACTTTGTTGCACAGGCTGGTCTCAAACTCCTGGATTCAAGTGATCCTTCTGCCTTGGCCTCCTAAAGTACTGGGATCACAGTGAGCCACTGCTCCTGGCCTGGTTCAATAAATTTTGATAAGTATATACATCTGTGTAAACCATACCCCCTTCAAGACACAATGTGTCCATCACTCCAAAAAAGCTTCCTTGAACCCCTTCCCAGTGTAGGGGAGGGAAAATAGCCTCTACCCTTCTAAGTTTTCGGTTGGGGCCCCTGTAATAAAGGGTAGATTAACAAGAGAAAAACATGTAAACTTGTTTAATATAAGTTTTATGTGACATGGGAGCCTTCATAAGGAAAGGAAGACCCGAAGAAACAGTAAAACCTGAGTGTTTTTAAATTAGGTTTGATGAAGAAGGAAGAGTTGTGGAATGTGATAGGACAGAAAGGGATATGAGCCAAGAGTAGTAAACAGGGAAAAACTTAACAAGGCCTGTTTGTTCATATTCCTCTGGGTGTTCCTCTATTTTTTTTTTTTTTAATTTTTGAGACAGGGTCTCACTCTGTTCCCCAGGCTGGAGTGCAGTGGCATGATCATAGCTCACTGCAGCCTCAACCTCTTGGGCTCAAGTGATCCTCCTGCCTCAGCCTCCTGAGCAGCTGGGACTATGGGTATGTGCCACCATGGGTGGCTGATTTTTGAATTTTTTTTGTAGAGATGGAATCTCACTGTGTTGCCCAGGCTGGCCTCAAACTCTGGGGCAGAAGTGATCCTCCTGCCTCGGCCTCCCAAAGTGCTGGGATTATAGGCATGAGTCAATGCGCCCGGCCACTCTGTCTTTTGAGATTAAGATGCTGCTATCTTCTGGGTATAGAGAGGACACCTCTCACATGAGGATCCTATGATCTGCTTCAGGGGAAGTCTTTTTTGCACCTGCTGTTTCTCAGATTCCTTCAACTTAAAATATTCAACAATGCCAAGGTGTCATATTTTGGGAGTAGCATGTTCTGAAGCCTGTCATAGTCAGTTCCCTATGACCCTGCCCCAGGTAAATTAATCTATAATTGTAGATTAGTTTTGTCAGTACTTGAACTTCATATGAATGTAATCATACAGTATGGTTTGTGCCTTTTTTGGGTCAGGTTTCTTTTTTTCCACATATCATTTTTGAGATTTATCCTTGTTGTGTGTATCAGTAATTTTTCCTTTTTATTTCTGAATATTATATACCATTTGTTTATTCATCTGTTACTAGACACTTGGGTTTTTCTAGTTTTGGGGTTTTTGTAAATAAAAATGCTGTAAACTTTCATGTGCAGGCGTTTTTGTGAGCATATATTTTCATGAATACTGAGTAAGTATTTGTGAGTGGAAGTGCTGGGTCATATAGTAAGTGTATTTTTAACTTTATAAGAAACTACCAATTTTCCGAAGTGGTTGTGATATTTTACGTTTCTCTTAGCAATGTACAATAATAGTTCCAGGCACTTCACAGCCTCGTTGAAACTTAGTGTTGTCTGTTTTTAAATTTTAGTTACCTTAGTGGGTGTGTAGTGGCACCTCATTGTGGTTATAATTTTGAATTTCACTGAGTGGAGCCTTGATAAAGAATGTTCTTGAGGTTTTCCTTAATTTTTCTACAGGATTGTAGCCATATACAATTGAAATTCATCTTTTATATTGTTAAATTTTTTCTTTAGGTGTCTTTAAGAGTGATTGAAGAGAATAATTCAAAATGCCTGAAAATCCTGCTACAGGTATACTGGATATATTGTTCTATAATTAAATTAATTATTTAAAAATGGAATCTCAAATGGGACTTAACTATTACTCTACTTATTCATCTTGACCCAAGATAAACTGCAGGTGCTGCAGGTACTTGATCGCCTGAAAATGAAATTGCAGGAGAAGGGTGACACGTCGCAGAATGAGAAGTTATCTATGTTTTATGAGACACTAAAGAGTCCTCTCTTCAACCAGATACTCACACTTCAGCAGTCCATCAAGCAACTGAAGGGTCAAGTAAGTTACCCATCAGAGTTTTACATTAATATATTATATTAATATATTCAAACCATCAAAGAAAGATAGAGGAGATAGACAAAGACAAATTATCTTTAAGGACTCAGTTCAGCAAAGAGACTGTATTGGGACCTGTAACCTATAACCTGTGGGTAGCATTGGCATAGATAATTTAGAAATATCAATAATCAATTTTTTCTTTGGTAACTGGATGTGGTGGCATGTACCGGTAGTCCCAGCAACTCAGGAGTCTGAGGTGGGAGGACTGCTTGAGCCCAGGAGTTCCAGGTTGCAGTGAGCTATGATCATGCCACTGCACTCCAGCCTGGATGGCAGAGTTGAGACCCTGTCTCAAAAAAAAAAAAAAAAATTGTGTTTGGTTTTAGAATATGGTTTTTGTACTTATTTAAGTATGTAAAGGTCAGATGCTTTGAGAATTCTCAACATCTTCAAAACTATAAAATAGTGCTTAACTTAAATATATTTTCTTTTTATTTTGAGACAAGGTTTCTCTCTGTCACTGAGGCGGGAGTGCAGTGCTGTGATCCTAGCTCACTGCAGCCTTGACCTCCCAGGCTCAAGCAATGTTCCCACCTCAGCTTCCAGAGTAGCTGGGATAGGTGTGTGCCACCACAGTTGGGCTAATTTTTAAAAATTTTATAGAGGCAGGGTCTCCCTATGTTGCCCAGGCTGGTCTCAAACTATTGGCCTCAAGCAGTCCTCCTACCTCAGCCTTCCAAAGTGCTGGGATTATAGGCATGAGCCACCTTGCCCAGGCGTATTTTCCTTATGAAGTCTTTTTTTGTGTGTGTGTGTGGTCTTTTTTTTTGTGTGTGTGTGTTATTATTATTATTTTTTTTAGTAGAGACGGGGTTTCACTGTGTTAGCCAGGATGGTCTGTATCTCCTGACCTTGTGATCCACCTGCCTCAGCCTCCCAAAGTGCTGGGATTATAGGCGTGAGCCACCTCGCCCGGCCGAAGTCTTTTATCTAACAAGAAGTGATCATGCCCTTATAGCACAATAGTCACACTTCTCTTAATTATCAAATATTTGTTGTCTTTCATGCGTATTCTGATTAGAAGTTCCTTGGAAGCAGAATACCTGGTATTTAAATATATAGTTATGTTTCTTCTACTCATTTACCACACTATCTGGATTCTTCAGGCTCTAATACATCATTATTGAATAAGGGACACATATCACCTCTTCTTAGAGGGGTGCAAATTAGCAGTTGTGGGATTTTTTTTTTTTTTTGGTGCTGAGATTGAACCAGAAATTAATTGTTTTAACTGTCCTCTTGGATTCTTTGTTTTGGGGTCAGGGATGGCAAATTACTTTTAAATCACCTATTCTGGAAGCTGAACTTGAATAGTAGCTATACCATAGATGAAATTTGGGCAGAATTTAAAACATAATTGGAGCTAATTTAGCACAGTTAAGTGAAAATTTACAAAATTTGGGAAAAAATGGTTTTTGCTGATAAACTAAAATGCTTGCCCATTAAGTATTTTGTGAGTGATTTGTTTATAGCCAATTAAGGATTAAATTCTACATGTGTCTTTCTGTGAATTGCTTTCTTTAGACCAGAATTTATACCCTAATTTTAGCACTGCCTATATTGATGTTTAGCTTTCTGTATTTCTCTTGGTCACAGAATATCACAATAGTGAATGCTGTTGGTAGCAACTGAAATTGGCAAAGATCAGCAGAAATCTATCACACTTGTTGGACTAAGAGTGGCTGTAACTACCCTATCCTAATAACAATTCTTTATATTTGTATAGTTTGGAGTTGTTATGTACACAGTCATATTTTATGCATTGGACTGTATAATCCCTGTAGCCAGGGGTTTTTTATTTTTTCTTTGAGGTTTTATTGACATTCATTTTTTTTTTTTTTTTTTTTTTTTTTTTTTTTTGAGGCAGAGTATTTGCCTGGGCTAGAGTACAGTGGTGTGATTATGGATCATTGTAGCCTCAACCTCCTGGGCTCAAGCAATCCTCCCACTTCATCCTCCCAAGTAGCTGGGCCTACAGGCATGTGACACCATGCCCAGCTAATTTTTGTATTTTTTGTTGAGACAAGAGTCTCACTATGTTGCCCAGGCTGGTCTTGAACTCCTGGCCCTGAAGCAGTCCTCCCACCTTGATCTCCCAAAGTGCTGGGATTACAGGTGTGAGCCATCACACCCGGCCTAACATTTATTCTGTTTTTTTTTTTGGAGACAGAGTCTTGCTCTGTCATCCAGGCTGAGTGCAGTGGTGCAATCTCGGCTCACTGTAGCCTCCACCTGCGGGATTCAAGCAATTCTCTTGCCTCAGCCTCCCAAGTACCTTGGAATTACAAGTGTGTACCACCATGCCCGGCTAATTTTTGTATTTTTGATAGCGATGGGGTTTCACCACTGACATTTATTCTTAATGTTACCTTTATTCTACTGTTTTGGCAGTTGTATCAGCCAATGATATTTTAAATTATGTCCACCATAATTACATGATTCTCCTCTTTCTATCAATGTTTAAGTGGCTCCGTGACTCACTGCTAATCTTGAGTAAGTTACTTAACCCCTGTGTGCCTCGGTTTTTAGGCTCACAAAATGGGATAATGATATCTCATTAGATTGTTGTAAGAATTAAATGATAATACCTGCAATCATGCTGGTATAGTACTTACTCATAGCAAGCACTCAATAAGTACAGTTATTATCATTATATACTACCTGTGGATCTTTTGTTGCTCCCCACGTGGAATTGTACAGATAAATGGAAAAAGGTTTAGTGCCTTACACTGTTATGTGACTGGATGCATCTGTATATGTGAAGTGTAAAAAGATGTCAGTGTACATGCTGTTAACTTGGACTAGTGGTAGAAGGCAGGAAATAAGAACAAATTTTAAGCTATTAAACATTTTGTGTAATACTAAATTTAAAAAATTTTTAGCCTTGTGAATACACAGATTTGATCTATCTTTACCTTATTTCTTTTCCATGTATATATTTAATGTGCAAAGTATCTATGTAATGGTCAAAATATATTTAATAAATAGAAACAATTTTTCTATAGATTTCTGTTGATTCTTTTTTTTTCTCTCCAACAGCTCAACCATATACCCTCAGATTGTTCAGCCAACTTTGATTTTTCTAGGAAAGGTTTGTTAGTGTTCACAGATGGTTCCATCACTAATGGAAATGTCCACAGGCCCTCTAATAACTCGACTGTATCTGGGTTATTTCCGTGGACCCCGAAGTTGGGAAATGAAGACTTTAACTCAGTCATTCAACAGATGGCTCAGGTAAAGTTGTATCTTCTCATGGAAATATTTAGCTTCATTTCTCCTGTTTTAGTTTTACAAAGGAGCTTATACTCATTCTTTTTGCTGTAAAATGTATTAGTATGTATTTTGCTTGCTTCTATTTTTATATTGTTAGGAGAAACTGACACCATTTTCTAACCTGTGTGTTGAAAATTTATTGACTTAAAATTACATAAGGAAAGTATCCATGTATGTGGTAAGGAGAGCTTTTTAAAAAAAAATTAACATTTATTTTTTGAGATAAGGTCTTGCTAAGGAGAGTTTTTAGACAATGACTAATTGAACACATCTCTATTCTTGTTAAAATAAGATTTTTGGCCAAGCGCAGTGGTTCACACCTGTAATTGCATCACTTTCTGAGGCCGAGGAGGGTGGATCACTAGAGGTCAGGAGTTTGAGACTAGCCCGACCAACATGGCAAAACCCTGTCTCTACTAAAAATAGAAAAATTAGCCGGGCGTGGTGGCAGGCACCTGTAATCCCAGATAGTTGGGAGGCTGAGGCAGGAGAATCGCTTGAACCCCAGAGGCGGAGGTTGCAGTGAGCCGAGATTGCGCCACTGTACTCCAGCCTGGGTGACACCCCATAATTAATGGAAATTAGAACTAATGTAATTTGGAAAATCTAGAAAACATTTGGAAGGATAATCTGGTTGTAGCCCCTAATACCTATTAAAAATTAAATAATAAACAATTAAAATTTTGGACATGTTAGTTTTATGTATGTTCACCTCGACCTTCAAGTGCCATTAAAAATGAAATGAAGTTTGAATGTGGTAGCTTATATCTATAATCTTTGGGAGGCAGAGGCAGGAGGATTGCTTGAAGCCAGGAGTTCAAGACCAGCCTGGGCAATGTAGGGAGACCCCCATCTCTACAAAAATAAAAATAAAAATATAGTCGGGCATGGTGGCACTCACCTGTAGCTCCAGGTACCTAGGAGGCTGATGTTGGCAGATCACTTGAGCCCAGAAATTCAAAGCTGTAGTGAGCTATGATCGTACCACTGTACTTCAGCCTGGGTGACAGAGCCAAGACCTGTCTCTTAAAAAATAAATAAATAAATAGACAAACTTAAGTTGCAGTGTTAAATAGAATCTGTTTAAGGTGTGATAATTAAATAATATTCTGGTCCTAGTTTTTGACTTTATAGTTCTATCCCTTTCTTTCTTTCCTTTTCTTTTCTTTTTTTTTTTTTTTTGAGATGAAGTCTTGCTCTGTTGCCCAGGCTGGAGTGCAGTGGCCCAATCTTGGCTCACTGCAACCTCCACCTCCTGGGTTCAAGCGATTCTCCTGCCTCAGCTTCCCGAGTAGCTGGGACTACAGGCGTGTGTCACCACGCCTGGCTAATTTTTGTATTTTTAGTAGAGACAGGGTTTCACCATGTTGGCCATGATAGTCTCTCCTGACCTCGTGATCCTCCCGCCTCGGCCTCTCAAAGTGCTGGGATTACAGGCATGAGCCATTGCGCCGGGCCAGTTCTATCTCTTTCATCTGACTAGTAATTATTTTTATGTGGTGCTTTTTTTAGTTGATTACATTTATGAAGTTCTCATAAGTGCAGTTACTAACTAAAGCAATAAAATACCTGGCTGTCACAAGAACAGTTCTACCTGTTCTTACAGGTAGAACCCGTGTAAATGGTGGCCTTTTCAGAGTCTTTTGAATTTACCTAATAAATAGAATATCAATTGGGCTGCGCATGGTGACTCACGCCTGTAATCCCAGCACTTTGGGAGGCCAAGGCAGGCGGATCACGAGGTCAGGAGATCGAGACCATCCTGGCTAACACGGTGAAACCCCGTCTCTACTAAAAATACAAAAAAATTAGCCAGGCGTGGTGGCTGGCGCCTGTAGTCCCAGCTACTCGGGAGGCTGAGGCAGGAGAATGGCGTGAACCCAGGAGGCGGAGCTTGCAGTGAGCCGAGATTGCGCCACTGCACTCCAGCCTGGGCGACAGAGTGAGACTCCGTCTCAAAAAATAAATAAATAAATAAATAAATAGATATCAATTAATCAACAATAGAATTAAAAACAGAGCCCTATAAAATGCAGCTGGTTCTGACAGGCTAAATACTGGCATTTTTGATATATCTATTTTCCTCATTTAAAAATATATTTTGCGGCTGGGCACTGTGGCTCACGTCTGTAATCCCAGCAATTTGGGAGGCTGAGGCGGGTGGATCGCTTGAGCTCAGGAGTTTGAGACCAGCCTGGGCAACATGGCGAAACCCCGTCTCCACAAAAAATACAAAAATTTGCCAGGCATGGTGGTGCATGCCTATAGTCCCAGCTACCCAGGAGGCTGAGGCAGGAGGATCGCTTGAGCCCAGAAGACGGAGACTGAAGTGAGCCGAGATCACGCCACTGCACTCTACCCTGGGCAACAGAGCGAGACCCTGTCTCCAAGAAAAAAAATAAAATAAAAATGTACTTTGCATTGAGAGAATTTAAGGAAATTCAATGTAAAAAAGTAATTCAGAATTTACTATGGGAAAAGGCATTTTTCTCAGGAGTTTCCATCCAGCTTGGAATTCATCTCATAATGTGAATGAAGTGTGAAAATACCTCTGATTCCCTGAGGTTGCAGAACACTGCACACACTCTCTCTTACGTTCTACTGAAATAATCAGGTGAGAGGATTTCCAGAAATAATTTATTACTGAAATGCTGAGTTTATGTGGTTCTTAGGGGAAGCTGCTTTTATGCTAAGCAATTTCAGTTCTGCAGACAGAGTATGTTGGCTAAATGTACACCATTGACTTTTTTTTTTAACGCTCCTTCATTAGGGCCGGCAAATTGAATATATAGATATAGAACGGCCTTCAACTGGAGGCCTTGGATTCAGTGTGGTGGCCCTCAGAAGTCAAAATCTCGGAAAAGTTGATATCTTCGTGAAGGATGTCCAGCCAGGGAGTGTAGCAGACAGGTGAGGAAGCTGTTTATTTTCATTTTGCTAATTGTTTCCTGATAATTCTGAAAACTATTATAAAGAGAGTGAAAAACTAGTAATAAAAACAGTAACAGTAACAGCTAACATTTTTGCTTTCGTTTTTGCTATGCATTTGTCAGGCCTTTTGCGAAAATCCTATACCCCATGGCAGCAGTTCCACTATATAGGTATCATCATTCCATTCTGTAGATGAGAAAGCTGAGATTCAGAGAGGTTCAGTGGTCAACCTATAGTCACAGAGCTGTTAATGCTGGAGCCATGATGTGATTCCAAGACCATCTGACTGCAAAGCTAGTGCGCTATTTCCCTCTCTTACAACTGAACATGGTATTTTAGCTATGGACTGATCAGTAAGATAGGAATATTGAAGTTCTCATTCTGCATATTATATTGTTTATTATTCTTAAGATTATAACAACATTTTGGTGGTCATGTTACTCTACCTGATTTATTATGCTTATTGTCAGTTAAGAGGCCCCTCAAGTCTATGTTATCTCCCATGTTTGCATTTGCTTTTATTTTTTAAGGGGTATTTGCAAGCCTTTTATTTTGTCTCTGTTTGATTTCCAGTCTTTGGTTTATTATTCATTTAATAAGTATGCTATTCCAATGCACGTGTTAGAATAATAGCAACAATGGTAGTATATTATTATAAAATTCTTAGTTGATAATACATTTTTGAATTCACATCCTCCATTCTTGGGGGATTAATTCTAGTCTCCCCAACTCAGATTTCAAACATAATGAGTTTCCGTGACTTTGCATCTTTGTTCTGCCATCTAATGCAGCATTTCTTCAAGAACTGTAGTGAGAATGGGTAAACAGGAAGAGGAAGAATATCTGGTGTTTGGGAGATAATAAAATCAAATACAGTAAACCAGGACAGAGTAAATCCTAGGCTATCTTTAGGATGCACTTTAACATAAGAAGTTCAAGCCTGTGCTTCAGAATCTGACTCCTGATAAGATGCTAGGCTTGTCTAGGCTTCAGTTCCTTAATATTTAAAATTTACTAAGTACTTTAAAAGGTGATTGTGAGGATTATGTGAGATAATGCATGTAAAGCACTCAACATAGTACCTGACTCATGATAAGTGCTCAGTAAATACTATTTTTCTTTAGAGATTTTGCTAATTTCTTTTAAAAAGAGTCCTTCTTACCCTGGCTAGCAGTTGGGAGATTGGTGCTTGGGAGAGATTAAAAGGGCTCAGATTGGCCAAGCTCAGTGTCTCATGGCTGTAATCCCAGCACTTTGGGAGTTCAAGATCAGCCTGGGTAACATAGCAAAACCCCATCTCTACAAAAAATACAAAAATTAGCTGGGTGTGGTAGTCCATACCTGTAGTCTCAGCTACTCGTGAGACTGAGGTGGGAGAATCACCTGAGCCTGGGAGGCTGAGGCTGCAGTGAGGTGTGATTGTGCCATTGTACTCCAGCCTGGGCAAATAGGAGTGAGACCATGCCTGAAAAAAAAAAAAAAAAGCTCAGATATAAATTTGGAAGTAATCTCTATGAATTTTCAAGGAGGGTTTGGCCTCTATTGATAAATATTGGACAAGTAGACAGTGAAGATGGGGTGAGAGGAGGTTATTGGTGTAGTTGAGAATATTGTTACCCCAGTGTGGTATGGGTAGAGATCAGATTGGAAGGGGTTCGGGAGGTTTGGGTTCATGCAGTAATGGAGGCAGTGTCCATACTTGCAAAACCTTGGCGGTGGGGTCCTATAGATTGTTTTTGTTTATTTTTCTAGGCAGATAGCTTTTAAAGTGTGTCTGTGTGTTTAAGGATGCACTACCAAATTAGGTAATTAGTTAATAACTTCTGTGAAAAACACTCTGAAGAGCTCTGTTATATAATTAAATAATTTATTTGATAAATGTACTAAGTAAAGTAGTACCATAGGCAACAAACTGCTTAACTTTAATAGATTTTTAAAAATCAGGTTATTAGATCACTTAAAAAATTTCTTTTCTTACATGATTAAGGGATCAAAGATTAAAGGAAAATGATCAAATATTGGCCATTAATCACACGCCATTGGATCAGAACATTTCCCATCAGCAAGCAATTGCATTATTACAACAAACCACTGGATCTTTGAGACTGATTGTGGCCAGGGAACCAGTCCACACAAAAAGCAGTACTTCTAGCAGCCTAAATGATACAACTCTGCCTGAAACAGTGAGTTGCAAATTTGAAAAAATACTTAATTTTGAATAATGCCATTGATCGTAAGAAGTGTAAAGACATTTAGAAGGTGTCATTTTACCTTTCTTTCCTTTTTTTTTTTTGAGATGGAGTTTCGCTCTTGTTGCCCAGGCTGGAGTGCAGTGGCCAGATCTTGGCTCACTGCAACCTCCACCTCCTGGAATCAAGTGATTCTCCTGCCTCAGCCTCCCGAGTAGCTGGGACTACAGGCGCCCACCATCACACTTGGCTATTTCTTTTGTATTTTTAGTAGAGACGGGGTTTCATCATTTTGGCCAGGCTGGTCTCGAACTCCTGCCCTCAGGTGATCCACCTGCCTTGGCCTCTCAAAGTGCTAGGATTACAGGCATGAGCCACTGTGCCTGGCCCGTTTTACTTTTCATGGTTAAAAAAGATGATCATATCTCTGAATGCAGCGTTAGCATATTTAAACAAGATGTTTCATGACGGTCGTTTTTTTTTTTTTTTTTGTCTTTTCAATGTCCTGTGGGTCCCTTTAAGATTATTATTTAATATGGAGGCCAAATTGAAGTATTAGGTGTAATTTATTTAGTGATGGAGAGTCTTGTATTCCTTGGTGATGTAGCCAATTAATTGAGAGTTTTTATTAGAGATTTACTGTTGAGTGTTTAAAGTAAGGTTTGATTATTTGAAAAACATTATTTTTGAAAATTATAAGGGGATTTATGACCAGATTATTGATATTGCAAAATTATAGCAGGCTTTTTTTCATGTAAAGATACATACTGAACAATTTGAAAGAATAAAAGTGTATGTCTCTTTTGGGAACCCTTGAACTTGCTTTTTAACGTTTTACAGATTTTGGCTTGCATCGTCAGAATGCAAGCTAATAAATCTTATTTTCTTATAACACTAAGTGCTAGCTGATTTATTTAATTTTTATTCATTGGGACAAAAGAAAAAATAAGACTGTCTCAGTACAATACAAGGTCACAACAAAAATTAATGTATAGGCATTTTCCCTGTTGTAATCAGCAATATTTATACAGCAGAATTTACATAATAAATACAGTGAATAAAGTGGGGCATTGTTTAACGTATAAAGAACAAGGGCTTTGGAGTCAGGTTTGGATGCATTCAAGTCTATTTCTCCCATATCCTAGTGGTGTCACACCAGGCAGATTCCTTTACCTCATATCTTCCTTTGAAGATATGATGTCTAGTTCTCAGAGATGTTATGAGGCTTGAATGAGAAGGCACGTGAAGAACTAAGCACTGTGCCTGGTGCTGCATATACGTTCTCTGAATATTGGCTGCTATCAGCTGGTATTGTCAGGCACATTATTTTAGCAAACATTATTGTTTCCCAGATAGTAGATGTTCTAGACATGAATTTATTAAACAATCCCAATATTGCTTTTTTTTGAGATGGAGTCTTGCTTTGTCACCCAAGCTGGACTGCAGGGCGTGATCTCGGCTCACTGCAACCCCCGCCTCCTGGGTTCAAGTGATTCTCCTGCCTCAGCCTCCTAAGTAGCTGGGATTTACAGGCACGTGCCAACACACCCGGCTAATTTTTTTGTACTTTTGGTAGAGATGGGGTTTCACCATGTTGGCCAGGCTGGTCTCGAACTCCTGACCTCATGATCTGCCCACCTCGGCTTCCAAAAGTACTGGGATTACAGGCTTGAGTCACTGCACCCGGCCCTCCAATAATGCTTTTTATTTAAGACTGCATAGTAACTTTGCAATTTAGTGTAATAGAAAAACTGGATGGGTATGGTGGCTCACATCTGTAATCCCACCACTTTGGGAGGCCTAGGCAGGAGGGTCATTTGAGGCCAGGAGTTTGAGACCAGCCTGGGGAACATAGTCAAACCCCACCTCTATGGCCAGGCACAGTGGCTCATGCCTGTAATCCCAGCACTTTGGGAGACCGAGGTGGGTGGATCACCTGAGGTCAGGAGTTCGAGACCAGCCTGGTCAACATGGTGAAACCCTGTCTCTACTAAAAATACAAAAACTAGCCAAGCGTGGTGGTGCATGCTTGTAATCCCAGCTGGTCGGGAGGCTGAAGCAGGAGAATTGCTTGAACCTGGCAGGCGGAGGTTGCAGTGAGCTATTATGCCACTGTACTCCTGCCTGGGTGACAGAGTGAGACTCTGTCTCAAAAAAACAAAAAACAAAAAACAAAAAAAAACACCCCACCTCTACAAAAGATAATGGCCGGGCACTTTGGCTCACGCCTGTAGTCCCAGGACTTTGGGAGGCCAAGGCAGGCGGATCATGAGGTCAGGAGATCGAGATCATCCTGGCTAACACGGTGAAACCCCATCTCTACTAAAAATACAAAAAATTAGCCGGGCGTGGTGGCAGGTACCTGTAGTCCCAGCTACTCGGGAGGCTGAGGCAGGAGAATGGCGTGAACCTGGGAGGTGGAGCTTGCAGTGAGCCGAGATCACACCACTGCACTCCAGCCTGGGAGATAGAGCAAGACTCCATCTCAAAAAAAAAAAAAAAAAAAAAATTAGCTGGGCGTGGTGGTACATGCCTGTAGTCCCAGCTATTTGGGAGGCTGAGGCTGGAGGATGGATGATCACAGGAGTTTGAGGCTGACATGAGCTCTGATCATGCACTGCACTCTAACCTGGGTAACAGAGTGAGACCCTGTCTCAAAAAGAAAGAAAGAAAGAAAAACTAAGTAATGAGTATGCCCTAATGATCTTGAGAGGGAGGATATTGTTCTGCAGGTGGATTATGTGAAGTAATGCACATTTCTTATAGAAACCTGCTAGTTAGAGGGGAAACACTTATGTCTTTTAGTCTGATTTGTATAGTCCTATTGCTAATATCTTTAATGGGGCCTACCTGTCCTCTCCCTCATTAGTCTCTCCACTTCGTCTATAGGACACTTCGTGTCCTACCACCATTAGATTCTTCACATATGAATTTTCTTAAACCACTACTTTGGTCCTGTCATTTCTCTTCTAAACCTTTAACTATTTCCACTTGATTACCCAGTTAAATCCAACCTTTGACCATATCTTTCATCCATTGTGTTATCTGGCCTAGCTTTGCCCTTATATTTTCTTTTTGCTTAAATGTCTTCCTTTGTAGTGCAACTTAAATGCCCCTTTTCCTTGAAGTTTTCTGTAATTCTTCATTGGTTTTGACTTCATGTGCTCCCCTCCCTGTAAAAAATCTTTATAATATTTTGTGATTCTCTTTCAAGCAGACACATATTTACTGGTCCCTACTATGTGCTGGGCCCTGTGCTGGATATCCAGTGCAGCGTAAGGAATGAGAAATGTTTCCTGTGCTCTTAGGGCTAGTGCCTTATGATCCAATATTCTGCCTTGTATTTTAATTATTTGTGTTTTAGTTTCTCTCTACTGGATTATAAGATCCCTACGGTCAGGGACCATATGATTATCTCTGTCTGTATATCTTAGCCTGTAGAACATTGCCTTGATTAATTGCATGAATGTTCAATTTGTTGCAAATCTGTTACTTTGGTAATGATTGTATTGGAAAGCTAAGAACCTGTGTGTATTACTGATACTGCGACTCTTATTTGCCATTAATTTGTAGGTTTGTTGGGGCCATGTTGAAGAGGTTGAGCTCATTAATGATGGCTCTGGACTAGGTTTTGGAATAGTTGGAGGAAAAACAAGTGGCGTGGTTGTGAGGACTATAGTTCCTGGAGGATTAGCAGATCGAGTAAGTCAACCTTCCTTGTTATCATTTTGGTTTTATAAAATTTAAGTTGTATGAATTGAAATGTAATTTTATAACATGAGTTACCAGGATATATGACTTAATAACAAGAATTTAAGTATAGCTTAAAAATGATTTATTCTGTAAGTATTATTAGGCTACACTCAGTCTTATTTTAAACAGTTCCTAAATCAACATTTTTGGGGTTTGTTTTGCTTATAATTGACAGGCTTCATGATTACATCAGAGGACAATTTTTTTTATTGAAAAGCATTGTTAATGAATATTGCATTTTGAACATCTGTATTATTCTCCTCTAGTGTGTCTTTCGATGACCTAAATGTTAAAATCAGAAGATACAGTGATTATAAACATTTGTCCCAATATTATACATGGTAAATTTCACTTGAATTAAAATTTATGGTCTTATAAGTTAAATGACTACCTTTCATTGTTTAGCAGTGTTTAAACTGAAAGTGGGCTATTAAAAAAATTAGCAACTGTTTCTGCTTAATTTTATATTGAAGAAATGTTAATTACTACATTTAGTTTTTAGAAATTAGTTTAGAAATTTGACTCTGAAGCCACGTAATAATAAGCCCATATCATATAGAATAGGCATGATAAATCAGAAATAACTTTAGTTATTCCCATAATCAGAATGATATGTAAAATTTCACTGATTATTGCCCAGTTACATATAAATTTATCCCTTTTGATAGACATACGTAAGTAAAAATGAACTTGCCATGCAAATGCAGCTTCAAGGCAAGTTCCTTGGCTCTTCATTTCTGATCACTATTGCTTCACCTTATGCAGCTTGTGGAGCCACTGATGTTCCTATCATCATTTCAGCTCCTAAGAGTATTTATTTAGAACAGCAGTTGTCAAAGTTTGGTCTGTGGGCCTCTGGAGGGCTCTGAGAGCCTTGCAGGTGGTCTGTGAGATCCAAACAGCTTTTACAATAATACCACAATGTTATTATCCCTTTCACCCTGCTAACATTTGTACTGATGGTACAAAAGCAGCTGCAGGCTAAAACTGCTGGTGCCTTGGTGCAAAACAAAGGCAGTGGCCACAAACCGTTATAGTAATGATTGCATTATTTTCTGCCATGTGCTTGCAACAAAAAAGAAAAAAAATGCCGTTTTACTTGAATTTTTTTAAGATGCAGTAAAATGATTAATTTTAGTAAATTTTGATCATTTAGTGCATGTCTTTCGAATATTGTCAAAATGGGAAGTACCACCTAGCATTCTTGCTATGTACTGAAGTTTGATGGCATTTAGTACATGTCTTTTGAATATTGTCAAAATGGGAAGTACCACCTAGCATTCTTGCTATGTACTGAAGTTTGATGGTTGTCTTAAGGAAAGTCACCTGCAAGATTAATCTACTTTTTTTTTTTTTTTGAGATGGAGTCTCGCTGTGTTGCCCAGGCTGGAGGGCAGTGGCGTGATCTTGGCTCACTGCAAGCTCCACCTCCCAGGTTCTTGCCATTCTCCTGCCTCAGCCTCCCGAGTAGCTGGGATTATAGGTGCCTGCCACAATGCCCAGCTAATTTTTTGTATTTTTAGTAGAGACGGGGTTTCACCGTGTTAGCTATGATGGTCTCGATCTCCTGACCTCGTGATCCGCCCGCCTTAGCCTCCCAAAGTGCTGGGATTACAGGCGTGAGCCACCGCACCCAGCCAAATCTGCTACTTTTTTATGTGGAACACATTTTTATTTTTATAAAAATAAGTGCAGAAAAATTATGTTTATCCAGACTTGGGTATTTGGAAGATGTTTTCTTGAGAATGGATGATGTGAACCTGTTATTTCAAGGAAAACAACTGACACTGTTTGTTAGCAACAATAAAATTTGAGCTTAAGCAAAAAATTAGAATTTTGGAAAATTTGTATTTTACCATAAGCATGACATTTCCCTAATACTTAAAAGCTTTTCTAAGGCTGGGCGTGGTGGCTCATGCCTGTAATCCCAGCACTTTGGGAAGCCAAGGTGGGAGGCTCTCTTGAGCCCAGGAGTTCGATACCAGCCTGTGCAATATGGCAAAACCCTGTCTCTACAAAAGACACAAAAGTTAGCTGGGCATGGTGCTACTTGGGAGGCTGAGGTGGGAGGAGGTAGAGGCTGCTTTGAGCCGAGATTGTGGCACTGAACTCCATCCAGCCTGGGCGACAGAGTAAGACCCTGTCTCAAGAAAAAAAATAAAAACAAAAGAAAAGAAAGGCATTTCTGATTAGATTGTTGATTGATATTAACCAATATGATTGTCTTGATATTATATGATGAAATATGTCGGTATTTGGAAGGTCTGCATAACTGTGAATGGATATTCTATTTTCTTCCTTTTTTCTTTCTTTCTTTCTTTTTTTTTTTTTTTTTTTTTTTTAGCATAGTCTTGCTCTTTTGCCTAGGCTAGAGTGCAGTGGCGTGATCCTATCTCACTGCAGCCTCGACCTCCCAGGCTCAAGCAGTCCTCCTACCTCAGTCTCCCGAGTAGTTGGTACTACAGGCATGTACCACCATGCTAGGCTAATTTATTTTTATTTTTATTTTTTTGAGACAGGGTCTCACTCTGTCACCCAGGCTGGAGTGCAGTGGTGCTATCTTGGCTGACTGCAGCCTCTGCCTCTGGGGCTCAAGTGATCCCCCCACCTCAGCTTCTGGGGGAGCTGAGACTACAGACCCAGGCCACCATGCCTAGCTAGTTTTTCTATTTTTTGTAGAGGTGGGGTTTCACCATGTTGCCCAGGCTGATTTCAAATTCCTGAGCTCAAGTGATCCTCCCGCCTTGGCCTCCCAAAGTGCTGGAATTACAGGTGTGAGCCATTGCACCCGCCTGGCCTTATTTTTATTTTTTGTAGAGACAGTCTCGCTTTGTTTCCCAGGCTGGTCTCAAACTCCTGGCCTGAAGCGATCTTCCTGCTTAGGCCTTCCAAAGTGCTGGGATTATAGGTGTGAGCCACCATACCCAGCCTCAATATTTTCTGAAGACCAATATGTGATATGACAAAATAATATGTAGCTAAAAGATCCTTTCAAAAATCAAGATAGATCAGTGGATTTTAATAAAATAGTGTCTGAAAGTTTGTTGATATGGTTCCAGATTCTACATTGTAACTGTATAAGAAACCACCACTTGCCAAGTTTTGGTGTGTTATCAAAGAATAGGCTGAAAGGACTATTATAATACCCCTCCCCTTTCCAACTATATATCTGATTGAGGCCAGATATTCTTCATATACATCATCCAAAACAGTATATTGTAACATACTGAATGCAGAAGCAGATGAGTCCAGCTGTTTTAAGCCAGATATTAAAGAGATTTGTAAAAATATTAAACAGTCCCACTCTTACTAATATATATATATATAGAGAGAGAGATGGAGTCTTGCTCTGTTGCCCAGGCTGGAGTGCAGTGGTGCAGTCTTGGCTCACCACAACCTCTGCCTCCCAGGTTCAAGCGATTCTCCTACCTCAGGCTCCCAAGTAGCTGGGACTACAGGCATGTGCCACCATGCCTGGCTAATTTTTACATTTTTAATAGAGATGGGGTTTCACTATGTTGGCCAGGCTGGTCTGGAACTCCTGACCTTATGATCCATCTGCCTCGGCCTCCCAAAGTGCTAGGATTACAGGTGTGAGCCATCAAGCCTGGCGAATATTTTTTGTTTTGGAAAATATAGCTCTTTTAAAAATATAATGACATAATATACATAAATGATAAAAATTAACATACTAAATATTAAATATTTTAAAAATTCCTCAGTACCAATTTTTGCATATGTATACATTTGTGGATTCATCTTTACCAGATTTCTCCAGAGAAACAGAACCAATAGGACATGCGTGTGATTACTTTAAAAAAGATATTATTTTAAAAAATTGGCTCATGCCATGGTGGGGGCTGGCAAGTCCAAAATACGTAGGGAAGGCCAGGAGGCTGGAAACCCAGACAAGTGTTGATGTTGTAGTCTTGTGTTTGAGATCTATAGGGCAGGCCGGCAGAATGTCTGAGGAAGCTCTGTTACATTCTTGAGGCAGAATTTCTTCTCTAGGAAAGCTCAGTTTTTGCTTGTGAATTCTTCAACTGATTGGATGAGGCTCACCTACATCATTGAGGGTAATTTTCCTTTACTTAAAGTCAACTGTTTGTATATGCTAATCACATTTACAAAATACCTTTGCAGCAACATCTAGATTAGTGTTTGACCAAAACAGTCAGCACCACAGCCCAGATGACACATGTAATTTAACTGTTATACCATCATTACCACAATCAAGATAATGAGCGTATTCATTACCCCCAGCAGATTCCCGTACTACTTTGTAATTCCTATCCCTCCATCCTTAATAATTTTTAAGAATGTAAAGGAGTTCTGTCTTTATCCATTTAGTGTTGCTATAAGGAAATATCTGAGGATGGGTAATTTAAAATAGGTTTATTTAGCTTACAGCTCTGCTGGCTGGAAAATTGGGCATCTGGGGAAAACCTCAGGCTGCTTCCATGGTGGAAGGTGAAGGAGAGCCAGTGTGTGCAGAGATCACGTGGGCAGCGAGGAAGTGGTGGGTGGGGGGCAACTCTCTTTTTAACAATCAGAGTGAGAACTCACTGCACT
Source organism: Homo sapiens (assembly GCF_000001405.40). Taxonomy (NCBI): domain Eukaryota; kingdom Metazoa; phylum Chordata; class Mammalia; order Primates; family Hominidae; genus Homo; species Homo sapiens. The sequence continues at coordinate 61,779,958 of NC_000001.11, forward strand.
AAGTAAACGCACTGCAGAGAACTCAGAGCAAGAACTCACTGCACCAAGCCATTCATGAGGGATTCACCCCCATGACCCAAACACCTCCCACTGGGCCCCACCTCAAACAATGGGGATGAGATTTCAACATGAGGTTTGGGGGGGACAAACATCCAAACTGTAGCAAGTTCTGAGACCAGAATGTTTGAGAATGTTCATTTTATAGACCTTTAAAACACATCTGTGGCTGGGTGCAGTGGCTCATGCCTGTAATCCCAACACTTTGGGAGGCCGAGCTGGGTGGATCACTTGAGGTCAGGAGTTCGAGACCAGCCTGGCCAACATGGTGAAACCCCGTCGCTACTAAAAATACAAAAAATTAGCCAGGTGTGGAGGTGCATGCCCATAATCCCAGCTACTCAGGAGGCTGAGGCATGAGAATTGCTTGAACCTGGGAGGCAGAGGTTGCAGTGAGCCAAGATCACGCCACAGCACTGCAGCCTGGGCGACAGAGCAAGACTCTTTCTCAAAACAAACAAACAAACAAAAACCACACACATCTGTGGCACAACACAATATTCTTTAAGGATTCTTAAAAAAAATTTTTATAACCTGGAAATAATAAAATATTGCAGAAAATTTTGGGATGCCTTTCTTTGTATTCCCTCCCTCCTCCTGCCTCTGCCTTAGCAATTTTAATAGGTTTGTTTGTTGGAGTGGCATTTTTTTTTTTCCAAAATGCAAAGTGGAGTGGTTATTGTGAACAACAAAGGGTCAAGTAAATTTAAACAAAATCCAATAGGTTTCTTTACTGTAAGAATTTTCTGAGCTTTTAAAATACTAACATGCTTTATGAATTTTCACAAGAATAAGATGTGCAGAGTTTCCCAGATTAATCCCATTGAGGCATTGTTGGAAAAAGCCCAAGTCTGATTTTCGCCCTTTACTGGAAGGGATCGTCACTATTTCAGATCATCAAAGAGGAGGTAGAGGGTATGCTTGTCATAGGGTCATAAGTGCTCAAAGAGAAGGAAGTACTTACGCCAGACATTGTTATCTGCTTAATGTACATTATTCTCATGTAACCTTCAAAATACTCTTAGAAGTTTTATTCCCAAATTATAGATATGGAAACCATTAAGAAATTGCCCTAGGTTACAGCAGCTAGGTGAGCCACAAAGTCAGGATTGAGCCCGTACCTGTTTGATTCTGAAGTCTGAGCTTTGTTGTTTGAATTTATCCAAAGTTAATCCTAGTGTTTTCCTTTTCCTGATATACACCTGTGCACAATTGTTCACATCCATCAACAGGGAGTAGCCAGCTCTAGGAACAAGAGAGCTATTATCTCTTCTAGGGCATATGGTAAGGCCTAGCCATAGGGGACAGAGCACTATTCACTTCTCCTTTCCTCTCATGTCAGCTGATGGCAGATAAAATCTCTTCAGCCTTCTTGCTATAACCAACTTATCTCCTTCCTCAGCCTGGCCCCATTTGTTGCTTATTACCAGTCAATGTTATGCTTTCTATAACTCATGAAATGACTTAAGCTGCAGCACCCTCAGGCCCTAGGCTATGGCACAAGATGTGGTATACACCCTCCCTATTATCTACCTTTGGAGAAATTCTCAGCACACCTACATCCAAATTAGCCTCTGAAAGGAAAGAGCATAGGATTATAGTGTGTGAGCTTTAGAATCAGACAGATGAAGGCTTGAATTCTGGATCCACCTCTCACCCTGGGCAATTGACTTCTTGGCTTAATTCTATGTTTCTAAAATAGTCCCCAAGACCACTAGATTTGATGACTTGCTAGGAGGTTTCATAGGACTCAGCATACAGTTACACCCACAGCTATATTTATTACAGTGAAAGAATACAAAGCAAAATCAACATGGAAAAGGTGCATGAGGTGGAGACTGGAGGAAACCAGGCACAAGCTTCCACGAGTCCGCTCCCCATGGAGTCATATAGGACAGACACACTTAAGTCTTCCAGTGGTGAATTATGACCACACATCTGAAATGTCTGCCATGGAAGCCCATCAGAGACTCTGCACAGGGTTGTTACTGGATGCTGGTCACATAGGCACACACTGTGTAGCATATACCGAAGTCCTAGACTTGCAGAAGAATGCAGGTGTTCAGGAGAGACTACACTTTAGGCACCTAGAGCCATTTTTACCAGGGAATGGTGAGAACCCTCACAGAATCTAAGCTCCCAGGTGTTAGCCAAGGGCTAACCTTGTGAGAAGGCCTTTCCAAGGAAAGTAGTCTTAGGCCTGCCATTAATGCTTTTTTTTATTTTTTGGCAGGAGATAATTTTGCTTGCCTTAAATAAGAGGCTGTGTGAAAATTCAATGTTAATCAATGTAACATGCTTAGCACAATGCCTCTTAGTTCCCAAAATGCTTATAACCCACTGGGAGAGAAATGTATTCTCATTTTGCTTAAGAAGGATCTGAGACTTAGGGAGGATGAACAACTGACCTTTGGCCATACACTTTGTCCAAAGTAGAGCTAAGATTTGAACTTGGGTGCATCTGACTCCAAAGCCCTTACCTGTCTTTCTGTTGTGTCCTGCTGCTAATGATGTAAAAGAAATGAAGTAGAAAATAGCATTTATTTATTTTAAAAAATTGATTTATAGGAATCTTTTAAGAAACATTTGTTGAGATCTAGTTACAATGTCCAATCAGTTAATATAATCAGGCCAATTCCATGGATAGAGAAATTCTATGATATTAAAAGGGTAGCTAAAAGGCCTATCTCCCTGTAAGCCTCAGAGCCTCTCCAAAATTCACAGTGCTTGAAACACTCACCTTGAGAACATTCTATCAGTTGTGGCAAGAGTTAAACATTTTTTTGGGAGGTACTTTTTGTTTTGTTTTGTGTGACATTGATAACAGGCAGTGTAAAACCCTTGAAGTGCAGAAACCTCTTTCATGTGGTCTGGCGAAGTTCTAGGGCGGTCAGGTATACCGGAATACCTCGTTGTCTTCAGAACACAGCCTATTTAAAGGTTGTCATAAATGATTGACATTTTGGTATGAAACAGTTATAATATGAGTCTACTGACTACCCAGTAACCTAATACTAGGAAGGAATGGAACCAAGCAAGGGTTTGAGGGTGGATGTGAACTTTGAGAGACTTTCAGTGTAGAGTAAGGAAGGCCCAGCTTGAGGTCACTAAATGGTTGGTTAGTCCCAAGCAATTTTGCTTTGAGTGATTATATAAACAGATATTTTCTTTATCTATAAAAATCAGTTAATGAGTGCTCTGGGAATTTGAGTAGGATAGGATAGTTTCTTTAATTCCTTTAGGGAAACAGTGTATTTTATTTTGTAAAGTTACCCTTTTCTATCAATGGCATGTTGCCTTTTGATTGAAGACCAATAATAAAACTGGCCTGGAATCAAACATAGTTATGATTTCATTGTCTGAGTTGTGGAAGTATTTGGTGCCTTTTTTTTTCCTTTCTTTTCTTTTCTTTTTTTTTTTTTTTTTTAAATAGAGACAGAGTCTTGCTCTGTCACTTTGGCTAGAGTGCAGTGGTGCGATCCTAGCTCACTGCAGCCTCCAACTCCTGACTTCAAGCAGTCCTCCCAAAGTGCTGGGATTACAGGCATGAGCCATGGTACCTGGATTCATTTTTTAGTTTTTGAAGAAACAAATTTGATTTCTTCTTTTGTAGCTCAGGTCTGAATTCCTATAGGTTTAAAATTTTTTTTTTAAATTATCATCCACAACAGCATATCAGAGAAGTTAAAATGCAAAGTAATGTGAGTTTTTTTTTAGCCCAGAGTTGCTACTTTTTTTTTTTTTTTTTTCTGAGACAGGGTGTTGCTCTGTTGCTCAGGCTGGAGTGCAGTGGTATGATTTTGGCTCACTGCATCCTCCACCTCCCAGGTTCAAGTCTTGTGCCTCAGCCTCCCATGTAGCTGGGATCACAGGCGCTCACCACCATGCCCAGCTAATTTTTGTGTTTTTAGTAGATATGGGGTTTCACCATGTTGGCCAGGCTGGTTTGGTGATAGAGTGAGACTCCCTCTCAAACAAAAACAAAAACAAAAACTCCTGACCTCAGGTGATCTGCCCACCTCGGCCTCCCAAAGTGCTGGGATTACAGGTGTACATTCACTGTAAGTGTGTGATACCCTGTTGCTTCAGCTGTTTTAATTTTTCTGCCTTTCATACTATCTTTGCCAATATGCATAATTTTTTTCTCTTTTGAAAGAATCTATGGATTAATAAAACTTTTATATGTGAATGTTTGATTAGCACGCTACGTACTTGAATCTTGGCATAGCTATTTATTGGTTTTCATTGATTGATGATTTCTGTTAAAGAACAAAAGGGACTTTATGCCTTTTAGTTTCCTCACACAGAAGACAGGTTATGGACGGAAAATGTTGATCAGAAAATATCAATAAAATGCAGACTGGGGCTGCTGGACTTAGACAAGGTAGCTGTCATTTTGGTGTCTTTCTATCAATCTGACTAATGACTATTTTTGTACTTATGAATTCTTCAGAACACCTGCTTTTCTGTAGCAAGAAAATGTTTGACTTTCAGTGACAGATGCAAATTATCGACATCATTTTAAATTAAGAGTTGAGATAAAATAGAAGAAAAATAATGCCTAGGAAGTGACTAAAAATATACTTTATGATAAAATGCCCTTCTTTGGCCAAGCCAAGTATGAAAACACTTATTAGACATATATATTTTTTAATTTTTTGATCAGTGCATAATTCTGTTGAAGAATAGTTTGATTTACAGAGGCAACTTTACCCTTATTTTTCATCAGCACCACTGACTTTCTCTTAAGTAGTTGCTTATGTTGTTTCAAGTCTGTTGCATGCATGAAAACAGAATATCAGATTATCACTATTAAAGTAGAAATCCAGCAATTCTTCATTCTTTTTTTCATAACAATGTCCTCCTTGCCTCTGTTTCTGTTTTCTAAGTCTTTCCAGATGTTTCTGAATTAAATTGCATTTCCGCTGCACCACTTCTCTACACTTCCAGTCCCTTCTAGTGGCTTCTGCAGCATTTACAACAAAGCACAGAGCTTTGTACGTATTATTTCAATCTAAAGCATTCCTTCATTTAGGTTCCTGTAAAATTGGAGAAAAGGAAGGATGGAGAATAGACTTTTCAGTCTAAGGGTTTTTTAAAAAACTTCTTCCTTCAGATTGTCGTCTTTAGCTTGCGGTGGTGCCACCTGGAACTAGGAATTTGAAGCTCAGAACTGGATTAACCCAGTAGTCATTGCTCTCTTTTCAAGCTTTCTCTCCATGTTGCAGGATATCTATTTTTCATCTTCATTTCATTCAAACTTTTTGAGAGTTATAGGCAGTTTCTTGGAGAATAGGAAAGCAATAAATTTACTATCTACTAGCAGCCTTTGCTTGTAGGAGATTGACTTGCTACAGTAATGTTACTCTGGAGATACTGAAGTATAAGGCAAATAACTGAAATGAGAATAGTCTTCGGTGAGCAACTTGGATTCAGCTTTGGTTCAACCTTTTTATCAGCTTTGTGACCTTGGTCAAGTCAGTCAAACTGTTTGTATCTCAATTTTCTCATTTGAAAGTTGTCCTTCTCTAAGTGAGATGGTACATGAAAGTGATTTTGAACCTGTAAGGTGCTCTGCATGTATAAGTTTAAATGAAGCCAGCTGTGTTAACATTGTGGTATCTTTAATACACTATAATAAAGTGAATTCAGAATTTCTGACTAAACAAATTTAGGAAAAATTTTGTAAAAATTAGCTGTTTCAAAAATTTATCAAAGAAGGGAAATGATGAACACTTTGAACAGATACTCATTTTGATAAATTATTATTTACCTTCTGTGTATGAAATATACATACATATAAAAGAATGTATATAATATCTGTACACATTTTAAATGATAATTAAAACAATAATTATTTGCAAGACCAACTTGGGCAACAGAGTGGGTCTCTATCTCAACAAAACAAAACAATAATTACCAGTGTGTAATACATACCACCTAGCTTAAGAAATATAACATTATGTATCTTTTCTTTCAACTCATCTGGAATCTTGACTTATTTATTTATTTATTTTATTTTTATGAGGTAGAGGCTTGCTCTGTCGCCCAAGCTGGAGTGCAGTGGCGTGATCTTTGCTCACCGCAACCTCCGCCTCCCAGGTTCAAGTGATTCGCATGCCTCAGCCTCCCGAGTAGTTGAGATTACAGGCATGTGCCATCACACCTGGCTAATTTTTGTATTTTTAGTAGAGATGGAGTTTCTCCATGTTGGCCAGGCTGGTCTCGAACTCCTGGCCTCAAGTGATCCACCCACCTTGGCCTCCCAAAGTGCTGGGATTACAGGTGTGAGCCACTGTGCTGGCAGAATCATGACTATAAATACCTCCTATGTGCTAATGACCCGCAAGGTGTTTTGTTGTTGTTGTTGTTTGTTTGTTTGACCTCTCCCCAGCTCCCAAATTTAAATACATAGTCTGGATTTCTCTACTGAACTTCAGGTTTGTGTATCTGGCTGTATACCTGTTACTTCTACTTGAATGTCTAATAGGTATCTAAGACAACAGCTCTGAAACTGAACTCCTGATTTCCACCTCGCCCATCTGTACCTCTGTAGTCTGCATCTCAGTTCATGGCAACTCTATCTTTCTAGTTGCTCAGGCTAAAAACTTGGAGTTTTGACTCCTTTTCCTCCCTCACAGCCCATATAGAAGCTATCTGCAGATCCTATTGACAGTTTATTAAAAATATATCTTGGCCGGGCGCAGTGGCTTATGCCTGTAATCCCAGCACTTTGAGAGGCTGAGGCGGGTGGATCAAGAGGTCAGGAGTTTGAGATCAGCCTGACATGGTGAAACCCCATCTCTACTAAAAATACAAAAATTAGCCGAGCGTGGTGGTGCGCGCCTGTAATCCCAGCTGCTCAGGAGGCTGAGGCAGGAGAATTGCTTGAACCTGGGAGGCGGAGGTTGCAGTGAGCTGAGATCATGCCATTGCACTCCAGCCTGGGCAACAGAGTGAGATTCTGACTCAAAACAAAACAAAACAAAAAACTATCTATCTATCTGTCTATCTATCTAGAATCTCACTTCTGAACACCCCAACTGTGAAACACACCCAAGCTATTGTGGATTATTGCTAAGGCCTCCCAACTTGTATCTTTGCTTCTATTGTTTCCTCTTCTGTAGTTTATTTTAAGCACAGAAGCTTGAATTATGTTGTTAAAGTCAGTCAGGTAATGTCACTCCTCTGTTTCAAAACTCTGCTCGATGCCTTCTCTTCCCAATCATGAAAAGAAGATGCCCTATACTGTCTGACTCCATTAACTCTCCCATCTCTTAGACTACTCTTCTTTTTCCTCATTTTCTTGTAGCCGCACTGGCATCTTTCTATTCCTCAAACATGTCACTGAGGATGTTGGTTGTGAAGTTCCCAGTTTTATGCTGGAGGCTTCTGTTCTGACCTTTCCTTCTTGAGGCCCTGGCCTTTCTGTCCTCTTCCTTGCACACGTGACCATTAACACCCAACTCTAGGCCATTAGGCATGAGCTTATACCCTCAACAAAGGCCTTTTTTAGAATACTGATTACTTTTCTCATTTTGAGCCATTCCTTTGTGTTCTACATGAAATTCCTTTACTCTTGCCATTTCAACCAGTTATTAACAGTATTCCATTTTATTCAGCATTTTAGGTGGCTTCTTTGTCAGCCATTTTGCCAGAGCTGAAAGTCTGATGAATTGTTATTAACCAGTGAAGTTACAGCATTTATTTCTCAAAATAATTTTGTCTTTTTCTTGAAGGATGGAAGACTCCAGACAGGGGACCACATCTTGAAGATTGGTGGCACAAACGTGCAGGGAATGACCAGTGAGCAAGTTGCACAAGTTCTAAGGAACTGTGGGAATTCAGTCAGGATGCTCGTTGCTAGAGATCCAGCTGGTGACATTTCAGTCACCCCCCCTGCCCCTGCAGCCTTACCTGTTGCCCTGCCTACTGTAGCCAGCAAGGGCCCTGGTTCTGTGAGTATACATATCATTCTTTCATCTTAAACCAAAGCCTGGGTGTGACACACTGTAAGATAAGAAATTCTTTCAACTTGAAGCACCACATTGGTGTGAGTTGTGCGCTCACTAGTGAAACAGGAAAAAAAAAACTTATTGGGAGACATTAGACATGTTGGTTTTCTGTTTCACTGTTTCTCAGGGTTAAGTCATTCAGCCTCCCTGAGCGTCAGTGACTTATTTATAAATTGAAGAATAATAATACTTGCCTTGTCTATTTCATTGGGCTGGTGAGGAGACATCCAGGTGGTGGAGGGAAAACTGTAAACACTGGCCGATGTGTGAGAATTATCACTGGTAGCCACAGGCTGGTTAAAGGGAATGGATATCAATAATATTTATTATACTAATTATTTTAATTATGTAATAATAATAGTTATTATTTTAAATTATCAAGCACCTGGAATTGCTCAGGTCATCTGAAATCTTCACAGTAATTCTGCCAGATAGGCCTTATTATACATTTAATAGATGAGGAAAATAAAGTCAAACATCATGTTAAAGACCTTATAGGGAGTAAGTTGCAAAACTGGAATTTGAATTCACATCTTTCTGGTCCATTCCAAACTCCTTCCCATTATCTCAACATGGGCTTTTAATGAAGACATAATAAAGTAAAAGCAAAGAAATAAGTTTTTTGTTTGTTTGTTTGTTTTGTTTTGTTTTGTTTTGTTTTTGAGATGGAGTTTTGCTCTTGTTGCCCAGGCTGGAGTGCAGTGGCACTATCTTGGCTCACTGCAACCTCTGCCTCCCAGATTCAAGCAATTCTCCTGCCTCAGCCTCCTGAGTAGCTGGGATTACAGACATGCACCACCACGCCTGGCTAATTTTGTATTTTTAGTAGAGATGGAGTTTCTCCATGTTGGTCAGGCTGGTCTCGAACTCCCAACCTCAGGTGATCCGCCCACCTCAGTCTCCCAAAGTGCTAGGATTACAGGCGTGAGCCACCATGATGACCAGAAATAGGTTTTGAAGGGAGGGTCCAGGAGGAAGAGGAAAGAAAAGAGAAATGGGCCAGATGCGGTGGCTTACGCCTCTAATGCCAGCACTTTGGGAGGCCAAGGTGGGTGGATCATCTGAGGTCAGGAGTTCAAGACCAGCCTGGCCAAGATGGCAAAACCCAATCTCTACTAAAAATATAAAAATTAGCCAGATGTGGCACACACCTGTAGTCCCAGCTACTTGGGAGGCTAAGGCTGGAGAATCATGTCAACCGAGGAGGCAGAGGTTGCAGTGAGCTGAGATTGCACCACTGCACTCCAGCCTGGCCAACAGGGCAAGACTCTATTAAAAAAATAAATAAATAAATAAAATAAAACAAAACAGACAAAAAAAAACTGAAACAAAAACAAAAGGAAAGAGAAATGATTATGGTGGAAAAGGGTGGAAGGCCACTGATTATCATCACCTGAGATGTCATTCTGTGTATTCTGGGAAGTTGTTGCCTTTCTCTACTTGGAACAGTATGAGTGGAAGTTTTCTATTTGAAATATCAGAACCTTTAAAAAGTTTCTCCAGCCGGTCTTGGTGGCTCATGCCTGTAATCCGAGCACTTTGGGAGGATGAGGTGGGTGGATCACATGAGGCCAGGAGTTCGAGACCAGCCTGGCCAACATGGTGAAACCTGACTCTACTAAAAATACAAAGGTTAGCCAGGATTGGTGGCACACGCTTGTAATTCCAGCTACTCAGGAGGCTGAGACAGGAGAATCACTTGAACCTGGGAGTTGGAGGTTGCAGTGAGCCGAGATCCTTCCACTACACTCCAGCCTCGGTGACAGAGTGAGACTCTGTCTCAAAAAAATAAAAAGTTTCTCCAAATTGTGGTTACATTTTCTTTTTCCTCCATTACTCTAGTTCCCTGGAGCCTTCTACTTTGTAGTGAGAGACAAATGTGGATATGTGATAAGTGGAAACTTGATCCAATCAATTATTTACTTTTTCATGTTAATGTTTTGAATTAAAAGCTAAGTATTATGTATTTAGACACCTTACTCCTTTACAGAAATGTTTAAAAGATGAGTATTGAAAGTAAGTCTTAGGACCAGATGCAGTAGCTTACGCCTGTAGTCCCAGCTACTTGGGAGGCTGAAGGGGGAGGATTGCTTGAGGCCAGGAGTTTGAGGTTGCAATAAGCTGTGATTGCTCCATTGCACTCCTACCTGGGTGACAGAGCATGATCCTGTCTCTGAGAAAAAAAAAAAAAAAAAGAAGAAGAAGAAAATAAAATAAGTTTTAGGTCGATATTTTTATATTACTGAACAATAATTAGTCTTATGTTTTGTTTCTAAATTTATGTTCATAGTTCTTTCAGATACAAATACAGCCTTTTTTCTAAGTGGTTATATTAGCTTTCTATTGTTGTATAACAAATTTACTGGTTTAAAACAATATCCTTTGTTAGTTCATAGTTAGTTCACAGTTCTGTAGGTCAGAATTCAGGGTGGGCTTGGCTGGGCTCTCTGCTTAGCTTCTTCTTCTTTTTCTTCTTCTTTTTTTTGTTTTTTTTTTTTGTTTGAGACAGAGTCTTGCTCTGTTGCCCAGGCCAGAGTGCAGTGGTGTGATCTCGGCTCACTGCAACCTCTGCCTCCTGGGTTCAAGCGATTCTCCTGTATCAGCCTCCGGAGTAGCTGGGGTTACAGGCATGTGCCACCATGCCTGGCTAATATTTGTATTTTTAGTAGAGACGGGGTTTCATCATGCTGGCCAGGCTGGTCTCCAACTCCTGACCTCAGGTGATCCACCCACCTCAGCCTCCCAAAGTGCTGGGATTAGAGGTGTGAGCCACTGCACCTGGCCTCTGCTTAGCTTCTTACAAAGGCCAAAATCAAAGTGTGGGCCTGGCTGGGCTCTTTTCTGGATGCCCTGGGGACAGCCCATACCCAGTCTCATTCAGATTGTTGGCAGATTCTTGTTCCTTGCAACTATAGGACTGAGGTCCCTTTTTATTTGTCGGCTGCCAGCCAGAGACCTCTTTCGGCTCCTTAAGGTCCCCTGCATTCCTTGTCACGTGACTCCCTCCATCTTCAAACCACAAGTTGAGTCCTTAATGATTCAGATCTTTTTCATTTCTCTTTCTGCTACCAGCAGGAGAAAACTCTGCCTTTAAAGGACTCCAGTGATGAGATTAGGCCCACTTGGATAGTCTCCATTTTGCCATGTAATATGGCATCAATATGGGAGTAGCACCAGGAATTGAAGGTCATGGGACCATCTTAAAATTCTGCCTGCCATAGATGCTAAGAAAATACTTGACAAACCTTGCACAGATTGACTATGTACACACAGGTATGCCACTAAGCATATATAATTAAATTTGTTTTTTCCTTTTAGGACAGTTCTCTTTTTGAAACTTATAATGTTGAGCTTGTGAGAAAAGATGGGCAGAGTCTTGGAATTAGAATTGTTGGCTATGTTGGAACATCTCATACAGGTAAATGAATCATTTCTATTTTATATTTGGAAATTGTAAAGGATGTTAAGGTTTCTAGATAGTGAAATTAAATACTTGCAGATTTTAATTTAAATCTTGAACAATAAAACCATGAGTCTATACTAGCAAGCAGTCACTTCTCAGTGATTACAGAATCACATTTTTATCTCAATAGTTTTATAGCTGGCTTGATATCCATTAACAAAAGAATATAATTGGCCAGCTTAGTGTATAATATTTGAATTGTATCTTCTCTTGTTTGTAAAATAGCTATATTATGAACATTGTTAACATATTATGATAGATTAGATTTGTGATAATTAAATTGATTTCTGTATATGTTTCATATTGTAAATGTTCCCAAAGTATGACTATTGTGTTTTATCACTAAAAAAAAAAGTTAAAACAAGCATTTTCATTAGAACTATTTTCTTTTCATGTGAAAGAAATAAACTATGAGAATAAGTACACAATTCAAGTATCCCTGACTAAAACTCTCTCAACTCCTATCTGCAAAGCTTTGGTAACTTTCACTATAAGATTTATTCCTTTATTATAAGAGAATTATTAGGGTAAGAAAAAATAAACCTTTCCACAAATATTTGCTAATAATATGAAAATTCAGAGTTATAAAATGTTCAATTTTTTTTAAGAGCAAGATTACAGAGTTCATTTCCTTAAAAAAAAATTGTTATTTTGCATACTTACAGCAGGTGGAAGGATTAAGAGTGCTAATGTATTCAAAGTCCTGAATGAAATTCATGTCAGACCACCTTGTGTTATTTTAGCCTAATGAACTATCTTTTTTCAAACCTTTAGATTCTACGTGCCACCTTTATTTAGGTTCAGAATTTAATGACATTCAAAAGAGCTCAGTGTGGATTGTATAATAATGTTGCAAAAAACCACATCAAGTAGTTTTCAATATGTTAAGTCTGGTTAGAGGAATCATTAGTTCCTAAACTTATGGTTTTGTTCCTAAGTGAAAGTGAATGACTGGTAGAACATTAAGAAAATTTAATGTTTATATTACTGGATAAAGGAAAGTATCATTTTACTATTTTACTTCTTTTGTTTGTTTATTTGTTTTTGTTTTTTTTTTGAGATGAGTCTCGCTCTGTCGCCCAGGCTGGAGTGCAGTGGCGCGATCTTGGCTCACTGCAACCTCCGCCTCCCAGGTTCAAGAGATTCTCCTACCCCAGCCTTCGGGTAGCTGGGAGTACAGGCATACACCACCACCCCCGGATAATTTTTGTATTTTTAGCTGAGACAGGGTTTCACTATGTTGGCCAGGGTGGTCTCAAACTCCTGACCTCAGGTGATCTGCCTGCCTCGGCCTCCCATAGTGCTGGGATTACAGGCATGAGCCACCGTGCCTGACCCATTTTACTTCTTTACCCTCAAAAGTTTTTTGGACTGGGTAATTAGGGGTGGCAGGGAGCACATAAATCCAAACACAACTCAACATGCTTTTTAACAAGTAGTCTTTGAAAATGATTTTTGCTTTATTCTATTCATTGGACTTTTGAGCAGTTCTGGAGAGGGTAGAAAAATGAATAAGAGAAGTCTGTTCAGGGAGACAAACATATAAGAAACACTTAGTTCTTTTTTAAAAATTATTATTATCATTTTTTTTCTTTTCTGAGATGGAGTCTCGCTCTGTCACCCAGAGGTGGAGTGCAGTGGCGTGATCTTGGCTCACTGCAACCTCTGCCTCCCGCTTTCAAGTGACTCTTGTGCCTCAGACTCCCCAGTAGCTGGGACTATGGGTGCGCATGTGAAATCCACAGATATGCGGGGCCCACTGTACAAGCAAACTATCATGGTATGGCAGATGACATATTCAGTTTGTCAGAGGGAAATGGAGAATTCACAAAGAAGGCGGCATTTGAGCTATGAATGGAAAAGAAGGGTTTCGATAGGTCAGAGTTTACCAGAAGAAAGAAACTAGAGAAAAGGTAAAATCATGAAAATGCTAGATGTTTTGGGGAAATGTCAAGTGCGTGCTGCGGACTGGGCTTGGTGGCTCATGCCTGTAATCCCAGCACTTTGGGAGGCTGAGGCTGATGGCTCACTTGAGCCCAGGAGTTCAAGACCAGCTTGGGCAACATGGTGAAACACTGTCTCTACAAAAAATAAAAAAAAATTGTAGCCGCAGCTACTCGGGAGGCTGAGGTGGGATCGCTTGAACTGGGGAGGCAGAGGCTGCAGTGAGCCGTGATTGTGCCACTGCACACCAACCTGCAACCTGGGCAACAGAGCCAGATCCTGTTTCAAAAAAAAAAAAAAAAAGCCTGGTGTGTCCAGACTTTTATTTTCTTGGAAAGTTGTAGTGGAAATTGAAGTCAAAAAATAAATTTGGGCAGATTATGGAGGGCCTTGAATATGATTCCATGAAATTTATATATTATTTCGTTGGCAATGGAAAGTGATTTATGTTTATTTTTCTTCTACAATTTTTTTTTTTTTTTTGAGACAGAATCTCGCTCTTGTTGCCCAGGCTGGGGTGCAATGGCACAGTCTCGGCTCACTGCAACCTCCATCTCCCAGGTTCAAGCGATTCTCCTGCCTCAGCCTCCCAAGTAGCTGGGATTAGATGTGCCCACCATCATGCCCAGCTAATTTTTGTATTTTAGTAGAAACAGGGTTTTGCCATGTTGGCCAGGCTGGTCTTGAACTCCTGACCTCAAGTGATCTGTCCGCCTCAGCCTCCCAAAGTGCTGGGATTACAGGCGTGAGCCACTGTGCCCGGACTTTTTTTTTTTCTTTAAGAGACAAGCCTTAAGCTCCTGGGCTCAGGTGATTCTCATGCCTCAGCCTCCAGAGTAGCTGGAATTACAGGCATGCGCCATTACACCTAGCTAATTTTTAAATTTTTTGTGAGATGACATCCCACTATGTCACCCAGGCTGGCCTCAAAGTCCTGGGCTCAGGTGATCCTCCCCCCTCAGCCTCCCAAAGCGCTGGGATTACAACTGTGAACAACTACACCTGGCCTACAAACAATGTTTTGAGTTTATTTGGAAATAAAAATGTAAAATCATGCAGATCTATTGTGTTTTATTTTCCAATTTCCCTTCCTGTCCCTTCCCATGGGAAGGCATGCTTTAAAATCAAAGTTTTAATTTAAAAATTTTTTATAGCCATTTGTCTGTTTCAATGTTTTATTTTATAATATGTAAAGATTATTTCATGTTGCTGAGCTCATACTAATTTGTTGTTGTTGTTGTTGTTGTTAAGACCATATGTACTTTTCTGGGCCAGGCGTGGTGACTCACACCTGTAATCTCAGTGCTTTGGGAGGCCGAGGTGGGCGGATCACCTGAGGTCAGGAGTTCAAGACCAGCCTGACCAACATGGTGAAACCCCATCTCTACTAAAATTACGAAAGTTATCTGGGTGTGGTGGTGGGCGCCTGTAATTCCAGCTACTCAGGAGGCAGGAGAATCACTTGAACTCTGAAAGTGGAGGTTGCAGTGAGCTGAGATCGTGCCATTGCACTCCAGCCTGGGCGACAAGAGCAAAACTCCATCTCAAAAAACAAACAAAAAGATCATATATAGTTTTCTTATTTCTGTGTCTGTGAAGCTAACATGAGCAGTGATCTAAATATAGGCAGGAAGACCTAGGAGACTCTTGTCATAGTGATGGTAAAAAAAAAAAAAAAAAAAAAAAGAAGTTTTATGCCACATCAGTAATAAGAGTAGAGACAGACTGAGAGAGAGTCAGACTTCCTCTGGGCTCTCCTGAATTCCAGCTTAAATTAGAGTACATTTCATCAGGGTTCCACTACTGATTATTTTAACGGAAGAGTAGTCATCAGTCAAATCATTTCAAATTCAGGTCACTTGAGATGGTGGCAGTTTGAAATAATCCATCAATTTCTCTGCTTGTGTTCAAAATAGTATTTATCAAACCTCCAGTCAACCCCGTTAGCTAATTAACCTCTTGATACAAATTTTGCAATCAAGGCCTAATTAGAATTTTCTTCCTTTTTCCGTATGTCTGTGCACCTTAAGGGGAAGCTTCAGGGATTTATGTGAAAAGTATAATACCTGGCAGTGCTGCGTACCACAATGGCCACATTCAAGTGAATGACAAAATAGTTGCTGTAAGTAACTCGCCTCTGTTTTAGGTTTGATTCTAGTTGAAAAAAAGGTTGATCATTATTATAATACATGTGAGAGGGGGAATAGCTTAATATAGTTTTATAAGGTTTTTTAAAAAATTAAGTTTGTTATACAGTGAAATCTCATTATTTTGGACTCTTCTTCCTACATTAAATTTTTTTTCACCGTCAGTGAAGAAAGGATTCACTAAACATATTGGTAAAAAAGTATATTTTTTCTATACATGTATGTTTGAAAGATGTTCTAGCATTATCCTAGAAAACCCTGCGAGGACCACACTGTGTTCTTTAAACTCACCCATTTTATCTATAATTAATAGGCCATTAACCAGCTCTTTCTATCTTTTTGTAAAAGTAGTTTTTCTGTTAACAATAATTATAAGTACAACTAAAATTGAGGTATTTTACATATTTAAGAATATAATATCACCTTTTATCAATTAAAACTGGTCTTTCCCCCATTTAGTAGAAATTAGTTCAATTTATATATACGCTTATATTAATGTCTATACATATGTATACACACACATTGCTTAACATAGAAACAAATGCTGGGTGGTATGCTTTGAATCCTTGTCCTTCAAATCTATCTAAGAAAGCACATTTCATGACTCTTGGCTTTAAAAGCCTTATGGGGAAAGTTGAAATACTTACAGCTAGCTCAAAGAAGATTGAGAGAGGAAGCCTATTGGTTCTGATAGACTTCAGGAATTGGGCTTGACATAGATTAAGAATACTGTTCTTGCTCACACTTTTTCAGAAAGCTAGAAGACCTATTGGAGGGAGATCAGTGTGTTTCTTGAAAATATCATGTGGTGATATGAATAGAGGGATGAAGTATTAGATGACCTCTTCAGTTTTGATAATAATGGCTTCTATTAATACATCTTGTGTAATAACTGGCCATCTTTTATGGCATTTTGAATTTTGAATTGCATCAGAGATTAAAGTCCTTTATATCTCTCAGGCTATTAGTTAAGTGACAAATTTGAATTTGCTTTCTAGTGTGTGAGGAAGTTTCTCAGCATGTTTTACTAGTTTTACATCCTTGTTCAAAAATATATCCTAAGGTCTAAATTTATTTTCTTTCTTTCTTTCTTTCTTTCTTTCTTTCTTTCTTTCTTTCTTTCTTTCTTTCTTTCTTTCTTTTTCTTTCTTTCTTTCTTTTTTTTCTTCCTTTCTTCCTTTCTATTTTCTTCCCCTTTCTTTCCCCCCTTCCTCTCTTCCTTCCTTCTCCTTCCTTCCTTCCTTCCCTCCCTCCCTCCTTCCTTCCGTCTTTCCTTCCCTCTTTCCTTCCCTCCTTCTATCCTTGCTTCATCTTGCTCTGTCGCTCAGGCTGGAGTGCAATAGCACAATCTTGGCTCACTCCAACCACTGCCTCCCAGGTTCAAGCGATTCTCCTGCCTCAGCCTCCCGAGTAGCTGGGTCTGCAGGTGCCTGCCACCACACCTGGCTAATTTTTGTATGTTTAGTAGAGATGGGGTTTCACCATGTTGGCTAGTCTGGTCTCGAACTCCTGACCTCAGGTGATCCATGATCCACCCACCTTGACCTACCAAAGTGCTGGGATTACAGGCGTGAGCCACCACACCCGGCCTAAATAATTTATTTTTGGAATGAAAGAAATTGCCTCATTTTATTCAGTGTTGCCAGAGCTAAAAATAGTAGCTAATTTAAAACCTCTGCTTAATGTTTCTCTTGATGTTTTAGGTCGATGGCGTGAACATTCAGGGTTTTGCCAACCATGATGTTGTTGAAGTATTACGAAATGCAGGGCAGGTGGTACACCTAACCCTAGTTCGAAGGAAGACATCCTCATCTACTTCTCCACTTGAACCACCTTCAGACAGAGGTGATTAATTTGCCACCCCTCTATCCCTCAAGTAGTTTACATTTGGAAGAGCAGTTCAATTATGGAAGTTGCTCCATGAGTCTCAGCAGGAAATGTTGTCCCACCTCGTGTAATACACTGATGGAGAAATGAGTCAGCTCATTTGTTCACTGAAGCAAGTGTTTTCTTTGCTTACTATGTCAGTCAGAATGGTAGGATGTGCACCCGACATGCACTAAGCTCTGAGAGCATCTCTAAATGGAGTTGAAAATCATTTTTTCTAAAAGCTTTCAAATTTCATTGATTACGTATATTTGAATAATAAAGCTTTGACACCTTTTGTTAGGGGAATCTCATTTGTCTAATACTTTGACATTTTGCAGACTTCGGGTTTCCTATTACTTTTTTTTTTTTTGAGACAGTCTTACTGTCTTGCCTAGGCTGGAGTGCAGTGGCACGATCTTGGCTTACTGCAACCTCTGCCTCCTGGGTTCAAGTGATTCTCGTGCCTCAGCCTCCCAAGTAGCTGGGACTACAGGCATGTGCCACCACACACGGCTAATTCTGTTTGTATCTTTAGTAGAGATAGGGTTTCACCGTGTTGGTAAGGCTGGTCTCAAACTCCTGACCTCAGGTGATCTGCCTGCCTTGGTCTTCCAACATGCTGTAATTACACGTGTGAGCCACTGCGCCCAGCCAGGTTTCCTATTACTTTTAACAATATATTTTATTCTAATCTGCCTCTTGATTTACTTTTTGAAGTATACTGAGAGAAAATAAAACACGTATTTGTATTTTATTTTTTTTAGACAGGTCTCACTTTGTTGCCCAGGCTGGAGTGTAGTGGCATGTTCATGGCTCACTGCCGCCTTACTTCCTGGGCTCAAGTTATCCTCCTACCTCAGCCTCCTGAGTAGCTGGGACCACGGGTGAGCACCACCATACCCAGATAATTTATTTTTATTTTTTTTGTAGAGATGGGGTCTCTCCTGTGTTGCCCATGCTAGTCTTGAACTCCTGGGCTCAAGTGATCCACCTGCCTTGGCCTCCTAAACTACTGGGATTACAGGTGTTAACCACGGTGCCTGGCTGCATGTCAGTTTTTAATTATCAACTTAGAAACATATAGATGAACAAAAGTTGATAATCATGGAAACACATATTCAATTTAGAATGAGTGAATTACTGGGTGCAGTAATTCTAGCCATGCTTGGTGGCTCATGCCTGTAATTCCAGCACTTCTGGAGGCCAAGGCAGGAGAATCACTTGAGGCCAGGAATTTAAGACCAGCCTGGCCAACATAGAGAGACCCCTTCTCTACAAAAAATTAAACATTAGCCGGGCCTGGTGGCACCCACCTGTAGTCCCAGCTACTCAGGAGGCTCAGGCAGGAGAATCACTTGAACCTAGGAGTTTGAGGCTTCAGTGAGCATGCCACTGCCTGCCGGCCTGCGTGACAGAGTGAGACCTGTCTCTTAAAAGAAAAAAAAAAAGTGACTAGTTGTATAACTAGGGAGTAAGAAATACTTCAATTAGAATTTGACAGAAGATCATTTTTTTCCTCTGAAAATATTCTTCTGAAGATACAATACACCTGGAAGCCTTTGCTTTCAGCCGATAGTGATTTGTATTTAAATTGGAACTTTTTCTCTTTTATGTGATAGTAGAACTTTTGTTGCTGAAAGACAGATGCCCTGCCAACTGCATCCAGTGTATGAAATTAAAAATTGCCTAAATAGTCCAAATTGTACAAATGCCATTAAAAAAATTTTTTTTAATGATTTATTGATTTATTTATTTTTGAGATGGAGTTTCACTCTTGTCGCCCAGACTGGAGTGCAATGGCGCGATCTTGGCTCACTGCAACTTCCACCTCCTGTGTTCAAGTGATTCTCCTGCCTCAGCCTCCCCAGTAGCTGGAATTACAGGCGCTGCCCGCCACCATGCCTGGCTAATTTTTTGTGTTTTTAGTAGAGATGGGGTTTCACTATGTTGGCCAGGCTGGTCTCAAACTCCTGGCCTCGTGATCCACCTGCCTTGGCCTCCCAAAGTGCTTGGATTACAGGCGTGATCCACCACGCCTGGCACAAATGCCATATTGACCTTAAATTGCTTACATAAATATTTATATAAATGTTTTTTTAATTTAAAATTTATTTTTATAGATTCAGGGGATAAATGTGCATGTTTGTTACATGGATATATATGCATAGTGTTGGGGTTTGGTCTTCTAGTATACCCATCACTCAAATAGTGAACATCATACTGAATATGTAATTTTTCAACCCTCACCCCCGCTCCACCAGCCTCCTTCATCCTGGGATCCCCAGTGTTTATTATCTTCTTCTGCATATCTGTGTGTACCCATTGTTTAGCTTAGTGAGAACATGGAGTGTTTAATTTCCTGTTTCCGAGTCATTTCACTTAGAATAATGGCCTCCAGCACCATTCATGTTGCTGAAAACAAAACAAAACATAATTTCATTCTTTTTATGCCTGTATAGTAGTCCATGAAACAAAACATAGTTTCATTCTTTTTATGCCTATATATATATACATACCACATTTTCTGTATCCTATCATCTGTTGATGGACACTTAGATTGCTTTCATGGCTTTGCTTTTGCAAATAGTGCTGAAATAAACATACAAGTACATGTGTCTTTTTGATAGAACTATTTCTTTTCCTTTGGGTAGAAACCCAGTAGTGGAGTTACTGGGTCAAATTGTTGTGCTATTTTTAGTTCTTTAAGAGATCTCCATACTGTTTTCCACATCGACAGAAGTTGTACTAATTTACATCCCCACCAACAGTGTATAAGTGTTCTCTTTTCTCCACATCCTTGCCAATATCAGTTGTTTTTTGACTTTTTAATAATGGCCATTCTGACTGATATGAGATGGTATCTCATTGTGGTTTGAATGTGGATTTAATTGCAGGATTGTTAGTTTGCTGGCTACTTATATTCTACTTTTGAGAAAATGTCTGTTCATGTCTTTTGCCCACTTTTTAATGGTGGGTTGTTTTATTGTTACTGAGTTGTGTGAGTTCCTTCTGGAACCTGAATATTAGTTGTTCATTGGAGACATAGTTTGCAAATATTTTCTCCCATTCTGTAGGTTGTCTGTTTACTGTGTTGACTACCTATTTTGCTATGCAGAAGCTTTTCTTTTTTTAAATTTTTTTGTTATACTTTAAGTTCTAGGGTACATGTGCACAACGTGCAGGTTTGTTACATATATGTACATGTGCCATGTTGGTGTGCTACACCCATTAACTCATCATTTATATTAGGTAGTTCTCCTAATGCTATCCCTCCCCTTCTTCCCACCCCACAACAGGCCCCGGTGTGTGATGTTCCCCACCCTGTGTCCAAGTGTTCTCATTATTCAATTCTCACCTATGAGTGAGAACATGGTGGTGTTTGGTGTTCTGTCCTTGTGATAGTTTGCTCAGAATGATGGTTTCCAGCTTCACCCATGTCCCTACAAAGGACATGAACTCATCCTTCTTATGGCTGCGTAGTGTTCCATCGTGTATATGTGCCACATTTTCTTAATCCAGTCTATCACTGATAGACATTTGGGTTGGTTCCAAGTCTTTGCTATTGTGGATAATGCCGCAATAAACATACATGTGCATGTGTCTTTACAGCAGCATGATTTATGATCCTTTGGGTATATACCCAGTAATGGGATGGCTGGGTCAAATAGTGTATCTAGTTCTAGATCCTTGAGGAATCGCCATACTGTCTTCCACTGTGGGTGAATTAGTTTACACTCCCACCAACAGTGTAAAAGTGTTCCTATTTCTCTACATCCTCTCCAGCACCTGTTGTTTCCTGACTTTTTAATGATTGCCATTCTAACTGGTGTGAGATGGTATCTCATTGTGGTTTTGATTTGCATTTCTCTGATGGCCAGTGATGGTGGGCATTTTTTCATGTGTCTTCCCATTGTTTAGTTCCTTATTCTTTTCAATGCCATTAATCCATTAATAAGTTCATTTTTTAAGGAATTGATTGGTTGTCTATTACACATGGCATTTTGGGTTTAAGGAATCATATATATAAGTTACCTCAGATTTAATAAGGTTGTGAAATGGGAGAAATGGGAGAACAGCAGTAAAATCTGCTCACTTAAATATAGTCCTCAACAACTAATAATTCAAGTTAGCATTAACAAAATTTTAAAAAATTATTTTTTTTTGTTTTAGGAACTGTTGTAGAACCACTGAAACCACCAGCTCTCTTTCTAACTGGAGCAGTGGAAACTGAAACTAATGTGGATGGTGAAGATGAGGAAATTAAAGAAAGAATTGATACTTTAAAAAATGACAACATACAAGCCTTAGAAAAATTGGGTAGGCACAAAGCATTCACTTTGCGATAACAGACTTCTTCATTTGTTAACCATTTTCTGTCTTTATAGTTAATATAGTATGAGAAATCTTAGAGGCATTTTGGAGACATAAAATAGGATATTCTTAATATCAACTTTTTTTTTGAGACAGAGTTTCTTTTTTTTTTCTTTTTTTTTTTTAATTGTACTTTAAGTTCTAGGGTACATGTGCACAACGTGCAGGTTTGTTACATATGTATACATGTGCAATGTTAGTGTGCTGCACCCATTAACTCATCATTTACATTAGGTATTTCTCCTAATGTTCTCCCTCACCACTCCTCCCACCCCACGACAGGCCCTGAGATGGAGTTTCATTCTTGATGCCCAGGCTGGAGTGCGGTGGCATGATCTCAGCTTACTGCAACCTCCACCTCCTGGGTTCAAGCGATTCTCCTGCCTCAGCCTCCCGAGTAGCTGGAATTACAGGTGCATGCCACCACACTGGGCTAATTTTTGTATTTTTAGTAGAGATGGGTTTCACCATGTTGGCCAGGCTGGTCTCAAACTCCTGGCTTCAAGTGATCTGCCCACCTGGGCCTCCCAAAGTGTTGGGATTATAGGCGTGAGCCACCGTGCCCAGCCAATATCAACATTTAACATTTTAATCTTTCTTTACTTATATTAATTATTTTATTTTATTTTAATTTTTGTAGAGATGGAGTCTCACTATGTTGTCCAGGCTGGTTTCAAACTCCTGAGCTCAAGCCATGCTCCCACTTTGGCCCCCCAAAGTGCTGAGATTATAGGCGTGAACCACCTTAGCTTATATATTATCATTGATATGTCTATATCTATAGATTATTGCTGTTTATACACATATAGCATATGTTTCTTTTTCATTATACATGTTTTTTATTATAAAAATTAATAATGTATGCATTTCTATAAGTTGCATTGAATTGCCAAGCTGTTATACCTTTATTCTTTAATTTTTTTTAATTGATTTGCAGCTTTGTCCTTTTACTTTGTATTTTGATACCTTAGCTATTATAGTGGACTCTACTCTCCAAGCTCATTGAGTAACAGTTGCACACAGTTCCCTGCACAAAAGTGCTCTGGAAAGCCTCGCCAGCTAAATGAAACTCCTTGAGTACTTAACACCATCCATGTTCCCGAGAAGTTTTGGCTTTTGGCTTTGTCTTGTCTCAGGTCAGGAAAGAATAGCCTATGATTTGGAAATTTACCTTGTTCTTTTTGACTCAAGTAGATTGCAGTTTATCTTTGCAAATCTGAGTTGAGCTCAGATTTTCAGAAAAATGTCAGATGAAAATCAAGTACATTCTGAAATTAGATATAGTTTTAGAAGTATTTTTTCCATAATGTTCATTTTTTTATTATTACAATGACAAGACAAAGTTTTTCGTATCACCATTACACTTATACTAGGGATAACAATACTCCTCTATTATAAATGCTACATGACCTTTTAAAAACATTATTTACTATGCTTGGCATAACTGGGCATGCTTAATAAAATAAATAAAAGATAAAACATTCAATTTTTTTTTTACTAATCAAAGTACCTAATTTTATACAATTTGCACTCAACTTTTAATGTTAGTAATAGAAACAATGAAATTATTTTACTTCTTGATACTTAAGACTTTAACTCCAACACATGCACTACAAGATTTTCGTCATCAATATAACGGTCTTGGCATCTTATATGTTATGTTCCCGTTTTAAATCAAGTCCTACTTGCTAAAACGAAAACCGGTAAAGACAATGAACAGATGGTTCACGAAAGAGGAATACAAAAAGCCAATAACAACACTGGCATATCAACCTCATTCGCAATGAAAGAAATACAGATTTTAAAAATGACATACCATTTTTGGTTATATATGCAAAAATTAAAAATTATACTTACAGTTGACCAGGAAGTATTAGTTTTAGAAATATTTTATGTGTGCTTTTTGGATCAACTTCACTACGTTTTTTTCTTCTTGCATATGTATAATTTTAGCTTTAGAGTAAAATCAAAATCTACTAACTGCTATGAGGTTAGCTCTCTTTTTGTCTTTGGAATAATTATTTCAGATCATCATGTTATTCATTTTTTGATCATTTTGTGTAGCCTAGGATTTATTGAGCTGCTGAAAGCATATCTCTTTTCTCCAGCACTTAGGCCTTTGTACTGTGGTTTAAAACACATGACTGTGTTTTCATTGTACAACTGAAAGGTAAAAATATAGTCAAAAAAATTGCTGGTGAAATGTCAACATTATTTTATACATTTATATTAACTGTCATATGAGAGCCATGTTTTTAAGTTTAGAATTCAACAAATAAATTGCCAATTTTGTTCAGTTTTGTTTACCAGTTAAGAAATTACTGCCTAGAAGAAATTTATGAGGCAAGATGTTAGAACTCTTAATGTAATTTCTTAAGGAAATGCTAACAGGAATAGGTGCAAAGGTGCAGAGCCCAAATGAATTTGATTTTTTGTTTTTAATAGGATCTTTGGTTAGTTATCACCTAAATGTAATCTAGCATAGCAATTGATATAGTTATTTCATGGGTATTCTTTTATAAATGTAGTAATTTAAGTTCTTTAATGTTCATTAGTCTTAGTCACTGATTTTTGAGGTTAGCCTGTTTCACTTAATGATTTGTATTATGTGATTAAACATTATATGCATCCAAGATGAGCTGTCCATGCTGAAGACTGAAAGAGCTGATACTGCAAGTTAACATTTGATTTTAGGCAGATGGTTATATCAGTTGTGATAACTGTTCTGTGACTTGTTTAATCTTAAGACAAAATTGAGACAGTTTTTCTTTAAGTTAAAAAACGTAGAAGTTTGTTCATTTTCTGCTACTGCTATGGGTATAAGGTATAACTTCAGTTTTAGTACTTTGACTTTTGCCTGTTAGACATTATTCATACTATGCACCGTGCACTGAGCTTCTGGCTACAGTCATGTGGAGGACAGGCAAGACACTTAAAATCTGTTTTGGCACTGTAAAATTATCTATGCAACAAAGACAGTATTCCACTCAAAAAAGTCGTAAAGATACAAATATCTTAATAACCAAGCAACAAAAGACTAGTGTGAAACCAAAGTTTCTATTGTATTAAAGCTCATGGAACTTTGACTGAATTAAACCAGACAAGCCTTTATAGCTACCCATGTGAAAAGTCTGAATGTATTGTGTTGATATGCGCTGCTGATAGTAAAGATATCTTGGTAAGTTTTTACTTTTCTAGTGGGCAGCTGGAATGGAACTACTTTGAAGTGATTAACATTTAAATTAAATCCTTCTATGTCCTAATGTATTATAAAGCAAAGCCACATGCATTTTACTTGTAAACTATAGGATATTTACATATAAACTGTATATAATTTAAATTTCATGTATAACTCATCACGTCCTCTTTCCTTTAAAATATCCCTTAACAACAAAAGCACCTTCATAATTTGGTCACAGCTGATCTTTACATTTTATGTTAGTTTTATAAGTCACCTCTGATTTACTTTACCTAGCAGACCTAAGTTAATGCATTTTCCTTTTTATTCATTTCCCCTTTACTTACTGAAACTGGGCTGTTATTGAAGAATTTAGCAGTTAAGTGTGTTTGGCTCACAGTAGTTTCAACATTCTCTCGCTCTCTCTCTTTTTTTTTAATATCCAGAAAAAGTCCCAGACTCTCCAGAAAATGAGCTGAAATCCAGATGGGAAAACCTGTTGGGTCCTGATTATGAAGTAATGGTATGTTAAAATGCTCTAATAAAAAACATTCATGTCTCATTTCACATCAAGTTTCTAACAGTACGATCCAAAGAAATGGGTGAGTCAAAGAATAGCCCGCCTGACTTTATTTTTCCTTCCTGCCTTTCTTCCCTAGTGGATCAATCGATTTTTTTCCCCCCATCTTTAGCATTTTAAGCAGTAAGAATAATTAAGGACTGCACACAAACTTCAGTTAACATTAGGAGACACTCAGTTCGTGTTGAAACCATTTAAGTCGACAATAGACAGAAAACTGTTGGGAGAGAGGGCTTGCCTTTAAATTTATAACCTGTATCAGCTGCTTAAAATTGCTGGCATTTTTATGATTGCTTTTATGATCTGTTTGTTTTATTGTACACTGAAAGGACTGTGGATATTAGTCCTATGTTTCACAAAGAATCTTACAGTTTTATGTGAAAAATGAAAGAATGATTATCAAATGTATTTGGAAGAACAGGAAGTAATTTAGGTTAGGTATAAGTTTATAGTGCCAGTGGTCCATTAGACTTCCTTTCACCTGCTATTAGATTCATTGAGTAAGGGACTGATTACATTTCCCCATATGAATCCACATGAAGGCAGACGGTTGTGCTTAGACAAGCCTCTACAGTGTTCACTAAATGCATTAGTAATAAAATACTCTTTTACATTTCTACTCTCATTCACATTTTCTTACATATGTTTATAATTAGTACTGGTTGGCTGGTTGGAGATTTTTAAAATCTTTTTGGTTTAGATTACCTAACCACCATCTGTTGTCACAGAATTTTCAGTGTCATTAAGATGAGTCAAGGCCGGGCGCGGTGGCTCACGCCTGTAATTCCAGCACTTTGGGAGGCCGAGGCGGGCGGATCACGAGGTCAGGAGATCGAGACCATCCTGGCTAACATGGTGAAACCTCGTCTCTACTAAAAATACAAAAAATTAGCCGGGCGTGGTGGCGGTCGCCTGTAATCCCAGCTACTCGGGAGACTGAGGCAGGAGAATGGCGTGAACCTGGGAGGTGGAGCTTGCAGTGAGCGGAGATCATGCCACTGCACTCCAGGCTGGGTGACAGAGCGAGATTCCGCCTCAAAAAAAAAAAAAAAAAGATGAGTCAATACAATTCACACTTTCTCTTGGTAACTTTATGCCTGTGTGTCAGTTCTCATGAGCTGCTGTTTCTTTGCTTCACAGATTTTGAATATGGTTATTAGGCTATCACCTAGCAAATGGCATTTCCTACTTATCTTAGTGGTTTGGTATTCAAATAAATTTGCTGTAACAGTATTTACAAATGGCCAGTTTTATGATGGGCTCTTTTTTTTGTTAAAAACATTTTTTAGGCCGGGTGGAGTAGCTCACACCTGTAATCCCAGCACTCTGGGAGGCCAAGAAGGGTGGATCACTTGAGGTCGGGAGTCTGAGACCAGCCTGGCCAACATGGTGAAACCTTGTATCTACTAAAAATACAGAAATTAGCTGGGTGTGATAGTGGGCACCTGTAATCCCAGCTACTCAGGAGGCTGAGGCAGGAGAATTGCTTAACCTGGGAGGCGGAGGTTGTGGTGAGCTGAGATCGTGCCACTGCACTGCAGCTGGGCAAAAGAGGGAGACTCCACCTCAAAAACAAAACAAAACAAAACAAAAAACAAAAAAACATTTTTTTGAGAGACAGGGTCTTTCTCTGTTGCCCAGGCTGGAATGCAGTGGTACAATCATAGTTCACTGCAGCTTCAACTTTCTGGGCTCAAGTGATCTCCCACCTCAGCCTCCTGACTGGCTGGAACTACAAGCATGAGCCACCACGCTCGCTTAATTTTTCAAATTTTTTTAGAGATGGTGTCTCGCTGTGTTGCCCAGTCTGGTCTCGAACTCCTGGGCTCAAGTGATCCACCCTGCTTGGCCTCCCAGAGTTCTGGGATACAGACATGAGCCACTGCCAGCCTTCTGTTAAAATTTTATTCTCCTTATAATTAAACTTTTAAATTTCATTTATTTATTACATGGTGAGGTCATAACAGACAAATTATAAAGAGGAGACAGAATTTGAAGTTGGAAATTTAAAGTGACAGCTATCCATTAAAAGTTGTAGCATCTTGTACCGAGGAATGGTTGGCAGAAAGAAGCTAGGCATGATGGAGAATGAATGAATGCGTGTACTCCAATATTTCTTATTTTGTTAAAAAACTTTCTTACAGGATCTGCTTATCTGAAATGCAGTACTTTCAGAAGCTGTAGTTGGGTCATTGTTTAACTTATCCCTTCCCGCCAGATGCATCATATTTTATTAACAAGTTACAGATGCAAATCATCAGTAACATACTTTTGCTTGCAAGGAATTCACTTCTGTGGATGTCCACCATTGAAGCTTAGAACAATAGTTTTAGGCCAGGATTAAAAGCTTTAAGTATTCCATGAGCTTTCCACCAAGGACCAGGTCTTTCCGTTTATGTCTTTGCCAGCTATTTCTCCTGGGGAAATGGTTTGAGCTTGTTGTGGAAAGTCAGATGCTTTAGTTTTTCCAAACACATCTGACTTTACTGACCTTGCAAATTTTGTTTTGAGGCTTGGGTTTGAAAGTAAAAATGGCCATATTTTTGATTTTGTCAAAAGAGTAAAATTTTTATGCATCCAGGATAATGGAGGATTATATTAAAATTTTAGGGGTCATGGATTTTTAAAAATAGTATATATATGTGCCCATCACCTTCTGTTCAATTTATGTAATTTAGGAAAAAAGATTGTTGTGGAGAACAACAACAAAAAAATCAAATATACTCTGAAATTTCACATTATGTGTTATAGATTTCAAAAATATAAGAAAGGTATCGGAATGTAGGTCAAATAGAGTTATCAATATATAGGTTTTACAGATATTTTCAGAAAATGTAGGAGGAAATACAGTTATGCTTTTACAAATACTGGAAATTTTTTTTGTAAATTTAGGTTGCTACTTTGGACACACAGATTGCAGATGATGCTGAGTTACAGAAATATTCAAAGGTAAGCATTTTTTATAACAAAGTTAACAGTTTTATTTTTTTTAAGAGATAGGGTCTCACTATGTTGTCCAGGTTGGTCTCAAACTCATAGGCTAAAGTGATCCTCCCGTGTTTCCCTCCCAAAGTGTTAGGATTACAGGTGGAGCCACTGAACTCGGCCCATTTTTTTATCGTTTGAAGAACTTTCTTTAAATTCTTGCTGAAGAAACTAAATTAGTGCTGTGACCTAAAGTTTCCAGAATTTAGTCTTGCATGTTTCCTAGAAATGTGATGGGTCTCACTGTTATGAAAGATGATGCCTGGGAAGAACACAGGATCCCTATGTCATGTTCAGAAGCCAAAACCCAGGTTTGACTCCTTTGCCCACATTAGAGGTAGTATGCAGAGTAACATTGTGCAGTGTGCGTTAGTTTTTTAGATATTATAAGGAGTCCTTTAATGAATGTTTCCTAAAAATCAAGACCCGGGAATACAGGCTTTAAAAAAGGCTTCAGGTTCAGATGTTCAAGGAAAGAAAAGTGGTTTATCTTCTGAGTGTAGGCAGTAGTTGTTCTTGAACTTAAAACGTTTTTGGTAAGCTTTATTTCTGTTGGCAAGGTGCCAGAAGACAACTTCGACAGTTTTTTTTCCAACATTTTTTAGCATCCTGTCACTAAACATTCCCATTCTGGATAAGCAGAGGCCAGGGCAATTGAAACTTAGAGAAGCCTTGTAGGCGGCCTCCTCAACAATTGATAAGAAAGGAAAGATGTTCTTGCCTGAGTGGTTTCAGAAGTCATAGTGTAATTCTGCATGGGATATAAGTGCTGAGCCTACCTTAAACTCTTCTGTCACATGCAGTTTTAAGAATGTATTTTCTTTTTTTTTTTTTTTTTGAGACAGAGTTTCGCCCTTGTTGCCCAGGCTGGAGTGCAGTGGCACAATCTTGGCTCACCGCAACCTCTGCCTCCCGGGTTCAAGCGATTCTCCTGCCTCAGCCTCTCTAGTAGCTAGGATTACAGGCATGCACCACCATGCCCGGCTAATTTTGTATTTTCAGTAGAGACGAGGTTTCTCCCTGTTGGTCACGCTGGTCTCCAACTCCCGACCTCAGGTAATCCACCCACCTTGGCCTCCCAAAGTGCTGGGATTACAGGCATGAGCCACAGCGCCAGGCTAAAAATGTATTTTCTGCATCCCATGAAGGTTTCATAAGAAGTTGAAAAGTCTTTAGATAGTGCTACCATTTTCTTCTTGGTTGAATATTTGTAATCAATATTTATCTTCCATGATTTTATGCTATGTATGCCATAATTTTATAGGTTTCAATTTTCTTTTCTTTCTTTTTTTTTTTTTGCACAGAGTCTTGCTCTGTCGCCCAGGCTGGAGTGCAGTGGCATGATCTCAGCTCATTGCAACCTTCGCCTCCTGGGTTCAAACGATTCTCCTGCCTCAGCCTCCCAAGTAGCTGGGACTTTACAGACATGTGTCACCACCCCCGGCTAATTTTTTTCTTTTTTAAGTAGAGATGGGGTTTCACCATGTTGGTCAGGCTGGTCTCGAACTCCTGACCTCAGGTGATCCACCTGCCTCGGCCTCCCAGAGTGCTGGGATTACAGGCATGAGTCACCACGCCTGGCCAGGTTTGAATTTTCAAGGCTGACACTTGAGAGTCTTTCTTCCCTTCCCAGTTTACCTGCATCTTGAGTCACTTCATTGTTGTGACTGTGTCGGCCAACTGACCAAGCTTTCCTCAGATGTACAAAATCTGAGGAAAATATGGCTCGCCTTGTAGTTTAATTTTAAATTATTTACAAAGTCAGATTAGAGTAGTGACTAAATATTAATGCCATCTCAATATATTGAGAGGGATTTAATTCAAAATGAGAGTAAGAAATACAAATACAAAGCTGGGTGTGGTGGCTCACACCTGTAATCCCAGCACTTTGGGAGGCCGAGGCGGGCAGATCATGAGGTCCGAAGTTCGAGACCAGCCTGGCCAACATAGTGAAACCCTGTCTCTACTAGAAATACAAAACTTAGCCGGGCATGGTGGCATGCACCTGTAGCCCCAGCTACTTGGTAGGCTGAGGGAGGAGAATCGCTTGAACCCAGGAGGCAGAGATTGTGGTGAGTCGAGATCGTGCCACTGCACTCCAGCCTGGGCAACAGAGCGAGACT
Organism: Homo sapiens; assembly: GCF_000001405.40. Taxonomy (NCBI): domain Eukaryota; kingdom Metazoa; phylum Chordata; class Mammalia; order Primates; family Hominidae; genus Homo; species Homo sapiens. The sequence goes on from NC_000001.11 coordinate 61,810,690, forward strand.
CTGTCTCAAAAAATAAATAAATAAATAAATAAATAAATAAATAAATAAATAAATAAACCCAGTCTGTACTAAAAATACAAAAAAATTAGCCGGGCGTGGTAGTGGGCACCTGTAATCCTAGCTAGTCAGGAGGCTGAGGCAGGAGAATCACTTGAACCCGGGAGGCGGATGTTGCAATGAGCTGAGATCGCGCCATTGCATTTCAGCCTGGGCAACAAGAGGGAAACTCCGTCTCAAAGACAAACACCTCATCAAGCTTCATTTGTTATTAATTACTGCATTATAGTGTACTGATTACATGGATTCTAGAACCAAACTGCCTGAGTTCAAATTCTGGCTTATGCAGAATTTCATAGCTGTGTAATCTTAGAAAATGATCTAAAGTCCATGTCTCAGTTTTTTGTATGTAAAAAGGAAATATTAATACCTGCCTCATAGATTTATATAGGAATTAACTCTATTATGCTTAATATTGTACCTGCCTCATAGATTTATATAGGTATTAACTGTAATATGCCTAGAATAGTTGCAAGCACATAGTAGGCTCTTGTTTTTTGAGACGGAGTTTCATTTTTATTGCCTAGGCTGGGGTGCAATGGTGTGATCTTGGCTCACTGTAACCTCCGCCTCCTGGGTTCAAGCGATTCTCCTGCCTCAGCCTCCCAGGTAGCTGGGATTATAGGTGCCCACCACCACGCCTGGCTAATTTTTTCTATTTTTAGTAGAGATGGAGTTTCACCATGTTGGCCAAGCTGGTCTCGAACTCCTGCCCTCAGGTGAAGCCTTGGCCTCCTAAAGTGCTGGGATTACAGGTGTGAACCACTGTGCCCAGCCAGGCTCTTATTATTATTTTTATTATTATCATATAAATCAGTGTTGCATGAAATTGCTCTTTAATTTACACTAAACTCTTAGATATTTTCTATTTAAATGTTTTCTAGTTTACTAAATTTCCTGTGCCTAATCAGCTGCTAAAGCCCATCTATTAAGTGCTTAATTTTAGTTATTTATCTAGTATGGAATTTTCATTTTATTTCTTTTTACATTATAATTCTCCAGCTAAATTCCCAAAGTAAAAAAAAAAAATCTAGGCTGGACGCGGTGGCTCACGCCTGTAATCCCAGCACTTTGGGATGCCGAGGTGGGTGGATCACGAGGTCAGGAGATCGAGACCATCCTGGCTAACACAGTGAAACCCCATCTCTACTAAAAATACAAAAAATTAGCCGGGCGTGGTGGCGGGCGCCTGTAGTCCCAGCTACTCGGGAGGCTGGGGCAAGAGAATGGCGTGAACCCGGGAGGCGGAGCTTGCAGTGAGCCGAGATCACGCCACTGCACTCCAGCCTGGGCGACAGAGCGAGACTCCATCTCAAAAAAAAAACACTATATTTTTCATCTATTTCTGTATTTGCCATCTTTTCCTCTATTTCTTCAACATGTTAACCATAGCTTATAAAGACTTTAAGTAATTCCAATATCTGGATCAACTTTGGATCTGTTTCTGTCATTCGATGTTTTGTCTTTTTGTTTGGGTATATCTCTTGTTATGCCAAAATTTGATTAAATATCTGACAACTATAAAAGGCTTCAGATGATATCAGTTATCTCTGTCCAGAGAGGTCTTACCGTGCCTGCTAATGTGGTGATAGAGGAAGGGGAGGGAATAGAGAGAGAGAGAGAGAGAGAGAGAGAGAGAGAGAGAGAGAATGTGAGTGACTGAGAGAGAGAGAGAGAGAGAGAGAGAGTGTGTGTGTGTGTGTGTGTGTGTGTGTGTGTGTGGTGGTATTGGTGGGTGCTCATCTTGGAGACGGGGCAGAGGTACAGTTCTGTAAGAGTCAGACCACCTCTGATTTGCTTCACTTTTAAGACACAGTCTTGGCCAGGCACAGTGGCTCACACCTGTAATCCTAGCATTTTGGGAGGCCGAGGCAGGAAGATCACCTGAGGTCAGGAGTTCAAGACCAGCCTGGGCAACATGATAAAACCTCGTCTCTCCTAAAAATACAAAAATTAGCCAGGCATGGTGGTGGGTGCCTGTAATCCCATCTACTCGGGAGGCTGAAGCAGGAGAATTGCTTGAACCTGGGAGGTGGAGGCCTCAGTGAGCCAAGATTGTGCCACTGGACTCCAGCCTGGGCAATACAGCGAGATTCTGTCTAAAAAAAATAAAAAAAGACACAGCCTCCCGGGTAATCCACGAAAGACCCTGGGGTGTTTACCAGTCCTCTTATCCTGGTGGAACCTGAACTCTAATCTTCTCTCCTTAGTAGTGTGGACTGCTGAAATACTTGCTTTGCTTTTCCAGGGTTTCCTGATTAGCTTTTTAGCCTCCTGTGTCATATTACTTTAGAACTCAGGATATGTCCTTTCAGGGAAGTCCTGCCCTGATCAGGCTCCATTCATCACGTGGTTCAGCTTTACTTGTCTGTCCTCCCACATTCAAAGCCTAAGACCCTGAATCATCATGTTTTATAATAAGTAAAAGACAGCAAGGAAAAAAGGCACAAAGCACACTTTGTGTACATTTTTGAAGAGTGTGATTCTCTTTCTCCAGGCAGAAGATGTTCTTTCTCACTCTCACTCCTTAGTTCTCTGCCTCCACACTTACTGTGTTGTCTTTCCTGATCAACCTCTATGGAATGTACATATATATATATATATATATATATATATATATATATATATATATACACACACACACACACACACATACACACATATACATATTTGTACTCAGTAACTCTGGTATAAATGGGCAGAAGGGCTTTGAGTTGAACACACTTTCAGAACCACCTTATAAAAACTCACTAGTACATTTGGCTGTTCATTCATTCATCAAATATGTATTATATGTACACTGTGCTAGGTCCGCTACTGGGTGCTCGGGTTCCAGAAGAGAACAAAGCAGGAAGAAAAATTCCTGTCCTATAGAACTTATATTTTAATGGGAGGAGGCCAAAAATAAGTAAGTTATACCGTATAGGTGATATGTGCCATGGAGAATATTAAGGCAGGGAACATAGGAAATTCAGGAGTGGGGGTTTATTTGCAAGTTTAGATAGGTTGGTCAGGGAAGGTTTAAGAAAGTAACATTTGATGAAATGCTTTCGGAGGTAATAACTGGCCTAATTTTTTCTCTAAATAATATGAACAATAATAATTGTGTTGTAGAAGACTAAAGAGAAATAGTATTTCGTATATACCTTAATTAATATAGCTTAGTGCCAAGATATAAGAAATGGCCAATAAATGGTAGTTTTGTTTCCCAGTTATATGCCTCTAGCACTTTTAGACTGAACTTCCAAAGGTCTTTTTCTTTTAATATGCTTTTAAAAACATTTAATTAATTGAAATTTGGTTGTGGCAAAAAGTTGCTTTTCTTGTTTCCCTGTTTTCTTCACTAGAAGAAAAAGAGTCACCCAAAATTACATTATTCTCTTCTTTTTTTTTTTTTTTTTTTTTTTGAGATTCAGTGATTCAGTCTCGCTCTGTTGCCTAGGTTGGAGTGCAATGGCACCATCTCGGCTCACTGCAACCTCCGCCTGCTGGGTTCAAGCAATTTTTCAGCCTCAGCCTCCCGAGTAGCTGGGATTACAGGCACCTGCTATCACGCCCAGCTAATTTTTGTATTTTTGTAAAGACGGGATTTCACCTTGTTGGCCAGGCTGGTCTTGAACTCCTGACCTCAGGTGATCCGCCCACCTTGGCCTCCCAAAGTGCTGGGATTACAGGCGTGAGCCACCGTGCCCGGCCGCATTATTCTCTTTACGTATTTAGTTGTTAGCTACATATTTATGTATTTGCAGTCAGTATTACCTGCCTTTTGTTTAGTGTGTGTGTGTGTGTGTGTGTGTGTGTGCGCGCGCGCGCGCATGTATGTGGGATAGAAGGGGTGTGTAGTTTTTCCATGTAACATTATCATATATTTTTACATTTTTCTACGTTAATTTCTTACTTATTAAATGTCCATAGAATTTTTCTTCATTTTGATCAGCTATGATTTTTAAAAATCCTCTTATAATTGGAAATTTGCGTCCTAATTCAGTAGCTACTAATTTCTCCCTACAATATATAAGGGAGATTTTAACTAACCAGTCAAAACCGATTTTACAGACAAGAGGATAGTAAAGGTTGCCTAGGTTGAATGACTTGACCGAAATTATACAACTAGATCATAGCAGAGGCAGGTGGTAGCTTAGAATGCATTCATCCATTCCTGAACTATTTACTGAGCTCCTACTCTGTGCCAGACACTGTGCTACCATCTGTGGGAAGCAAAATGGAAAGGGTCCTTGCTCTCATAGAGCTTAGATTCTGCGATTGTATAGGGGCATGGTAATAGACAAGTAAAAAATAACTTGATAAGATAGTTGTAGATTGTAAGAAGTGCTGCAAATGAATAAACAGTAAATTGAGCATAACTGGGGTGGGGGACACTTCAGAGGGAGCCAGGGAAAGCCTTTCTGAGCCCAGGCTTGAAGGATAAGAATGTGGAAAAGAGAAGCAGCAAGTACAGTGGCTCTGCTGTGGGAAAGGGCTTGTGTGTTGGGGGAATAGAAGTTGTTTCTTTCAGAGTGTCTGGGTCAAACTAAGTGAAGAGCAGAATATTGTTAAATGATGCTGCAGAGGAAGACTAGGTGTTAAAGGGCCCCTTGGGAGCCACTGTGATATGTATGGACTTTATCCTCAGTCACAGGTAACACCAGTGGGAGGTTTTGAGCAGGGTTTTGTCTATGATCTTAGGTCCAGGCTGGAGGTTTTTCCTCTGTCTCATCAGCTTTCTGATTAGAACAATTATGTTTCTATGGGTCTAGCTGCTTTTAGATGGTTGCCATCCCATGGCCATCACTCTTGAAGGGATGATTCCAGAAGCATCTACATGACTGGGCGGGGTGGTTTATGCATATAATCCCAGCACTTTGGGAGGCTGAGGCAGAGGATCTCGAGGCCAGGAGTTTGAGACCAACCTGGTCAACAGAGGGAGACCCTGTCTCTATATTTTTAAAAAAAGAAGCATCTTCATATATTATGGGCTAATGTTAATAGATAAGATTTTCTTCTGAGGTAGGTGGAGTTGTGGAGAAAGAGGGAGGTGAAAGCTATTTACAGTGACTTAAGCATTAGCTGCACTGCTTCTAGGAAGCTGTTAATCATGACACAAGAACAGTTTTCCCGCATCTAGGGAGACTTGCACTTTTAGGGATGGCTTTCTTGGCAAGTGTTTACTATTAAGATAATAACAGCTCTATGAGGGAGAAGCATTAAGCTCATTCTAGTGACCTTTCTGCTGGCCATCAATTGTAATATGAAGTGAGCATCAGTAATATCGCTTGTGTGGGAAACAAAAACACCAGGTCCTGCTCTCTGGTTTTGACAAAAAAAGTTGACAAATTTAACTTTATTTCTCTCTTGAGTTATATTTCCTGACCTGGAGAACATTAAAATATGGTTTCTCCCCAACCACTTTATAATGAACAAATATAATTTTTAAGGCAAGAGGGATGTACTGGGCTTTCCAAGAGTTATGGTGGATGTTACTGTTCAGTTACCAGGGCCGGTTCTTTGCTTTAAATATATTTTCTCCTATATTTCTAATAGTAACCTTATTGGTCAGCAAGCATTTTCCCCTTCCCATTTTTAATATGGGAAACTTGACTGTCAGGCAGTAAAAGTAAATTGCCCAAGATCATATGCAGCTAGTAAGGGGGTGGAATTAGGAAACAAATCATATGCTTGCTTAGGCAGCACATATACTAAAATTGGAATGATACAGAGATTAGCATGGCCCCTGTGCAAGGATGACGCACAAATTCGTGAAGTGTTCCAGAACTATTAAAAAATAAATTTATAAAAAAATTTTCAAAAAAGGAAACAAATCAAGGGTTATCTGGCTTCTAAGCTGGCATCATTCTTTTTTCTTCTTTTAAATTTTAAATAGATAATATATGGGCAAGACGTACAATTTAAAAGGTATAGAAATATGTACTGCAAAAGGTGATTTTTTTCTCCCACCCCAGTCCTCTCATCCACAGAAGCAATGCTGTTATCAGTTCTCCAGGATGTAATTTTATACTTTGCTGCTCTCTTTTTAAGTGGAGAACGTAAGACACAGAATCAAATAACTATAGTAGCAGTGGTTACCTAGTAGTGCAGGTGGCATATCAGAAACATCCCAGGAGCTCTTTCAAAATACACATGCCCTGTTTTGTTCCTCCTTGCTGATACTCTGATTCTGTAGGTTTGGGGTAAGGTTCCTAAAGGGAATTTTGATTCCTTTCTTGCCTCACTCCGTAGAGAATTATTATTCAGATACTGCTAAAATGCCTAATGTGTGTTCTAGAAGGATATTACTTCCTCAAGACAGATGGAAGCTTATTGGTAGGATGGCATTTGAACTATGCTCTGAAGAATAGATTTGGAGTACAAATGAGTACAATGGGTATTTCAGGTGAAGGCACTACCGTGAACATAGGTAGGGGGAGAAAGCCAAATGCAAAGTGTTAGTTCAAGTATCAAAAATTCAGATATATCACATGGGCCAGGCAGGAAACATAAATTATATATAAAATGCTAAATAGCAACTGATGTTTGACCTTAGTATTAGGTGACTGAAGAGAACTTTCAATTTACTACTGTATAACAGAGTACCTGTTACACATTTTTTGAACATTCTGAATTAAAATTTTGGAGGGGACCGGGAGCGGTGGCTCACGCCTGTAATCCTAGCACTTTGGGAGGCCGAGGTGGGTGGATCACCTGAGGTCAGGGGTTCAAGACCAGCCTGACCAACATGATGAAACCCCATCTCTACTAAAAATACAAAAATTAGCTGGGCATGGTGGTGTGCACCTGTAATCCCAGCTGCTGGGGAGGTTAAGGCAGAATCACTTGAACTTGACAGGCGGTGGTTGCAGTGAGCCGAGATCGCACCATTGCACTCCCGCCTGGGCAACAAGAGCGAAACTCTGTCTCAAAAAATATAAAATAAAATAAAATTTTGGAAGGGTGAGAAAAACAAAACATAAATGAAGCTCTAATGGATCGTTTGTTTTGTATAACCTCTGAGGGGGCACACCTAAGTTCGGAGGCCATCATGCTTGTGGTTTTCCATTACTTTAAAACTTGTAGCCTCATTCTTGAAAAGTTTGTTTTTTATTTATGGTAAATTTAGTAACTCCCTAATCTTTAAACATAAATGGCTATTTAATACTTTGTGTGTGAGAGTTACAAGAACCAATCATGGGTTCTTTCTGTTCTGTTTTCTGTCAAGTTCAACATTTTTGGAAAATCCTTCCCCATCCCACCGACACCTTTTTGAAGCATACCTTTCCAGAAGTTTCTTCTCCCCCTGAAGCAATATCATTTATATTCCCGCTTAAGCATTTTGATATCCTGTTATAGTATCCTAAAAGTAAAGCTTTGAGCAAAAGGAATGGGCTGTAGTTTGTTTCATGATAGGTCTCGCCACTTGTGGGCAGAAGGCCTCAAGCCTTCTTGATCTCATTTGATCTTCATTTTTGCACTGACAGTAAAGCACACAATGGCCATGCTTCCCTTGAATACATTTCCTTGTATCCTTTACTTATATCAGGATCATGAAAATCCTGTTGCTCATTAACTTTGTCAGTTTAAATAGAACCCCTCACAAAACGTTGAATAAGCATCAAAAAGCATGACATGCGGTGTGTGTGAAGGCACCAGTCGTCTGTTTCACTCACTCTGTCATTTCAGCACTTGCTGCTAAGAACTCTGCATACTGAAAGGGGTGGACAACTAAAAGAGACAGATGAAATGCTTGATTTGTTTAGTTGCTAAATGCAGCTGGGACAGGTAATTAAACAGTCCTGCTCCCGCAGAGAAGCTTGCAGCAATGTAACATGAAATCTTAGAAACCCAGCTGTACTCAGATTTAGATTCAGAACTAATATTAGGTAGGCATCCTTCAGATTGACAGATTTCATAAGCATTGTTTCTGGTTTATTTGTTCACCCTAATTGAAGATAGAGCATGTTTTGTTCACCATTTAAGTTTTCTAGGGAGCATGTGGTGTTTACAGATACCTGGGGGAATAGCCTAGAAGGCACAGCCCATGTCTGGAGGGCACGAGATGACATGGGTGAGCCTCTGCGAATCCTGACTCCAGCTGTTCCATGGAGGTGGGAATGGGGGTCATCATATGAATAGATGCGGATTGGGAGAGGATTGGAACCAGTTCTTGCCTTAACCCTTTTATCTTGTATGAGGGCATGTCATTATGTAAGTAGCAAAGATCTCTGTGTGTACAGTGGGATCTTTGTTTTAATTTGGACCCTTATTTCTATGCAGAAGTTGTTACCACCATGTACTCATTTGCTCAAACCAGAAATTTAGCAATTATCCTTTTTGCTCACCTCCCACAGCCATCCCCCAGTAGGCTTTTTTGTAGGGCTGACTCACTGTTATCCCTCAAGTCTCACCTTAAGTGTCCCCTTCATTGTGGAGCCTGCTCTGACCAACTTCCCAAAATGACCTCCACTAGTGGGGCTCTGATATCATAACCCTGATTCCTTCCTTGCAGCACTTAACACAATTAGTAACTGCTTGTTTGTTTTTCACACAACGGTCACACATTCCTTGGATGTGTTTCCTTATATTCTTTGCCTATCATATCAGGACTGTGATAATCCTGCTGCTTGTTGATTGGTTGTTTATTTATGTATTTGCTTTGTCTACTTACCTTTTTGCCTATTTATTTGTCTGCCATGCTAGATGTTAGTTCTAGGAGGGCAAAGACTTCATCCTATATTTCCAGCTCATAGCCCAATGCCTTGCACACAGTTTATACCCCGTACATATATGCTGAATATCATGTCCAAACTATATTATAGATCAGTGGTATGCTGGTAAGTTTCTAGCTCTCAAAAGCAGCGTGGGGCGGCAGGCGGCGGTGGGGGGGCGCGGGTGGGAAGGCAGCTCCAATTTGTAGCATGTACCAATATCTGTGGTGTAAATACTCCCACCATGGCAGATATAAAGCTACCAAAATGGCGTCACTGATCAGTGAGCTGAGAGGCAATGCACAGTAGCGCTTCAATGCTGCAGGCTTCTCTGTAGGAGTAAGACTGTTTAATCACTTGTCCCACCTGCATTTAGCAACTAACCAAACCAAGCACTTCATGTGTCTCTTTCAGTTGTCCACCCCTCAGTGTTCTTTGAGTTCTGATAGAGAGTGTTCCTCTCTGTACAGATATAGTAGATATAAATCACTTCATGAACATAGATATTAGTAAAAGAGTGAAAAATAATTAGGAAGTGATGCATTTTGAGTACTTGTTACATTTATTTTTATTTTTATTTTACTGTATTTAATTAATTTATTTATTTATTTTTTGAGATGGAGTCTCGCTCTGTCGCCCAGGCTGGAGTGCAGTGGCACAATCTCGGCTCACTGCAACCTCTGCCTCCTGGATTCGAGGAATTATCCTGCCTCAGCCTCCCAAGTAGCTGGGATTACAGGTGTGCCCAACCATGCTCAGCTAATTTTTATATTTTTAGTAGAGACAGGGTTTCAGTTGGCCAGGCTGGTCTTGAACTTCTGACCTCAGGCAATCCACCCACATCGGCCTCCCAAAGTGTTGGGATTACAGGCGTGAGCCACCGTGCCTGGCCTATTTATTTATTTATTTATTTAGAGACGGAGTTTCAGTCTTGTTGCCCAGGCTAGAGTGCAATGGCTCAGTCTCAGCTCACTGCAACCTCTGCCTCCTGGGCTCAAGCGATTCTCCTGCCTCAGCCTCCCGAATAGCTGGGATTACAGGCATGTGCCACCACACTCAGCTAATTTTGTATTTTTAGTAGAGATGGGGTTTCTCCATGTTGGTCAGGCTGGTCTTGAACTCACTACCTCAGGTGATCTGCCCGCCTTGGCCTCCCAAAGTGTTGGGATTAAAGGTGTGAGCTACCACACCCGGCCTACATTTATTTTTATTAATTGTAACTTTATATGGTTTAATTTTAAATTGTTTAACAACTGGCTTGCAAAATCAGTGAAAATTTAGCAGTCTGCTCTCAAGCCAGTATAAGACCCAGCACCGCACTGGGGATGAGCTATGGTGGATCCACTGGCAACTCTTTGCCCTGTAGCATCTGGCTCATAAACAAGGAAGGAAGACAGTTGGCAGAGATGAGTGGTAAACTGTTAATACAGAAGCATTTCTCTGAGAGCTTTTCCTCACCTCCTTTAGATGTCCTGCTACATGACACTAATATCTCCTTAGCTATCCATACCCATGATTTGGTACAATGACAGGAGAATGAAGTGGCAGCAGTGAGGAAGAAAGAAAGCACAAGAGAGGGAACGGGAGGAAAAACTATCTTTTTTTTTTTTTTTGAGGCTGAGTCTCGCTCTGTCGCCCAGGCTGGAGTGCAGTGGTGCAACCTCAGCTCACTGCAAGCTCCACCTCCCGGGTTTACTTATGCCATTCTCCTGCCTCAGCCTCCCGTGCAGCTGGGACTACAGGCGCCTGCCACCATGCCCGGCTAATTTTTTTGTATTTTTAGTAGAGACAGGGTTTCACCGTGTTAGCCAGGATGGTCTCGATCACCTGACCTTGTGATCCTCCCGCTCGGCCTCCCAAAGTGTTGGGATTACAGGCGTGAGCTATCATGCCCGGCCGGAAAAACTATCTTAGCCTTTCATTTAGAGAACTAGAACATCTTCTTGCCAGAGATGGTCGCAGATCCTGAAGTGCTTAGTGGTCAGGAGCACTTAATTTTCAGGAAATTATCCCAGGGCTAGAAGTCCCTCATGTGCGTGTTGAGGTCTTAGTCAGCCAGACTCCTTGCCACTTCACATTTGTCTGCATGTCTATAGTGAGACAGAAGTGAGCCTCAGATGTTGTCTGAAGGAAGGCCTGTGGCACTCTGGGGACTGAAAGCAGAAGACTGAGGGAGGTGGCAAGCTCAGGGATAGAAGATCACAGAGAAGAGGAAGAGAGCCACATGGTAGATGCACTGCCACCCTGTGTAGGGTTTTCTCCTTATAAAATATAGTTCGAGGTAGGTCTGGTGTTTTTTAGGTATCAGACTATTGATACAGGAAATGCAAATCATCATGAGTACCATTTACCGTATTTGAGATTATAAGGCCACAATGAGAAATCTTTAGTCTGTCTTTGAAAGTCAGGGGAATGGAGTTTGGTGAATGCCCTTGACTGTTACAACCAACAAAGATGGGTGCAACTGAGACACTCATCTCTTTACTCGACATTGGCTAGAGTTTCTCAGCCCTTGACTCGTATCTCAGCCCATATGAATCCTCACAGACCTAGAATGGATAAACGATTGCCTTTCCCAAATCGGAAATGTTTTCACTTAAGTTGGCTAGATGGAAAAGGACATCTTAAATGAGGCACTATTTTTCATGGATTAGTTCAAATAACATTTAATGAGCCCATGTTTAGTGCCAGGTACTGTTCCAGGGCTGAAGTTATGGAGATTAAAGGTACAGACTCTGCATTCAGGTAAGGAGTGGAAGAGGGACAGTCAAGAGACTAGGAATTCTCAACATAGCGAAACCTCGTCTCTACTAAAAATACAAAAAAATTAGCCAGGCATGGTGGCGCACGCCTGTAGTCCCAGCTACTTGGGAACCTGAGGCATGAGAATTGCTTGAACCCGGGAGGTGAAGGTTACAGTGAGCTGAGATTGCACCACTATGCTTCTGCACTCCAGCCTAGGCAACAGAGCGAGACTGTGTCAGAAAAAAAAAAAAAAAAAGAAAAGAAAAGAAATTCTAAGCCCAGTATGTTGTGAGATGTGATGGAGATGTACAGAGGGCAGTCTTGAACCCCAGATGGAGGCTCATGAACTCAGGGCTTCCTGCCATGGTATTTAGTGTGAGTAGAAGTTAATTAGATAATAAAGAAAAGTTAGGATGTTCTAGGGGATGGGGAGTCCCATAGAAAAGTGAAACACAGCATATATACTGGGGACTACGGAAGTGTGGACTGCCTGGAGCTTAGAATTGAAGGTAAGACTGTATACATCTGTCTCCTCATTTCCAGGGAATCCGGAAGGAAAAGAGGAGTGAGAACAAGATGACCAATGACTTCATAATTTTACCTGAAGCTAATTTTCCTATTATTGTCCTCTTTTAGGATTTTGGTGATCTAATTCAAGAGGTGGGGTTTTTCACTTCAAAATAGCACTGGATGGAGGATGAATAGCCGGATGTGTCATTGTCATGTTTGATCATTGCTTTGTGTTTTGCTACAGCTGCTGCCTATTCACACTCTGAGGCTTGGTGTGGAAGTGGATTCCTTTGATGGGCACCATTATATTTCTTCAATTGTTTCTGGTGGTCCTGTTGATACATTGGGTCTCCTACAGCCAGAAGATGAGCTGCTTGAGGTAAAATTTATGGGGAAAGAAAGACACAGGCAAGAATCTGTAAGTTTTAGGAAAACGTGTTCTCATCACAAATCCCCTGAGTTATAGTGTCACCAATGCCAATGTAATATGAGCCTCTTAGATTGAAAAAACCGAACAGCTTACTGGATGATAAAGGAAGTAGCTATGCTTTCAGTTTATTTTCCCCATCTTTGAGGCTCCTGAGATGTTCTTTATTTAAATGAATGACTAGGAAAGAAGTTTGATAGCATATTAGTATTCTTTTTTAGCAAAATTTGAATCCCTGAGCCTTGTTGCAACATATAACCACATTTATTTGCAGGTTTTATTGATTATTTCTAACAAGGACTACAGCTGAATGACCTCAGGCATACTGGTTTTCACGTTTTCTCCTTGGGACTTCTCCCTCAAAATGGCAGCCTCTATTGGGCTTGCCCAGGCTCTCCAGCCTCTCTTTAATCAAAGCAGTTCTAGAGCACCTCTGCTTTGAAAGGACTTTCTTGAGAGGAAAGGTCTTGGGGAATGGTCACACAAAAAGACTGCATAGAAGAGGGTTCTCCCAAGTGTTAGGATACACAAGAAGCCCTAGGTTGGATTCAATAGAATCAACCTAGTAGCTTTAGCCAAGATCAGAATCCCATGGGCCTTGATTTTAGAGATTTTTTTTTTCTAAAATTTATGTTTGCTCATAGTGAAATGACAGGGATACCAAGTAGGTCTCATGTTGTGTGTAATTGTAATTTATTAGTAGTGTCCAGCCACCTAAAGGAGTATAATGGGAAGGATTCTGGTTGAATTTCAATTTCAGAGGGAAAAGTGCTATGACTAGTTATCAAATTCTGTCATAAGCATGGGAGGGTAGGGTATTGGAGTCCTGTTTTAAGATGTAGTAAGTTGCTTATTTTTAGAGGTGTTCAAGGGAATGGTATTAGGTTTCTTATTGCAGATTAATGCCCTACATTTTATTAGAATAATTATGCTTTCTTTTTGACCCAGCTTCTTATTGGCTGGGCACGGCCATATCTTTGTGGATATCATACATGATCATTTGTAGATTGGAAACTATTGCTGTAGTATGTAGTTATTACGTATTGAGAAATGAGATATATTTGTTTGGGAGAAATGGAGGTATGAGTATAACCAATTTAATTCACTTTTTTTTTTTTTTCGAGACGGGGTCTTGCTATGTTGCCCAAGCTGGTCTCAAACCCCTGAACTCAAACAATCCACCCACCTCAGTCTCCCAAAGTGCTGGGATTACATGTGTGAGCCACTGCACCCGGTCCACTTTTTTTTTTTTTGGTGGCAAAATATATATAACATGAAATTTACCGTTTTAACCTTTTTTCCTTTTTTTTTTTTTAGAGTCAGAGTCTCACCCTGTTGCCTGGGCTGGAGTGCAGTGGTGTGGTCATAGCTTACTGCAGCGTCAAACTCCTGGGCTCAAGCAATCTTCCCACCTCAACCTCCCGAGTAGCTAGGACCATAGCTGTGCGCCACCATGCCCTGCTAGTTTTAGTTGTTTTGCAGAGACAGGGTCTTGCTATTTTGCCCATGCTGGTCTTGAACTCCTGGCCTCAAGCAATTCTTCTACCTCGGCCTCCCAAAGTACTGGAATTACAGTCATTAGCCACCATGCCTGGCCCATTTTAACCATTTTTAAGTGTGAAATTTGGTGGTATTAAGTATAAATCACTACTAGTATGTGGTAGGCACTAAAGAAATGTTGGCTGGATCACAGTATAGAAAGTATAGGTGATCCCAGCCATCAGCTGAATTCTGTATGATTTAGCCAAGACTAGGATCCCATGGGCCTACCACCTTGTAAAAGAATGTGCTATAATAAGGTAGTGTGAAGATTTTTTGAATTCTTAAATATAGATAATCTGGTGAAAGAGCTTGGGATAAGGAAGGAAGCACAGATTTGGAGTCAGAAAAGCCACTTTTGGTCTGAATTGCCACAGGTTAGCATGTGTCCCTTGGCATGTCACTTGACTTTGTTGAGAATCAGTTCCTTCATCAATAAATGCCCACTTCACTATGTGCTTGTAAGGATCTAATGAAATACCATCCATGTAAATTATAAAGCATTATCTCATTTTGGGGTATTGGCAATATTATCACTGTGAAGAAGGCATTTTAACAGGCTATATGGGCTGGGATAATGGTTGGATGTGGTAAAATAGTGGGGCCACACTTGTGCAATGTTCTGTACTCTGGAAGTGTGTATGTGTGTGTGCATTTTCCAGTCAAAAACTTGGGATAATTGAGATTTGACAGCACTTAGGAGGGTCACAAGTTGAAGGACCTTGAGAAGTATTGTGAATTCTAAAATAAAAATTAGCTGCTTCTGAATAACCAAAAATACAAAATTTAAAAGTCTCAGTACAGTTAGCCAAATAAACTCCTGAACTCAAAGTGTCGTGTGTGTGTGTGTGTGTGTTTAATGTACTCCTTGGAACTTAAAACCAGAAACACAAATATGCTTTGGGGTTAGAACACTGTGCCAAGTCTCAGCCCAGAACAGCTATTTACAGCAGCTATAAATCCCCTTAGATAGGAGTTGGTAATGGGAAATGAGACCAATCCCTTTAGCAACAGAGCAGTGAGGAGGACTACCAGGCACTGGTATAATAATTGGAGACAATTCAAATGAATAAATAATGAGATAAATAAATATTTAAAGGCACTCCAAGATAAAAACCTGAAAAGTGACTTTCTAATTTGTTGAAGTGAAACACAAACTCATACTCATGTATGGGAAGAATTCCTGCTCTGATTCTATCTCCGTGCCTTTTTTTAGTGTAAGTTACTACCCATTTAGTTGATTTTAGAACTTTGTGCACCTGTGACACCAGTTGAAATCATGGATACGGTGTGACCAGTGATGGGTACCTCCCTGCCTCTTCTTGTGTAAAGGTTGACTTGCAGTTATCCCAAGGAAAAACCTTTCATCAACTGCTGAGCTTGCTGTCGCCTAGACCTCTTCATTTGTCATGAAGACTTACCAGTAGAGCTAGCTTCCTAAAGTGCACGTGGGTCTCTTTACCATGTGGTGGTTTCTTTGTAAATAATTAAGAGGCAGGGAGATATGTCTGACTTGATGGCAAAGTGCTTGATATGTTACAGGCTTGAGAGTGGTTCCCAGGAATAGTGGACCTGAGACTCAGCCCGCTGCTGAAGGTTTCCAGCAACCCAGTGTCCTCTTCCTCTCTGGTGCAGTGAAAGATTTGTAGAAGGGCTTCTCCGAGTAAAGTCAGGCTGGCCAGTTATCTGAACATTAGCACGGCACCTATTAGAAATTAATGCCAGACTAGAAATATCTTTAAAACAAATAATGCTTGCTTCTAAACCCTCCCAGGAGGGTAGGAGTCAGATGCGAAAAGATTATTTGTTGCCTGGATTCTGTTCATGCCTCAGCTTTTTGGGAGTAGCAGACAGATCAGCTCTTAGAGACCTATAGTTAGAACTGACAGGACCCTTTGAGCTCAAGTTATATATATGAAAAATTAGAATTATGTAGCCAAATCATCTTTGGAGCCAAGTATTATTATTATGTGCCAAAAGTAATATGAAATTTAGATAATTTTTTGGTGACAAGGATTAATCATTAATAAAGAATACTTTTTTCTTTTAAACATATGAGACACTTGCATAAAATTATTTTAAAAATTATTTTAGTATTTTCTATATATGCTTGATTGCTGTATCAGCAGAGCATGTAACTGATGCAAAAGTATATTTCTTTTCAATAGAAGTTATTTTTCTAGGATGGTATTAAGAGTGTGTGGGATGTGAAAGAATATTGTGGACTGACGTTAAATTTTGACAGCCAAGTATTCTAGACTTATTAGCTATACTTTAAGCAGTAAATTAAACATTTTTTTAACATCCTTAAATTTCTGTAGTGATATTCTTATAAAATGAAAATGCAAAGGGAAACAGTCTTAAAGGGCTGTAAATGATACTTAGTGTGTTTAAGGGGAGCTGAGTAGAGGTAGGTAAGAGAGTATGACATTGGAGTATTGAAAGGAGAAACCACAGTGCTGCAAAAAATTTGGTAGATCCCTTACCCAGTAAGGGCGTATGCTGCATGCATTTTGTACTTTATCCATCAATACATGCAAAGATTTAGCCTTAGATTTTAAAAATTTTAAGGATTTCTAACATTTTTATTTGCATATTATTTAATCATAAATAATATGATGAAAGCGAGGCCCCTTGTTTACAGGGAAAATAAAATGATGTCCTATTTTCATTTTGGTAGATGGATATAAATAAGAGATTTTTGTTTTTTCATTTGGGGCTGGCTCAGTTCTGACTTATCCCCTTGTCTTCCTAGGTCAATGGCATGCAGCTTTATGGAAAATCTCGCCGAGAAGCAGTCTCCTTTCTTAAAGAAGTGCCACCCCCTTTTACTTTGGTTTGCTGTCGGAGGTTGTTTGATGATGAAGCTTCTGTAGATGAACCAAGGCGCACTGAAACCTCTCTTCCTGAGACAGAGGTACTAAATGAATATAGTGCATTTCCCATAGGCATGCCCATTCATCAAAGATGCCCCGAAGACTGTGCTGCAATAAGAAGGGAGGGGAAACCATTCCACTCTGCTCTTTTTTTGCTTGACTAAGGCAACAATGCATAGCTTTTCAAATTGTTACTCTTCATTTAACATCAAAAAATTCTTTCCTTCCCTTTCCTTGACATGTTGGCAACATTGATGCACATGGATTTTGATTTTAGAGAATCTTTGTTTTTAGTAATTGCCTGGATTCATTACTTTTGGCTTCTAGTTCAACGCAGTTTGTCTTATATAAGTTTAAGGTGTTTGCGAGTGTTGCATATCTAATGTACTCCCCTTTTTAAGAGCCTTAAAATTATGAAACTCAGCCGGGCGCGGTGGCTCACACCTGTAATCCCAGCACTTTGGGAGGCCGAGGTGGGTGGAACACCTAAGGTCGGGAGTTGGAGACCAGCCTGACCATCATGGAGAAACCCTGTCTCAAAGTAGAAAAAATTAGCCAGGCATGGTGGCGCATGCCTGTAATCCCAGCAACTTGGGAGGCTGAGGCAGGAAAATCACTTGAAGCCGGGAGGCGGAGGTTACGGTGAGCTGAGATCACGCCATTGCACTCCAGCTTGGGCAACAAGAGCGAAACTCCATCTCAAAAAAAAAAAAAAAGAAACTCTATGATAAATTTCAAAGTGAGTCTGGAAATTGCCATAAAACCCTTCAGAAGATCAGAGAATGAAATAACACTTTATATGCTCTTGGTACTCCTTATTTATTTATTTTTTTAAAGAGCACTGTTACTATGAAAAGAGTTTTTTTTTTTTTTTGAAACAGGATCTCCCCAGGCTGGAGCACAGTGTTTTGAACATGGCTCACTGTAGCCTCGACCTTCTGGGCTCAAGCAATCCTCCCGCCTCAGCCTCCCAAGTAGCTGGGACCACAGGCACATGCCACCACACCCAGCTAACTAAAAAATTTTTTTCGTACAGTCAGGGTCTTGCCGTATTTCCCAGGGTGGTCTCAAACTCCTGGACTCAAGCAATCCTCCCACCTCAACCCCCCAAAATGCTGGGTTTATAGGTGTGAGCGACTGTACCCAGCTGGAAGAGTTTTGAGCACATACTTTGCCATCTTATGCTATTTGTAACCTCATCTTTTATGCTACTTTCCCCCCTTTTCAATCTCTTTTAGGTTGTAATTCCACTAACACCAGTTCAGATTCATGGGGCCTTTTACTTAAGTTCTGGATTTCAGTATACATGAAACTAATCCTGCCCCTACTACCTCATAATTGTGAATCTTGGGCAAATGACTTTCTGTTCATATTTTTCCTTTGAAAAATGGTGATACTTATCATACTTACCCATCTCATGAGTTTGTGCAAGAAGGAAATGTGGTAATGTGAGCAACTTCTTAACACAATGCCTTGTACGTGGGAAGTGCTCAGTAACAGTCGGCTATGGCTGTTTGAGTCTCTGCCAGTCCATCCGTTTTTGTTTTCTTATGTCCTGAAGTACATGAGAGTCTAACACTGTCTTATAGATACTTTAGTATGTATTAATCTTGTTTATCCAAGAAGACTGTCAGCTCCTTGTGGGCAAAGGCCATATCTTAAAATTATTTTCTATTTCATAGTGTTTTTAGTCTATATTAGGCATATAAGAGGGGCTTGGTAAATTTTTGATTATTGGTTGACTCTTTTTTAAAAAAATGTTTAACTTGTGTAAAAACTATTTCAAGGAGGGTACTCAAATGCCACACTTTTGTGACTTTTGCTGTCCTTACCAAAATGAAATATGGGTGGTGGCTTCCCTCTAAAGGCTGATAACAATGCCTTTAATCTAATCTTGCAAGGTGTGTAAATCACAAACCCCACTTGCTGACTCTCTGCCCCCGTCTGTCATGCTTTACCACAATGGTGAACAACAGCTTTGAATCATGCTAAATGTCAACCTTCCTGCCCATTAGTTGATTGCTTTCCATTCTGTAAATACAGGAGTTATGCAGAATTGATTGTATCAAAGTGATATATTTCAGGTTGCAGTATAATATCTTATGTACCTTGAATGCCTTGAAATTTCTATAAACACAGGTTTTGTAATTGTGTGTGGTTTCTTAAAGTCTTGGCTCTTTTTCCATCTGTCTCTTTTTTCATTTCTCCTAATACCATCTTATATTCTTAAACCCTATCTGGTTAGGCAGCTTAGCCAAAATTCTAATACTCATTAATCAGTGAGGATATTAAATGCCCCAGTAAAACATCAATCATGTTGTATTAGCCATTGGAACTTTACTTTTTGTTGGAAGATATAAGTGTTTTCTTTTTAAGTATATCACTTCCACACATCAGACTGAAATATGCAGAGGTTATTGATCCATAATGTTTCCACTCATTTCAAGTTTTCAGCTTCATATTGTTCCCATGTTAGGTTCAATCCACTGTGGATCGGTTATTGACCACCCGTGTCTTGCAGTGACAGTTTAAGATCTGGACCAATCCTAATTTAAAAAATGTTTTTCTACCCCATAGTCTCTTGCCCAAAGCCTCCTAGATCTGATAAACAACTTCAGAAAGTTTCAGGATACGGTATCACTGTACAAAAATCAGTAACATTTCTTTACACCAGTAACATCCAAGCTGAGAACCAAATTAGGAACTCAATCCCATTCACATAGCCACAAAAAGAACAAAATAACTGGAATACAGCTAACTAGGGAAGTGAAAGATGTCTACAATGAGAATTATAAAATACTGCTGATAGAAATCAGAGATGACACAAATAGAAAAACATTCCATGCTCATGGATAGGAAGAATCAATAGTGTTAAAGTGGCCATACTGCCCAAAGCAATTTATAGATTCAGTGCTATTTCTGTGACATTTTTCACCGAATTAGAAAAAAACTATTCTAAAATTTTTCTAAATTTTAAGGAAATTTTTAGAAAAATTTTTTGGAACCAAAAAAGAGCCCAAATAGCCAAAGCAGTCCTAACCAAAAAGAACAAAGCCAGAGGTATCACACTACCCAACTTCAAACTATGTAGTACAAGGCTATAGTAATCAAAACAGCATAGTATTGGTACAAAAATAGACACATAGACCAATGGAACAGGTTAAAGAACCTAGAAATAAAGGTGCACATCTACAAGCATCTGTTGTTTAACAAAGTCAACAATAACAAGCAATGGGGAATGGACTTCTTATTTGGAAAATGTTGCTGGGAAAACTGGCTACCCATATGCCGAAGATTGAAACTGGACCCCTTCCTTTCACCATATACAAAAATCAGCTCAACATGGATTAAAGACTTAAATGTAGGCCGGGCATGGTGACTCACGCCTGTAATCCCAACAGTTTGGGAGGCCAAGGGGACAGATCACGAGGTCAGGAGATTGAGACCTTCCTGACTAACACAGTGAAACCCCATCTCTACTAAAAATACAAAAAATTAGCTGGGTGTGGTGGCGGGTACCTGTAGTCCCAGCTACTTGGGGGGGCTGAGGCAGGAGAATGGCATGAACCCGAGAGGTGGAGGTTGCAGTGAGCTGAGATGGCGCCACTGCACTCCAGCCTGAGTGACAGAGCGAGACTCTGTCTCAAAAAAAAAAAAAAAAAAGTAAAACCTAAAACTATAAAAACCCTGGAAGAAAACCTAGGAACTACCATTGTGGATATTGGCCTTGGCAAAGATTTCATGATGAAGATTTCAAGAGCAATTGCAACAAAAACAAAAATTGACAAGTGGGACTTAATTAAACCAAAGAACTTTTGCACAGCAAAAGAAACTATCAACAGAGTAAACAGGCAACCTACAGACTGAGAGAAAATATTTGCAAACTATGCATCTGACAAAGATCTAATATCCAAGAATCTATAAAGAACTTAAAACAGCAAGCAAAAACAAACAGCCACCATTAAAAAATGGGCAAAGGACACGTCGCACACTTCTCAAAAGAAGACATATACGTGGCCAACCACCATATGAAAAAATGCTTAATAGCACTGATCATTAGAGAAATGCAAATCAAAACTACAATGAGATACCATCTCATACCAGTCACAATGGCCATTATTAAAAAGTTAAAAAATAACAGATGCTGGGGAGGTTGTGGAGAAAAGGAAACAATTAGCACTGCTGGTGGGAGTGTAAATTAGTTCAGCCACTGTGGAAAGCATTTTGGAGATTTCTCAGAGAACTTAAAACAGAACTACCATTCAACCCAGCAGTCCCATTACTGCGTATATACCCAGAGGAATATAAATTGTTTTGCCATAAAGATGCATGTGTATGTTCATCACAGTACTATTCCCAATAGCAAAGACATGGAACAAACCTAATGCCCATCAACAGTGGACTAGGTAAAGAAAATGTGGTACATAGACACCATGGAATACTATCCAGCCATAAAAAAGAATGAAATCATGTCCTTTGCAGCAACCTGAATGGAGCCAGAGGCCATTATCCTAAGCAAATTAACACAGAAACAGAAAACCAAATACCACATGTTCTCACTCATAAGTGGGAGCTAAACATTGAGTACACATGGACACAAAGAAGAGAACAATATACGCTGGGGCCTACTTGGGGGTAGAGGGTAGAAGGAGGGTGGGGATGAGAAAACTACCTGTCAGGCACTATGCTTATTATGTGGGTGACAAAATCTGTACATTAGACTCCTGTGACACACAATTTACCCATATAACAAACCTGCACACATACCCCCTGAACCTAAAATAAATGTTGGAGAGAATAAATACATAAATAAATAAAATAAATTTTTTAAACTAGCTATTTTCCTAATTATAGAGGGTTTTTCCCTTCCCTTTTTTGTTTACATTAAATTGCTTCTCTTATACTGGTGTTTCAAAATTATGTGTGTAGAGATGATGCATTTTTATTTACTGAGGTTACCCAAAGATTTAGAAAGTCTACTTTTAAAAATTATTTACTTGGTACCTTTATTGAGAAGGAGTTTCAAGAGAAACACACTCAAAGATAGGTAATTTTTAATGTATTGAACAACTATTTATTGTGTGCCTACTATGAGCCAGGCATTATATAGTTGAGCTGATAACCATGGTAAACTCTGTGGTAGCCCTCACAGAGTTTCCATTCTAGCTTAGGAGCCAGGTATTTTGTTCATTGCTTGGGCTGTAAAAGATAATTTTTGAGCTTCAGATAGAAGTTTAGAGTATTTTGGGGGAATGTCAATCAGATGAAAACAATAGTACAATGCTATAATTAGTATAAAAACAGAAGGTTTTTTGAAGCAGCCATTCTTCTGCATAGTAGATTCATTGACCCTCTCATTTAACTTCCTGGAATTCCACATAGCAATGACTCTTCTTCCTAAAAAGACAGGGAGTCTAGAATAGAGGGACTTTCAGGAGTAAAATCAAGAAAAGTAACAAAGGACCTGTATACTGGGCAGTTGTGCTAACCTATTTCTTCTAAGATCAGATTTTCATTATTTCAACTCAGTGATTTTTATTCATTTTAGACTTAAATGATGTCCAAAGACTTGGATTTTTTTTTTCTCACCTTATTTTCTAGTAAAGCTTTTCTTGAAAACTTCCTGGAGCCAGCAGAAGTGGTTTCCCTGTTCTGCTCCAGCCTATCTCTGTGTTGATATTTCTTTCTTTGTCTCTCTCTGTAATTATGAAGCCAGGTATTGCTACTTACGTATCTTATAAGCTTCTACTTTGTATGATGTTTTCATTTACTTAAATTGCATATTTTTCCTTTTATGCTTCTAATGGGATGACAGAACTCATTGAAGTATAAGAGGTCAGTGTTAATACTTTGAATGAAATAAATTCTTCACATTAATAAAAAAAACTGTATGAACAGTCTGAATTTTTAAGCACTTGAATTTTTATAAGATCTTATCCTGGAGTGTGTGTGCCCCAGAGCATGCCCCTTTTACAAAGATTAAAAAGAAAAACTACGCATGCCAAAGAGAATTCTCAGTTTGAGAAGAAGCTGTGAGATTCTTGATGTGTGCATTCTTTTCAGAATTGAAAGCATAGTGTTTTGAAGCATTTATCTTCTTTGGTATTTCAGGTTGACCACAATATGGATGTCAATACTGAAGAAGATGATGATGGGGAATTAGCACTGTGGTCCCCTGAAGTCAAGATTGTTGAACTAGTAAAAGATTGTAAAGGTTTGGGATTCAGCATTTTGGATTACCAGGTATAAGAACCTGTGTAGAGGTGTTTTCTTTGGAGTGATTGGTTTGTATTAAAGTTATGGGAAGTAGCAATTGTTTAAGACCCCTATTGACTTAAGCAAAACTGAATCCCAAAGATGGGATATTATACTACTTTCAATTGTTACCTTTAAAATTAGTAGCTCCCTTAGTGAATAAAATGATGGATTATATAGGAACTGGACAATAAGGGAAGCAATAGTTATATATCCATGGGTGCTTTTAGAGCAGGATCTTGATGAACTTGTTTATATGGAGGACTTTTGTTCCTCAGCTTTATTCAGATATCTTTCACATACCATAAAATTCACCCATTTTAAGCATACAGTTCAGTCGTTTTTAGTATATTCACAGAGTTGTGCAACCATCACCACACTCTAATTTTAGAACATCTTCAACACCCAAAAAAGAAATCCCATACACATTAGCATTCGTTCCCAATTCATACTCTCCTCTCCCTCCCCTTCACATGAAGGTTTATAGTTTAGCTTACCTATTAATTTCAATGTGCTTAAATAAATAGAAGTGTTCTTGGTCAAGTTATATATTGCATTTATGTTAATACATAATATCTATGTATTTATTTATAGCTACTCCAATTATAACTAGGGTAAAGTTACCAATACATTTGGGGGAGGGAGATGTAAAAGGTCACAACAAGACATCTATGTTGTACGGTTCTACCAGTTACTGTCATATATTCAGACTGCTGATTATTTGGGGGAATTAAAATTGTTGCCAAGAAATCTCTTAACTTTTAAGATGCATATTTTACTACTTTGGTGCTGCCTTAACACATTGTGGTTTAGTAAAGCAAAATGTACTCTGTTAAAGCCCATAAAATGCCAAGTGATATTTAAAAATCAATTCTTTTTTAATATAATAAGGCAATCAGGAATAAATTAAAATAGTTTGAGCATTGTATAAGAATATTACGTTCTATTTTATTTATTTTTTTTGAGACAGAGTCTCGTTCTGTCTCCCAGGCTGGAGTGCAGTAGCATGCAACCTCTATCTCCCTGGTTCAAGTGATTCTACTGCCTTAGTGTCTTGAGTAGCTGAGACTACAGGCGCCTACCACTACACCTGGCTACATTTTGTATTTTTAGTAGAGATGGGTTTTCACCATGTTGGCCAGGCTGGTCTCGAACTCCTGACCTCAAGTGATCAGCCTGCCTTGGCCTTCCAAAGTGCTGGGATTACAGGCATGAGCCACTGTGCTCAGTCTAAATTCTGTATTTTGGCAGTGTGATTTAAATTTACTGAAAAAGAAATCTATTTCATTTTTGCTGGCATAGTTCTGTGCCAGATAGCCCTCTTCCTTTTTAGAATTTCTCTTTGGAATATTACTGAATGATAAGTTCTTGATTCCAAATATTTTGGAAAATATATTTATCAAGAAATCTGAACACAGTTAAGCATTTGCAAGTTTATATATTGGTTAATATTAGAGTATATAAAACAAATGGCAGGGACTCTTTTTTTTCCTTCCCCATTGTAGCTATATTATCTAGAACCACTAGGTGGTTAATAAATATTTGCAGAATGATTTAATAAAGTTTAGGTTAGCCAAAAATAGGCCTGACCTTTTTGTTTGTTTGTTTGTTTGTTTTCTGTTTTGAGACAGAGTCTCACTCTGTCGCCCAGGCTGGAGTGCAGTGGTGCGATCTTGGCTCACTGCAATCTCTGCCTCCTGGGTTCAAGTGATTCTTGTGCCTCAGCCTCTTGAGTAGCTGGGACTACAGGCACGCACCACCATGCCCTCCTAACTTTTCTATTTTTCGTAGAGATGGGGTTTCACCATTTTGGCCAGGCTAGTCTCGAACCCCTGACCTCAAGTGATTCCCCTGCCTCAGCCTCCTAATGTGCTGGGATTGCAGGCATGAGCTACCACGCCCAGCCTAGGTTAGCCAAAATTAACTGGAATTGAATGAACAAATTTAATGGGAATTTGAGGCATGAGCCACCATGCCCAGCCTAGGTTAGCCAAAATTAACTGGAATTGAATGAACAGATTTAATGGGAATTTGTTAATAATCGATTTTGATAATTGGGATTTAATTTAGAAGATACCTTTCAGATGTGGTCTTAGATATTCAGGTACATTTGCATTTCTATTATTGTAGGAATCTATATATATTTGCATTCTTATAATACATATTTATATCATAATGGTTGCTCTGATGCTCTTAACTGACATTATCTGTAAGTTTTATATTTTGAATAGTGCACATATTAAGTCAGAGAAATGTTTCAGAACTCAAAAAAATTCAGTAAAGGATGGAAAGAAAAACTAGATAGTCCTTAAGAATTTAATCCCTAGTTAAAAGGAAAACCCCCTTCTGAGCTTTACGCTTAAAAACATCTATAGTCAGTTCTAAATGTAGAATTTTTTGTTCTTCATTGCATTCCTGTAGGTATGTATTGTAACTTCTATTGTTTCTTGAAATTTTATTTTTAATTTATAGAATTATAGGATTTTCCTTTTCCTCTTATTTACCTCTCAATCAGCAGCACACATACTGACATTTGTTTCTGTACAAATTATGTAAAATAATTTTCTGCCAACAAAGGATTAGATATTCTTTTTGTCTTTGTGCTTCTTATAGAACATAACTACTTAATTTCCTAAAGGCCATTTTGATTCAGATTAAAGGGCTCATCTTATTTACTTCTACAGCTAAACCTTGGGGAATGGGGAGGGGAACACATTCAATCCTAACTTGGATGCTTTTCTTAAGTCAGTCTTAAGTGTACTTACAGATGTGTACAGCACATTTTTCACCATTTGTCAGTGGTACCTAGAACTGTTATCTACCATGACATTTAGATGACAGGTAAACACAACTCAAATTTGGTTTTGGGCAAGTTAATTAATCGGTTATACCATCCCTTGTTGTAATTAGGTAATAAATTCTAAAGTTCAAGAATATTTTTTGCAAGGCCAGGCAAAGGGTTTAGCAAAAGCCATGAAAGGCCACGTCCCTGGCTATTATTGCATTCAGCATGTCCTGTATGAATTTATTAGGTAGCTGAGTAGGGCCAAGGCAAATTCTTGCCCTGCCAGGCCTAGCATGTTCAGAACAAAAAGTACTGCAGAAACATTTAGCTACAGAGAGAAAGTATTGGTAGAGGGAGAGAACTTTTACGTTGTAAAGGGCTTACTTAGCATTATTGTAGAGATTGAAAATTTACTTTGGAATATCTCATTTCAGTTTAACCACTTTTCTCATGAACAGCCTTTTCTCTAGAACAAGAACTTTTTGAAGAGCCTAACAAAATTACATTAATCTATTTCATTGGTGTTTATGTACCTCCAAATTTATAAAATGGAGATAGTAATGTCTAGCACAAAGGATTGTGTGGTTTAAATGAATTAGTGTGTAAGGAAATAGGAAATGTTATGTTATTATGGAAATATATTAACAATTATTCAGTTTAGAAAATAAACACAAAAGTTTTTGATACTGTCCTCAAAGATGGCACCACACTATAATGTTTGTACTCTATCAATTCTTTAACTCTCTAGTTAGATTACAAAAATTAATAAGTAGATGCCTTTGTTTAGTGAAGTCTAAATTTAATCTTAAAATTGTATTCTAAAATGCAGCCAATTCTTGATGAGCCATATGTGAATTACCCAATTGTGGATTATTGGCCAGAAGTTTGCGTTTTATATAAATTGAACTGAACTTTAGGAAAAGAGACCAGGCGCAGTGGCTCACACCTGTAATCCCAGCACTTTGGGAAGCCAAAGTGGGCAGATTGCTTGAGGCCAGAAGTTTGAGACCAGCCTGGCCAACATGGTGACACCCTGTCTGTACTAAAAAATACAAAAATTAGCCAGGCGTGGTGGTGCATGCCTGTAATCCTAGCTACTCAGGAGGCTGAGGCAGTAGAATCCTTTGAGCCTGGGAGGCGGAGGTTACGGTGAGCTGAGATTGCGCCACTGCACTCCAGCCTGGGAGACAGAGTGAGACTCTGTCTTAAAAAAAAAAAAAAAAAAGGGAAAGATGAGTGAGCAGATAAAGGAGCTTGAATTAGTCTATAGAACAATAGGGTAGCTCTCTGGACCGGTCAGTGACTCAGAATATTGATGAAAGTTGTGTAACTGAGCAGAGAAAAGAGGTATGCCTTTATACGTGAAATGATCAGCTGAGTCTGATACACAGTTCTACAACTGAGTCATATGGCCAAAGTACAAAGTGTGAAAATTCATTTCATTAAAGACATTTTAAATTAGATTGGGTCAAAGACAAAAGAGAAAGCAACAGGGAAGACAATAAATGTGATTAGGTTATAAGTTTCTTTATTAGCTCTTAGGGTACAGTGGTAGTAGCTTTGTTGGCTATTATTTGAACAGAGGTAGAATATTTGTTAGTCTCAAATACGCCTAGCCACTTCATGTAGTGGCTAGTTAAAATCCCACTCTGTATGTGTGCCGTATTAGGAGATTCACTGATCTCCATTGTCAT
This sequence comes from Homo sapiens, assembly GCF_000001405.40. Lineage (NCBI taxonomy): Eukaryota > Metazoa > Chordata > Mammalia > Primates > Hominidae > Homo > Homo sapiens. The sequence continues at coordinate 61,838,277 of NC_000001.11, forward strand.
GCCTTATAGGATTGTGTCATGGCAAACAATGCGTGTAATTTGTCAAGAGCATGAATATGATGGCTTGACTGAGTACTCTGTTTCTTTTTTTTTTTTGAGATGGAGTCTTGCTCAGTCGCCCAGGCTGGAGTGCAGTGGCGCGATCTCAGCTCACTGCAAGCTCCACCTCCCGGGTTCACGCCATTCTCCTGCCTCAGCCTCCTGAGTAGCTGGGACTACAGGCACCTGCTACCACGCCTGGCTAATTTTTTTTTTTTTTTTTTTTTTGTATTTTTAGTAGAGACGGGGTTTCACCGTGTTAGCCAGGATGGTCTCGATCTCCTGACCTCGTGATCCACCTGCCTTGGCCTCCCAAAGTGCTGGGATTACAGGCGTGAGCCACTGCGCCCGGCCGACTGAGTACTCTGTTTCTAAGCAACAAAACTCTTCAGAAACTTGGTTATAAGTTTTTATACTGTAATTTCTTGCCAGTTTGTAGGTGAGGTTTTTATATTATACCTTAGTTATCTCTGTCTTCTTTCCCTAGTATTTATGTGTAATGTCTTTATTCCTTAGACTATGGTCTCCGTGGAAGATTACTGATACTCCCACTAGTATTAATAACAATGTTAGGTAACATTTACTGAATGTTTACTGAGTGCCAGGTAATGTTCTAATTGCTTTACATGTATTAGGCTATGTATTCCTCACATGAACCATATGAAAGAGATACTCTTATTGTTGTCATTTTAGAAGTGAAGAAACTGAGGCACAGAAAACTTAAGTAATTAGTCCAATTCATACAGGTAGTATATGGTAGAACTGAAGCAGTTGGGCCCCAGGTCTTTTTTTTTCTTTCTTTTTCTTCTGCCGCCGACTCCTCCACCAGGTCTATGCCTTTAACCATCATACTATACTGCTCTTTCCTTTGTGAGTGCTATTTCCATGTGCATTTTATTATAGGGCATCCATACAGTAAACTTATTACAGAAGACCTTTCTGTTTTTTCAGCTTGTGAAAAATTTCATATCTTAAAAACTAAGCTACTAGATAGTATTCTCATTTTTCATGCTTATATGAAAGTTTAGCAGGTATTAAAAATTAATATAGTGTGCTCATATGCATTGTGTAAGAGCTAGTTTTATTGCTTCAGAAGACCATCATTGCAAATTTAAGAATCCTAAACTAGTGCAAGTAATTTGTTGTGGGTTAATGTTCAATAATGAAACAATGATTAGGTAGTCCAAGAGTCTGTAATTTTTAATTTCTACCAAAAAGCTTGAAAAAAAATTAGAACTGTATGGATTTTACCTTCAGTTGACCTTATAAATTAAACATGGCAAGTAGATATTTTCTGGTGTTTTGATTTATGTTGAACTTTGAATAACCCCTCATGATTATAATTCACTGGAAATGTTTGACATTAGCTAATTTTTGAACATTAGCCATGATATTGCCATCCTTGGTACTTTTTGAATTTCAGTGATTTAGAAGATAAAATTTATTAACCAATAATTCTCCTCCCTCCTACATCCTATTCCTCATTCCTCTCCCCTCTTGAGTGACTCAATTTTTGCCAAAGCTGATATTTTTGAAACACTATTTTTATCTCTCTCAAAGTCTGAGAGAGATAAAAATAGAAATCATAATAACATAGCCATTGGGAGGTGATTCATATGTAAATACTGTTAGTAATGCTTTAAAAATTTGCTCGAAACCAAAGTCAAATGGCGACTCATTAAAAAGAATAGTGGAAATATTTCTCCCTATAAAAATTGACAGTTATTAATTTTTCTTAAAAGAGGAAATGGGTTATAAAACCAAAATATAAAATATTGCAGTGTTACTGAGTCTTGAATATAGTATGCCTTAGTATTTGTGCAAAAAATCTAGTGTGTAGTTTTGACTGCCTATTAACTCTGTTAGAATTCTCTTTTTAAAAGATTTATAAAAGTTGTAGGACGGGATTGTATACATTTCATGTATGTCTTTAAGTTGTCTTTTTCCTTACCCTATGCACAACAGAATGACTTTCTGAGCACATTGAAAATGTTTTAAAAATAGGTAATACATACATATGGCAGAAAAATTCAAAGGTGTATAAAGATATCCTGTGACAAGTAAATCTACCTCTGACCATAATCCCTTACTTCTTCCAGGTAAAAAACCTTGGTTTTTCTTGTCCATCCTTCCAGAAACATTTTATATATACATGGTTATATAAGTAATAGTACTTATTTAATTTTAAAAAAACTTTGACATATAAATGGATTATATCATACACACTTTAAAGGCTCTGTATTTTTTTTCTTAAAATTATATGCTCTTTCATTTTGGTACTTATAGAGCTACCTCTTTTTAATGACTACATAGTATTTTTATTGTTGATGTACAATAATTTATTTCATCAGCCTCCTGTACCCAGTTGGTGGGCATTTTAAGTAAGGCTTTAGTGGATATTTTTGTGATACTCTTTTGTTAAAAGGTGGGAATAAATCTTGTAATAGGTAGGTGATAAATTCCTAGAAGTGGAATTACTCATCAGAAGAGCATACTGTATCTTTTAAATTTTGGTACATATTTACCAAATAGCTTGCATTTAAGTTTGTGAGACTCAAATATATTTAGACCACTTAAAATGGATCCTTTCTTATGTAGAGTTATTTCTTTATTCCGATAATTCTCATGGAAGATAGTGTAAGCAGGTGTGTAATTCATGAATTTGCTAATGGTTTTCTATGATGTGGACAGATTAAGTGATAGCAATATATAACTATCAATTTTGTTTCAACTTTATATATGGCGGTAATTAATTTATTGGCCTTTGTAGCTAAGTGGGCATAAAGTGTTTATATTCAGACTATGATATTAGTGCCCCAAACTCTATTTCTATTTCTTCCACTTAATTTTATTTATTTATTTCTTCTTCCACAAATTTTAATCTTGTTTTACTTTTGTTTATTAGAGAATTTAGCTTAAAGTGGTGGGGTTGGGGGGAGGGCATTAGGACTTTAATTTTTACCAAGAGATTTGAGAATTTGAGTAAATGCTAATATCAGTATATAGTTTTCAATAGCCTGTGCAAGCCTACTGTCTTCATGTTCATCTTAGCTAATCAGTTTACAGAATGTAGGATTTAGCATTTGATAGGTATTGATATAATTTTAACACATTAATAGTATATAGAGTGGTAACACTATAAAGTCAGGTATGTAACCATATTATTTCCAGAATCTAAAATATAAAGGATAGGCATGTACTATAAGTTATTATACAGTTTCACATTAATGCTCAAGGGATCTTATAACATGGCCACTGACATCTAGGTTTTTTTTTTCTCTTGCCTTTTTTTTTTTTGGGAGCTCTTTGGGTCCACGTCACCCATATAAGATATTGGTACTAAGCAAAATGCAGTCAATCTGCTACTAATGGCAGTATCTGTAGTCTTGCAGATATATCATATGCCTTACTGTTGAACAAACCACACAGCTGCATTTAAAGGTCACTTTTTGCTTAACGGAACTTAGGGGAACTGATAAAGGCTACTTTTTGCCCATCCCTGACTCCTATCCACATTTATTTTTATTAACATCAAAGTACTGTAAGTTCCAGTGCCAACTGGGCTGAAGATTTCTTTTCACAGAGGATTTGCTTCCTTTCCCTCTATGGGAAAGTTCTGTATCCCTTAAATCATTTTAAGCTGCTTCATTTGAAAAATAATTCTTAGTGGTGTGCTCATGGAGTGGATTGATTGTGGCTACTGGGGAAATTCTCTCATGGCTTAAGTTTTGCTTTTCAAGCCTGCAAAGTGGGTGAATGAAGGGAGCCCACTCCTGGTGTGTGCAGTTTGTAGTGTGCTCAGGATGACGACTGACTTCCAAAAACCTCAGTGCAGCAAGACTAAAGGCATCAGGAGACCAGAAGCCACTTAATAAGAGATCAAAGAGGCTGTGTGTATATCAGCTTGAAATCCAGATAGTACAGATCAAAAGCTTGCCTTAGTGAGGCAGCTGCAGGGGGATAAAGTTAGCAGGAGGCCTCAAAGATCTTAAGTCAGGCCTGATGTTGAACTTTGCAGGGATTTCATCGCTCTGGAATACGAATGTGGCAAAAAATCCCATTGTGTCTAGTGGGGGCGAAAGAGAATAACAGGCAAGCAGCAAATGCTTGTCAGCTTTCTCATAGGGTAGCTTTCCTTTTAACACGTGTTTATCCATGACAGTTTCTGCTTCATACTTGAAGGCATTGTTGAGGAGGAGAGGATCCTGAAGATGGTGAATCTACTGTATTACCTTTAGTGAGTGTTTCAGACGTGGCCAAACTATAAATATTAGTGTTTTTGGAATGGCCATGGAGAGCTAAAATGTGGCCATAAAGGTGCTCAGATTTACTGCCATAACTGGTAATCACATCTCTCCTGCAAAGTGCTCAAGATATCCAGGAAGTGAGTGGGTATCAGCCTGGCTATGCATCTGTCCCTCATGTAATTAAAAAACAGAACAGCTATTAAAAAAAAAAAGGAATAGGAACAGTTAATCGAAAGAAGAAACTCGGTCCCCAGAGGTGTTTCATCACCAGTCTTCTACCTGTAGCAATGGATGTGTTCTGGAGTTCCCAGTTGAGTGTGATGTCAGTATTAAGAACCATGGTAGTAGATAAAGTCATAGCCCTTCCTAGAGTGTGCCAGAGTGATTGAATCAGATTAACAAGTAGGTATTGGAAATCTGTTTGTTCAAGGTGTGATGATTTGTGCTCCTCCACCTTGTTTGTGAGTGTCATTTGGAGCAGGCAGTGATCCAGAAAAGCCAGGCTTTCCCAGTGAGTGCCAGGAAGTGGTGCTGCCTCCTTCTGGTACCAAACATCTAGTCTGTGAATGATGCTTGAAAGCAGATTGACTTGACTGGCTGATTTTTACACACCATTTCTAGGGCTCAAGTTTCCCTTTCAGCCCTTTCCTCTGTATTTTATTTTAATCTGATATTACATTTATCAGTACAGCACTGAACATATGGTATGGTTGAGAGGACTAGCTTACGAGTCAGAAAGCTCCCAAACGTCCAGGTTTGCATTCTGGATATACTCTTGGGACTTTGGCAAGCTTGTTAGTCTTTCTTATTCTCTGTTTACTAAAATGATAATATCTAAAATAGAAGTAATATTTGCTTTATAAGATTACAAGGACTAAATAAAAAGATGAATATAGGCTGGGTGTGGTGGCTCATGCCTGTAATCCCAACACTGGGAGGCTGAGGCAGGAGGATTACTTGAGGCCAAGAGTTCAAGACCAGCCTGGGCAACACAGTGAAACTGTCTCTACAAAACCAAAAAAACTTAGTCAGGCATGGTGGCGTGCACCTGTAGTCCCAGCTACTCGGGAGGCTTGAGTCCAGGAGTTCAGAGGCTGCAGTGAGCTGCGATCACACCACTGCACTTCAGCCTGGGTGACAGAGTGAGATCAGGTCTCAAAAAAAAAAAAAAAATGCATATAAATGCCTATGCTTTTCTTAACTCAAAATAATCAGTGTTCCTATTATATTTACTGAAAAATGATGATAATGATAATGAAGATTTTCAAAGATAGAATCTGGGTACAGATTTGTTGTGCTTGTTATTCATTCTCACCTTTAAAAGATACGAGCCAGTATGGAGACTATAAAAATGAAAAGGTATACTCCTATATATAATAAATATTTGCTGAGCATCTCCTCTTCCAGGTATTGTTCTAGGCATTGGGGAGCTAGCAGTGAACAAATTAGATGAAGTCTGTCCTCATGGAGTTTAAATTCAATTTGGAGTAGACAGACAGCGGACAAATAAGCATATATTACAACAGAATAAAGAGAACAGACTTGGCAACAGCTCTGTACAATATGTTATAATTTTAGCAATGGTGAAAGTAAGACTAAAAGACTCTCTGAGTGTTATTTCTTGGGATCCAGAGAGGCCCCAGGGGGAATTGAGGTCTGCTGTGTGGACAGTAAGGGATTGGACATTCCAGCCACAGTGAATAACCCAGAATTAATAAGTTAGTCCTGATTTCATGTTTTTATTTTCTTTTGTAACTAAATTGCTTAATATTTTCCTTAACTTTCAAATTTTATTTATTTTAATGAAAAATCCTTTGAAAACTTTGTGTTCTGATTTTTTATTTGGAAAACATGGCCACATGGTTTAATAGCTAACAATTACGTACTGCTTACAGTTCCCTCTTTTTTGAGGTTTCCCTTTCCATGGCATCAATTACCCACTGTCAACTGCAGTCTGAAAATATTAAGCTATTTTTGAGAGAGACCATATTCACATAAATTTTATTACCGTGTATTGTTATACTTGTTCTTTTTTTATTATTGTTATTAATCTCTTACTGTGCCTAATTTATAAATTAACCGTTATCATAGGTGATACGGTTTGCCTCTGTGTCTCTACCCAAATCTCATCTCAAATTATAATCCCCATGTGTCAGGGGAGGGACCTGGTGGGAGGTAATTGGATCATGGGGATGGTTTCCCCCATGCTGTTCTTATGATAATGAGTGAGTTCTCACAAGATCTGATGGTTTAAAAGTGTGTGGAAGCTCCCCCCTCATTCTCTCTCTCTCCTGCTGCTGTGTAAGATGTGCCTTGCTTCCCCTTTGCGTTACACCATGATTGTGAGTTTCCTGAGGTGCCCCCCAGCCATGCGAAACTGTGAGTTAATTAAACCTCCTTTCTTTTACAAATTACCCAGTCTCAGGTAGTTCTTTAGAGCAGTGTGAAAATGGACTAATACAACAGGTAAGTATGTAAGGGAACAATCATAATATATATAGGACTTGGTACTATCTGTGGTTTCAGGTATCTGCTGGGGGTCTTCGAACGTATTCCTTATAGATAAGGGGGGACTACTGTACTCTGTGTCAGGAATTGTTTAAAACACTTTAGGTATATTGACTGATAAAATCTTCTACAACCTCCAGGCTGTAGGTCCTGTAATCATCCTTGTTTTATGGATAAGGAAAACTGATGCTGAGGTTAAGGAGTTCACTCATGACCACCCAGTTAGTAAATGGAGCTGAGCTCCTGAGTCTGTGGTTTTGTCAGGTATAGTCTGTAGACCAAAAACAATACTAATTCTTCATAATTATGGCTCAACTGAAAGGTGATAGAAATTTCTAGTTATTTTGTCATTCTAGAGAAACATACTTAATATAATTTTAAAAGCTTTTCTTCAGATTATTCTTGAAGCCTTATGATCCCTTGCCTTTACTCCTCTCACCTGGCCAAAGCTCTTCACTGACATAATTTTTATTTATTTATTTATTTTTTGTCACCCGAGAGTATAAACTGTATGCTTTACCTTGCATTTCCTAGCAGGACTCCTTGGCCTTTTTCCTGTACAGTTTCAAAGTTAGCAAAGTTTTATTTCTACATATTGTGTGCTGTATATCAACACTGGTTGACCTTTCAAGGATTAAAAAGAGCAAAACACTGCAGAATCTTTTCTAAAGAATGAAGGGCATCCTGTGACTTTGACGTGGCTGTGTTGTCAGACAATCTCCCAGTCTAGAGATGGCTCCAATCTTACAGTGTCTGCTCAGGGAGAATGAAGTTTGAGGATGCCATGCTGTTCTGAGCCTTTCTTTATGCATTCAAGAGGTTATAGATCTGCATATCTGGAGGGCATAGATTCAACCCTGTGTTTTCATATTTTAATATTTGAATGTAACACCACGAGGTGAGGGGTTTAGCAGATGATAGCACTGTTGGTCTAAGTTACATATGCTCAGTTGAATTTAGAAGGCAGTAAATCGGATGGAAACTCCTCAAACCCATATGTCCTTTTAACATCTTTTCCATCATAATTCTCATAGTAATAATAGTAATGTTAATATAATAATAATGTTATTATTACTGTGAGAATTATGATGGAAAAGAAGTTATTACTATGAAGCGATTTCTATGGACTAAGCACATTACATGCTTTTAATAACTGTGAAATCTGTACTATTGTTATTTCCATTTACAAATGAGAAACTCAAATCTTCATGATTAAACAACTTGATCACTATCATTCGGCTAGTATTTGTGCTTAGGTTAAGTTGACAGTGATTTGTTTGGAAAATTAAATTCCAAAATCAGTATTTGCAAAGCTTTTAAGTTTTATATGTCTGTACTTTCCCTGCATCATAATACAGTTTCAACTAATACAACTTTTTTCTGGAAGATAATGGACTATTTCTTATTTATAAATTCATATTCTACATTTATAAAAATTGTAAGGTACACTTAACATAAAATTTACCATCATAACTTTTTAAATGAATAGTTTAGTAGTGTTAAGTATATTCACATTTCAACTAATGTAATTTTTGTTATTTTTTGAGAGGGATTCTCATTCTGTTGCCCAGGCTGGAGTACAGTGGTGCTATCTCGGCTCACTGCAACCTGCACCTCCTGGGTTCAAGGAATTCTCCTGCCTCAGCCTCGCGAGTAGCTGGGATTACAGGTGCGCACCACCAAGCCTGGCTAACGTTTTTGTATTTTTAGTAGAGACGGGTTTTCGCCATGTTGGCCGGGCTGGCCTCGAACTCCTTGTCTCAAGTGATCTGCCCGCCTTGGCCTCCCAAAGTGCTGGGATTACAGGCATGAGCCACTGCACCCAGCTACAACTAATGTAATTTTAGTGCTTGGGTACTACTGTCTGCCTGGTGGAACCTTAGGCATTTCAGCAAGATGATGGGGCTTTTAGATAAAGGATAGTTGTATGATTTGTTTTGTTTTCCTTACAACTAGCAAAAGTCCTGGACCAGGACTGACTGGTAACCATGTAAACAATTCCAGCATAACATAAAATTTTCAAGAGATGAAACATCCAAGGAATGTATCTAATACAGAAAGAAGTTATTCAACAGGAGACCAGAAGGGTTATGAGAAAGGAATAGTCTTCAAGAAGTGATTTCCATGGGACTCCTGCTTAAACCATTTAAAATATTGGGGTGCTTAAAATAGGTTTTTAAAGTACTAAGCTTTATAGGATAAAAGTATGTGCAAGCTTATGTACTTTTTGTTCCTCTTAAGAATATATTTTGATCTTTTAGCAGGTTCCTTTGTCCACTTCTCTTCCATTTTGCTTTTTATTGCTTTCTGTGCTGTGCTTACTGTGCAGCTCTGGGACTGTTTAGTTCTATGTCTGATGTGTGGAAAAATCTATTCTTACTGCCTAATAGTGTTTAGGAAGTAATAAGACACAAGGAGCCAGGAACCGTATCAGTTTAATCTATCTTGAGTGGACTGAATGTACTTTGTGGGCACTTATTTTGAACATGATGGTGCTGTGGTAATTGGTATGATTAGTGTAATACTTTGCTATATTATAAAATAGTTAAAAATGGAGTTAGATGTTAGATAAGATAGCTTGCTCATTATTCATTAGAATCAATTAGTTATTACTTTGCATTCACTATAAACACATTTATTTCTCTTTCCCAAAAGTAAATGCTTAGCTTATTGGTCAAATCAGAAGACAGTCTTTTGAAATGATTAATTATACCCTATTGTTTTAAACCAGAACTGTTCTCGTGATTTTAATTCAGCTAATGGTTCCTGACATGGCTTCTGTTGCTCTGAAAATGGCAAAGGAAAAAGAAGAGGTGTTTTAAGATATATCTTATCAAAAAAGGAGACATGCTGTCATATGTATTTTGTTGTTTTTTTTTATAGTAAATACCCTTTTTGAGTTTTGTGACCAAAATGTACATCAATTTCATTGCTGATGCAGTGTTTTGAATTAACTTCTGTCTTTCGTTACTTTTTATAGTGGTTTTGTGAATGTTTGGATAGAAACTAGGGACAAATTTGAGTCAAGATACTCTGTCAAATTAAGTTATAGGATTTTAGAGTTGAAAGAAGGGATCATAACTCATGTATCCAACTTTTTCATTTTATGTTTGTGAGGAAACTGACTCAGAGAAACGAAGACACTCGTGAAACTCTACACATCCAGGTGGGGACCGGGCTAGGTCTCAAAACTTGTCTCTTCTAATCCACACTCATCTTAACACTAATGGGCTGAATATCTGCCTTCATTCTGTCTGTCTCTTATATATCTTTTCTGCTTTTTAAAAATCTTGGAATTCTTGTTTTCTGACATTACTCACAACGGAAATTTTAATTCATGCTAGCTGTGCCACCGAGCTTGTGCCGATCACTGTTTTCCTTTTTCCTTAAGGTATACAAATCTGTGTGTGAGTGTACGTGTGTATAAAAGAACCTTTCCTTTGCCTCTTTGTACCCAGTTCCTCCTTTTGCCTACCTCCAGAATGAAATAGTTGTCTCCCTTTTATTTATTTATTTTTAATGTTTTTTAGAGACAAAGTCTCACTGTATTGCCCAGGGTGGTCTTGACCTCCTGGACTCAAGCGATCCTACCCCCTTGGCCTCCCAAATTGCTGGGATTACACTATGCCCGGCCAGCTGTCTCCCTTTTAAACTTAATGGTTTCTTTCTGCATTCTCTATTTTAGCAACTTCCTTGAGATGTTGCTTTGAAGATTAATTTAGCTGTTAATTAATTTAGATTTTAACTTAATACTCCTTAGTTCAAATAATAATGGCCACATTTAAGAGTATACTTTTCAAGAAGCCAATATCTGGCTACCTGCTGTTTCATAGTTTCCTCAGTTGACCATTATTAAGTTGGAATAATTCTCTTATCCAATATTACAGAGCTAACTATTCATGTTGTCCAGAAATTTGTGTGTAGTCCCTTTAAAATTATCTTTGAAACATACTTTCTCTTACTGAAATAAAAATACATATCTGTGGAATGAAGCTGAAAGCCTAGTTCTGTAGTGACATGTGGTACAGCATTGAACTTGTTGGTTGGTAGATTGTTTCTTTTCACTTGTAGAGTACTTTCTATTTCAGAGTTGATTGAAGTTGTTTTGCTAGTCCTTCCTTGGAATCATTTCATCCTTGTGAAGGACCTCTGTAATACAGCTGTAGAGCAGGTATTTTGGTGTGGTGAACTATACAACACAGCCTAGAACTTTAATAACATACCATTAAGACTATATAAATTAGGTCAGGCATAGTGGCTCATGCCTGTAATCCCAGTACTTTGGGAGGCTGAGGTGGGAGGATCCCTTAGCCCAGAAGTTTGAGATCTGCTGAGCAACACAGGGAGACCACATCTCTACAAAAATTAAAAACGATTTAGCTGAATGTGGTGTACACTTGTGGTCCCAGCTACTCAGGAGGCTGAGGTGGGAGGAGCACTTAAGCCCAGGAGGTCGAGACTGCAGTGAGCCGTGATTGTGCCACTGCACTCAAGCCTGGGCGACAGAGTGAGACCCTGTCTCAAAAAAGAAAAAAGAGACTCTATGAGTTAACCATATTTCCTCTCATGAGTTTAGTTGACCAACTTTATATGTAATACACTCAGTTGACAGTAAGAGTCAAAATTATCAAAGGAAATAAACTATGATCCATCTCTTTGCCATCCTGCTGTGTGGTCTTTAAATTCCTATCCTGTTATTTGATGTCTTTAAAAGTTTGAGTGTTACATACAGAATAAATTTTTTAAAAACAAACAAACCCAAAAGATATTCTTCATTTTGAATGTAGTTAAGTCTTTGTTACACCTTGTGTTTCTTTATTGGGGTAATACTGCTAAGCATATAAATGTTAAATATTAGAACAATTCTTGGTATATATCTCCTGTTCTTATTTCCTAAATGCCTCTTATTGATGCATTTGCCAGTTTATTACCTATGACACTTTTCTTGTTGATTCCTTCTGTCTCCTCTTTATGTCACATTCTCTACTTCGTGTCTTTTCACTGAGTTTGCCATGGTAGCTTGGATTTGTCATCTAGGTTTTAGAGCAATTTCACAGCTAGAGCTCTCCACATCTTCGAGTTGATGTCTCTGTCTGTGACAGAGCCTGTTTCCGCTGAACCACCTCTCCGCTCTAGGTGATGCTCTTGCACTCTCCCTTAGCTTATGTGAAATCTGGTCTCTTTGATCTTTGGGAATGTACACAAATATTCATATAATACATTTTATAGACACATCAGAAACTTTGAATCCCATCCATTTGGGCATAATGATTATCACATGTTTGAATCTGTTCATGTAACAGTCTTCTTACGCCCACCAAATGAATGGATTCTTGAGAAAGTAACTGTACATTGAAATTTGGCAAACAAATGCATGTTTTACCTGTACATGCAGGCATGCTGCACATTCTGTACCCTCTAACTTTTCATCTGCTAGGTACTGAAACATGAACCTCTGGTGGCCAAGTGCAATATTTAGGGGATTCAGTTTTATACACTTTGGTAAGATGATAAAAATATCTTCTAACATATTTGTCTTCTTTCAACATTTCATTCATTTAGCAAATACTTAAGTTAGAGAAGCAGCATTGCTTAGTGTGGCTAAAAGCACAAACTCTGGGAATTGACTGGCTGGCTTAATTTCTGGCTCTGCCATTTACCAGCCATGTGCTTTGGTTAAGTTATTTAATTTTTCTCAATTTCCTCACCAGGAAAGTGGGGATAATGTTGGTACATACCTACCTCATGATGGTGTGAGAATTAAATGGGTTCAAATAAATAAGATTCTGAGAACAGTGCCTGGTATGGCAAGAGCTTAGTAAGTGTTACCAGCTGTTGTTGTTATTCCTATATGATGGGATGTGGCTTTTGCTTTTGGTGTACTTGCCGTCCAGTGGGAAGACGCAAACTAAATAGATAGTCATTCAACATTTTAACTACTCTTCAGTGCCTTCTCCATGACAAGCATTGTAGTAGGCCCTGAAAATCAAGCAAAAACTAAGCAAACACATTCTTGGTCTCATAAAGCTTACTTTTAGTAGGAAGTAATTTAAAGGAAATAATTTACAATAATTTCAGTAAAATGTAAAAAGTATTTTAATGAAGAAAATGCAACAAGCTGTGGATACATCTAACAGGAAGACCAAACTAATTCTAGAAGGTCAAATAGTAAAGGAAATATATTATGATAAATGCTGTAATTGAAGGTCTTTTTTGGTTTAGGGATATCACAGAGTAGGAAGTGCTTGGGTCTTCAGGGAGTAAGGGAATGCTTCTCATTGGAGGAGACACTTGAGCTGACTCTGGGGCAAACTCTAGACAAGTGGCAGTGGGTCAGGGAGGGCGTTCGTGGCTGAGGGGATGGTTTGCATTAAGCCACGCAGCATGACAAGGCCTTTCACAATACCTGGGATAAAGTGTTGGGCAAACGGGAGCAGGCAGTGATATGTATGGGGAAAGTGAGAGACGAGACAGAACTGCAGTTCTGAAGGATTTTCCTTCCACGAAGAATAAAGGAGTTAGGACTTTATCTTGAAGGCAGTAGGTATCCCTGAAGTACTGTAAGCAGAGGAGGAATTATGATCACCTTTTTATTTTTAAAGATGGTTCTATTATCTCTCTAGAAAATTGACTCATGGGGGCAAGATTAGAGACAGGTAGACTTATCAGGAAACTGTAGCAGCTGCTCAGAAGTAACGAGAAGCTGAACCAAGGCTGTGGCAGTGGAAATGGAAAGGAAGAATCAGAAGAGATAAAAGGCTGAGATAAAAAGAACTGACATGCCTTAGTGAGCAACTCAATGGAGGGGTGAGGGGGAGAAGGGAATGCTTGAGTATATGCTGATGCCACTCAGAGGATATAGGGAGGCCAAGGCGGGAGGATCACTTGAGGCCAGGAGTTCGAGACCAGCCTAGCCAATATGGCAAAACCCCATCTCTACTAAAAATAGAAAAATTAGCTGGGAGTGACGGCACACACCTGTAACATCAGCTACTCAGGTGGCTGAGGCATGAGAATCCAGCCTGGGTGACAGAGAGGGATTCTGTCTTAAAAAAAAAAAAAAAAAAAAAAGAGGTGTAGGGTACAACTTTCAGAAATAAATGGGCTGAACCAAACATATGGTACACTGTTACAGTGTGTATAATAATATAAGCCTTTTGAATAAAGAGGAAAAAAATTCCTTCAGAAGAGAATGGCTCCCATAGTACATGTTTCTCATGTTCTATGATTGGTCTCTGGTGCCCTCTATTGGCTATTTAGTCTAAAGCGGCATCTTGATTCTTAAACACAATGTTCCTTGCAGTGTTATTTACCAAAAGAAGAAATATTAGAGATTTTACAATTATGATGAAAGGTGATAAAAACTGATGGGGATTTTGTTTTTAGTAGGAAGACAGTTAAAATAATTTCAGCAAGGTGCCATCAGGGGTGTGCACATTGGCAGCACATGTACTAAAATTGGAATGATACAGAGATCAGCACGACCCTTGTGCAAGAATAACATGCACATTTGTGAAGCGCTTCATATATTTATCTATGTAAATATGCCTGGGGGCCTGGGGGTTGGGTAAGGGTTTTGAGAAGTGTCTCTATAACATTTGTTTGCTATAACATGCACATAATATCATAGATTGTATTTTCAGAAAATGGACCTTTCTGATGAGAAGCAGCCTGAGTCAGGCTGGTGTTTGAGCATTTTTATGCAGCAAAGCCTCAAGAATAGCAGCCACCTCAGTAGGCAGTAGCAGCTGCTGTTTTTCCATAGGGTGGCTGCTGCATGTGATGTAAAGGAAATGAAAGGAAATGACTGTTACTCATTAAAGCGATTTCATTCAGCTACGTGGGAAATCACAGGCAGAAAAGTCATCATAAAAAATGAAGCAGTGATTATACATAATGGGGCATCTTCAGAGGTAGCTAGTTTGTCCCCTCCCTGCCCCCCAAATGACAAAGAAGCTGCCTTTGGGTTCTGTCGTCCAGGAAAAGGGGTGGTAGATTGGATTTAGTGTTTAGCATAACTAGTGGTCTAAACCTGAATACATTTTAGTAAGAAAGCATTCCTGTCACTAGTTTGAGGTCTAAAGAAGGCCTCACTTTGTGTAAATTAGTGCTCACAATGACTTTTCTGGCAATAAGGAAAATATATTCACCTTTCAAGGGTAGAAGTCTATTTCCATTTCCTTCTGGTGAATCGTCCTTTAGAATGTTCCTAAATTATCAATTCAGTGGGTTGCATTTTGAAAACCTCCTCACCTATTTGGGTTAAAAATAATATTTTTAAATTTTGGTGTTATCTGAAACTGCAGAGATTGTTCACAAACAACTTGGTGCAACCATTTATTTGCTTTTGGTATATTTTGCTGTTGCAGTTTTCTCTAAGGAAGTGTAGAAATTATTAATATGAAGTAATGTTAGCTGCTGGGCAGTTCATGAGAGGAATAAGCTATTATGTAGTCTCCCTTCTCCCCCCAATAAAAAAGCCTTTCATCAAAAACTGACATCCTAAATGAAGGAAATAATTGTACAGCTTATTTATTAGTGTGTCAAACTTAAAATGTAATGGTTTCATATTTCAGGATGAAAAGTGTGTTGTGATTCATGGTTGCCAGTGACAAAATAGACAGCTCTTTTATATTACCACGTCGATTGCCTGCTGATATGCCACTGTACTTTTTGGTTCTCTTCTGTTCTCTTCCTATGCAATAGCTCCCTCTACTTGAAAATACTGGTGTAATTATAGTTTAACACTACTTTATTAGTGAGTTCCCTGGGCTCTTTTTTACTTTTAATCCTCTTCATAAATATGTGGTGTTATATTACATCAGAGCCTGTAAGAAAATTTTGAAGAGTCTCTTGACTCGGGGGTAGAAAGGCAGGGTTAGTTGCAAAAAGCAAGATAAGTTACATTTGAAGGCATTCTTCAAGGAATTAGCTGTGTAGCCTTTGTTGATTTAAATATGGTATATTTGGTTAAAATTCCATGCAGTACTTTGAAAATGAACCCTGATGTTTGAAACACAGAGGCATAGAAAACTGGATCAGAAAACTTCAAAAGAATCATCAGCCACTTCAAACAGACATAGCCGGGAACTTGGCAAGTTCTTACTTTGCTAATTCCAAAGTTTTGTAATTCCCACAGAAAACCTAGCAGTTTTTCTCTACTTTCTCTGGAAGGTTTTAAGAGAGGCTAGAGTAGTAGAATCTCAGGTTACAATATGTTGCCTTGTGGAACAGCATGTGCATAATGAAACAATGGGAGAAGCATAGAGAAACCAACGTGAATGCTGCTGTGATTGGGATGTCATTTTTTCTCTCCCTTGCTAAGTTAGAAGTTCAGTAATAGTGCCATACACCTCCACCATTAAGACAAATTAAGAGACTCTGCTCAATCATAAGATGGCCATATGAATATTTCTTTCTTCTCAATTTACAACTCTTTGTTTCCCGTTTCTTCTGACCATTAATGATGCAGAGCAAGCTGCAGAGTGAGGTGGTCAAGAGTAAGGACTTAAGAGCCAGGCTGCCTGGTTGGATTCTGGCTATGCCACATATACGCTGGGTGATATTGGCTAGTTTCCTTAACTTTCTGAGCCTCGGTTTCGTCATCTGTAAAACACAGACAATAAATTTGCCTACATCCTGGAGATGTAAGGATTAGATAAGTTAGTGATTGTCAAGCCCAACATATAGTAAGTGCTATATATCAGTTGGTTAAATAAATTAAAAAACAGTAGTGGAGATATAAATTGGTTTTCATTAACCAGATGTATTGAATGTCAATGTTGTCCTCGGTGTTTAATATCAAGAAATATGGGGCTCTCCCAACGGGTGAAAGATCTGTATGTTGCTTTTGTTCATAAATTCATATTTAAGTGTGTATTGGAATAGTTGTGACCTAAGGGTACTATATCATAATTTTAGGTCACATTATTTATAAATATACTTTTTAAAATACAGTGGAATCGTCCATGGTTTCCATGTCTTTTCTGGATTTGTGTGGTTTTATAGGAGGATTCTGTACTACTGGTGAAGGTATAAGAACGGAGTATCATTTCCCATTTTATATTTATGATTACGTTCATGCTTTTCTTGGAGCTTACTTACGGCTCTAGAGGAGTAACAGACAGGCTTATCTTTGGTCCATCATATGACTGTGCTTGAGAATGTCAGAGAATCTTGCCCAGCTGTTCCCAGACCTCGTATGGTCCAGCCAAATATCAATCACCAAAAATTTTAACAGGAAATCTATATATTTTGGGCACTCAGACATGCCACTGAAATTGTTAAGATTATATTTTCACCTTGATACAACCTGATATTTGCGTGATGTTTTATTTATTTATTTTTTGGGACAGGGTCTTGGTCTGTCACCACAGCTCTGCAGTGAGCTCTGAACCACAGCTCACTGCAGCCTTGACTTCCTGGGCTGAAGCAATCCTTCCACCTCAGCACCCCCTGCTCCACCTCCCTGGTAGTTCGGACTACAAACACACACTACCACACCTGGCTAATTTTTGTATATTTTGCGGAGATGGGATTTCGTCATGTTGTCCAGGCTGGTCTTGAATCCTGGGCTCAAGCAATCCTCCTGCCTTGGCCTCCCAAAGTGCTGGGATTACAGGCATGAGCCACTGCACCTGGCCTTTTAATTTTTTTAATTACAAAAACTTTTTCTAGCAAGGTCTTGCTATATTGCCTAGGCTAATCTCAAACTCTTGAGCTCAAGCAGTCCTCCCACCTCAGCCTCCCAAGAAGCTGGAATTATACAGAGGTGTACAACCATACTTGGCTTAGAGTGAGATTTTAATTTATTTTTACCTGTTTAGAAGATTATCACCAGAGTGCCAGACACATGAAGTAAGTGGTCAAATAAGATTCATCAGTCAACTCAAGCTGTCCTAAGGCTGCATATTTATTTTCAGTGCATGGACTCATCCTTCTTCTTTGCTCGATTCACAGGACCCTTTAGATCCTACAAGATCAGTGATTGTGATCCGCTCCCTGGTAGCAGATGGTGTAGCAGAAAGAAGTGGGGGACTATTACCTGGAGACCGCCTGGTCTCAGTCAATGAATACTGTTTGGACAACACCTCACTTGCTGAAGCTGTGGAAATATTGAAAGCTGTGCCACCAGGCCTAGTACACCTTGGCATCTGTAAGCCTTTGGTGGTAAGTGTTGTATTTTGTTAATATAGGAAGTGATAATAGTGCAACAGTTAAAAACATGGATTTTGGAGACACATATACCTGGCCAAGAATTTCTGTTCTACTGTTTACTATGTGTGTGACCTTGGGCAGGTTTCTTAATGTCCTTGACTTACAATATCAGAAAAAATAATGTCTACCTCATAGGGTTTTGGGATTTAAAGGTTATATTCATTAAGTGCATAGCATATTATTACATAAATACTAGCTGCTAATGTTGCTAGTTCTACTACTACCACTCTTACTACTATTTTCATCTTTATGCTTTTAGCACAGACTTCTAAGCTCTCAGCACATTTCTTATGTGTAAATTATTATTATTATTATTTTATAGACAGAGTCTCTCTCTGTCATCCAGGCTGGAGTGCAGTGGCACGATCTTGGCTCACTGCAACCTCCACTTCCTGGGTTCAAGCGATTCTCCTGCCTCAGCCTCTCAAGTAGCTGGGATTACTAGCATGTGCCACTGTGCCTGGCTACTAATTTTTTGTATTTTTAGTAGAGATGGGGTTTCACCATGTTGGCCAGGCTGGTCTTGAAGTCCTGAGCTCAGGCAATCTGCCTGCCTTGGCCTCCCAAAGTGCTTTTTTAGGGGTGTGAGCCATTGCACCTGGCTATTCTTATATGTAAATTAAAATAAGTATCCATTTTAACTTTCATTTGGGAATGGTGTCAAGATGGTATGATAAGTTGAAATCCTTGCAGCTATAGCATTTTAACCATATAACACTGAGAGTTTAATATGCTTTTCTCTCCATCAAAGCACCTTGTAACTCCTAGCATCAAGAACCCCTATAATGTCAAACCATCTTGAAGTCATCTTGTTGCTTTATCTAATGGTCAGGTTACTGCTTATGACTGAAGGCTACATTACAGTTATGGTGCTCTGGAGGCCTCTAATGCAAAAAACAAACCACCACCACCACCAACAACAAAAACTTAATGATGATGATTTTCAGCCAGTTTTATTATTATTAAGTGCTTACTAAATGTCATTCTTTCAAGCCCTTTACACTTATTAACTATTAACTAACCTAATCCTTACAGCAACTTTAAGAATAGTCCTTTTGTTACCCTCATTACAGATGAATCAATCGAGGCACAGAGAATTGAGTAACTTACCCAAGTTCTTATAACTAGTAAGGGGCAGAGTTGTAATGTGCACCCAGCAGGGCACCTTCAAACCCTGTGCTCTTAGCCACAGTGCTGTACATGCCTGTCTTACTATGTTGTCACTTGCCTAGTTTGTATGCAGCATGTCTGAAACAGATAGCTTGGTTGTAATAAATTGTTAGTCTGGATTTCTAGAAACCTGGGCTCTGCCCCCTGGCTTTGCTATGAGTTAGCCCAGTAGGTTTCAAACTTAAAGATATGTAATATATATAAGAATCACCTGAGAGGTAGTTAAAATGCAGTTTCCCAGGTTCTACTCCCAGAGATTCTCATTTAGTAATTCTGATATGCTCTTCAGGAATCTACCTCTTCAATGGGTCACCTATGTAATTCTGATGCAGAATTTTGTACTTTGAGAAACATCGTACTAGTAATTTGATCAATAGGTATACCACTTCTCTAAGCCTATTTTTTTCATCTTTGAAAAGACTGAATAAGACTAGAGAATTCCGAAGGTATTTTTTTAACTCCAATTCTTTAATGTATGAAACATTTTAACTTAACATACGAATAACATACTATAAGTGCTCATATGTATAGATAGATGGATAGGTAAATATAGATAGATGTGTTCATTGTATTAGGCTGTTCTTGCATTGCTGTGAAGAAATACCTGAGACTGGACAATTTGTAAGAAAGAGGTTTAATTAGCTCACAGTTCTACAGCCTGTACAGGAAGCATGGTGGCATCTGCTTCTGGGGAGGCCTCTGGGAGCTTTTACTCATGGCAGAAGACAAAGTGGGGGCAGGCACTCGTATGGCAAAAGCAGGAGTGAGAGAGAGTTGGAGTGGGGTGGGGGATGCCACAGAGCCATACTTTTTTTTCTTTTTGGAGACAGAGCCTCACTCCGTCATCCAAGCTGGACTGCAGTGGTGCAATCTCGGCTCACTGCAACCTCCATCTCCCAGGTTCAAGCAATTCTTCTGCCTTGGCCTTCAAGTAGCTGGGACTTCAGGCGCTCACCACCACGCTCAGCTAATTTTTGTATTTTTAGTAGAGACAGGGTTTCACCATGTTGGCCAGGCTGGTCTTGAACTCCTGAGCTCAAACAATCCACCTGCCTTGGCCTCCCAAAGTGCTGAGATTACAGGCGTGAGCCACCACAGCTGGCCATGCCACACACTTTTAAACCACCAGGATCACATGAGTACTCATTCATTCACCATCGCGAAGACAGCACCAAGCCATGAGGGATCCACCCCTGTCACCCAAACATCTCCCACCAGGCCCCACCTCTAGCTTTGGGGATTAAAATTCAATATAAGATTTTGGCAGAGACAAATATACAAACTGTATCAATCATATATAAATAGATTCATGTACAGCATATGGTATTTTTGCATGGGAGACCAAAAGGTGGTCTTCATGTATTACTTTTTTATTCTGGCCTGTGTATTACATCTATCAGACACTTTAAATATTTCAAAGTGGAATATAGCACATAGCTAAGTAAGTTCTTGACCTTTTGTGTATTTGGTGTGGGTATTGCCGTGGTCAACAGATGATGCCATGAGGTGCTTGGTTTGTGTTTTGGATAAATTAAGGACAGGAAAACTATTAATGTTTTTATGGGACCTCATCTTCTTAATGTTTTGGGTTGTAGCAGGAACTTTGTCTAGACTTTCCCTGATGGTTATTTGCCAGATTAGTGTGGCTGCATGGGGACATCCCAAACTATTTGTGTCCTAGAGCACTTCAACAGCAGAGCCTTTACCTTCAAGCAGTTTTAGGAAGTCTCGGGCCATTTAACAAAACAAAACAAAAACGAGTTGGTAGCAACTGGGTGTGGATCCTCATGCTATTTCTGGTGGAAGGACCTTGGAGCATTACTCTGAGAGTGTTTTGGAACATAATGATTGTGGGTGGAACTTCACCCAGGCCTCCCTCAGTGAGTCCAAGGCTGCCAAGAATACTTAGGAGTGGGAGGCCAATGAAGGGATTGAGAGAAAGGTCAATTTCAAGAATTTTTTTTCTTTTTAACTACTAAGTAAGCTTCCTTTAACATCTGGGGTCTTCTGGGAAAACTGCTCATGAGCTATAAATAGTGATTCAAGGAACCAGGCATGGATCTTCTCTGAGGTGTCTCTCTCTCTCTCTCTCCCTCTCTCTCTCCCCTTCTCTCTCTCTCATAGTAAAATTGACGGCCACTTATCTAATTAACTAATTTTTTTTTGTTGTTGTTTTTTGAGATGGAGTTTCACTCTTGTTGCCCAGGCTGGAGTGCAAATGGCGTGATCTCAGCTCACCGCAACCTCCGCCTCCTGGGTTCAAGTGATTCTTCTGCCTCAGCCTCCCGAGTAGCTGAGATTACAGGCATGCGCCACCATGCCCAGCTAATTTTTGTATTTTTAGTAGAGACAGTGTTTCTCCAGGCTGGGCAGGTTGGTCTCAATCTCCTGACCTCAGGTGATCCACCCGCCTCGGCCTCCCAAAGTGCTGGGATTACAGGTGTGAGCCACTGCGCCTGGCCTAATTAAGTAATGTTTACTGAACATTTACTCAATCCACAGTGCAAGTGGGGACAGAGAATGTGAATAAGCAGATCCCAAGTCAGGGTAGAGCAGAAAGACTGTGAATATATAATGGTGATGAGAACAAATTATTTGTATTAAGTCTTGTATTTATATAGCTATAGTATGTATATATCTATACACTTCATGTTATATATTTTCATCTTAGCTCTTTTCTAAAAAGAGGCTTAAAACCTAGGTGACAGGTTGATAAGTGCAGCCTCAAATATATCAGACCCCAAAAATGAATGAAATGACTTATTTTTATTATTTAACATAAAAATAGAGATGGGGTCTCTCCATGTTGCCCAGGCTGGTCTTGAACTCCTGGGCTGAAGTGATGCTTCTGCCTCAGCCTCCCAAAGTGCTGGAACTACAGATGTGAGGCACCACGCCCTGGCTGAAATGACTTTAAAAACTGCATTATATCTTCAGAAGTGATGGAGCAGAACTGACAATAAAACTCTTGAGCCAGACAGCTATGGGTTTTTGCTTAGTTATGTGGTTTGCAAGGCTACGTGTCCTTGTGCCAGTTATTCAACCTCATCAGCTTCCACTTTGCTCATCTGTAAGATGAGGATTGGCTGTACGCGGTGGCTCACGCCTGTAGTCCCAGCACTTTGGGAGGCGGAGGCGGGCAGATCACCTGGGAGGTCAGGAGTTCAAGACCAGCCTGCCCAACATGGCGAAACCTCGTCTCTACTAAAAATACAAAAACATTAGCCAGCAAGGTGTTGCTTGCCTGTAGTCCCAGCTACTTTGGAGGCTGTGGCAGGAGAATCGCTTGAACTGGGGCAGTGGAGGTTGCAGTGAGCCAAGATTACACCACTGCACTCCAGTCTGGGTGACACAGCGAGACTCTCTGTCTCAATTTAAAAAAAAAAAAAAAAGATGAGGATTGCATGGCATGATAATTGTGAACATAGGCTCTAGTACCAGACAGCCAGGGTCGAAATTTTGGGATATGTAGCGTTTGGCAAATTACTGTGTCCACTTTTGCTCACCAGTAAAATAGGGCTAATAAGAGGACCCACGTTTTAGAGTATATATTAATGTATTAATTAATATATTAAATATATTTACAGTACTTAATTTTGTGCCAGGTACATAGTTATATATACAAGGTCTATTCCTGGGAAAGTGATTTTTCTTTAAGAAATACTTTAAAAAGTTTGGGAAGCTCTGACCTGAATATGGAGTTCTTTTTAGTTATTAAAGAAAGTTTGTTCTAATGAAACAATTTGAATAAATTTTGTGTTGTGTATTTGTCTTAATGGAAAGATGAGAATCTGAAGAGTTTGAAACCAGGATATTTTCTTTCTTTCTTTTTTTTTTTTTTTTTTTTTTTACGTGAATGAATCTTTTCTTTTTTCTTTCTTTCTTTTACTTTAAGTTCTGGGATACATGTGCAGAATGTTCAGGTTTGTTAAATAGGTATATGTGTGCATTGGTGATTTACTGCACTTATCAACCCATCATCTAGGTTTTAAGCCCCGTGTGCATTAGGTATTTGTCCTAATGCTCTCCCTCCCCTTGCTCCCCACCCCACAATATTTTCTTATTTATAAATAAAAGTGGTTTATATTTTCAGGAAGATAATGAAGAAGAAAGTTGTTATATTTTACATTCAAGCAGTAATGAAGACAAGACTGAATTTTCAGGAACAATTCATGATATAAATTCATCTTTAATACTCGAAGCACCCAAGGTATTTAATAAATTTATTTCCCATTTGAATGATTTGCTATGAGCTAAAATTTCTATGTAGAAAGAATAAAAAGAAAATAAGACAAAAGCTTGTCCTTATCCTTTGGCTAAGTAGAAATAAATAAAGACATAAAGAAGACAAAAGCTTGTCCCCATCCCTGGCTAAATAGATATAAATGAACTAATCCTCCTTTCTCTCTCTCTCTCTTTTTTGAGATGGGATCTCCCTCTGTCACCCAGGCTGGAGTGCAGTGGTGGGATCTGGGATCTCTGTAATCTCTGCCTCCCAGGTTCAAGTGATCCACCCACCTCAGCCTCCTGAGTAGCTGGGACCACAGGCATGTGCTACCACGTCTAGCTAATTTTTTGTATTTTTGGTAGAGATGAGGTTTTATCACGTTGCCCAGGCTGGTCTTGAACCCCTGAGCTCAAGCAATCTACCTGCCCCAGCCTCCCAGAGTGCTGGCATTACAGGTGTGAGCCATTGTGCCTGGCCTCATTGTATATATACATATATATATATAGTTGTTGTTGTTATTTTGTTTTTTTTGACAGACTCTCACTCTGTCACCCAAGTTGGAGTACAGTGGTGTGATCTCGGCTCACTGCAACCTTTGCCTCCCAGGTTCAAGCAATTCTCCTGCCTCAGCCTTCCGAGTAGCTGGGACTACAGGCGTGCGCCACCACGCCTGGCTAATTTTTGTGTTTTTAGTAGAGACAGGGTTTCGCCACGTTGGCCAGGCTGGTCTCGAACTCCTGACCTCAGGTGATGTGCCCACCTCGGCCTCCCGAAGTGCTGAGATTACAGACGTGAGCCACCACGCCCAGCCTATTTTTTTAAAACTAAATTCTTTCCTTCCATATCACATTGCCTCTCTAAATGATAAAGGCACGACGTAAAGCATTTTCAAAGAACAAACATACACTAATGTATTCCTAAAATTTTGGATGGTAGAACATATTGTTGAAAATAGACCTGCATTTAAAATGCTATAAAAATGGAACTACACAAAAAGTATTCATATTGAATACTTTCTAAAGAAGAGTTATTTAGTCAAACCCTACCTTATGCTTTAATTTTAGAAAATTTATTTTGAAGCTTTCCTTTTTTATTCTTAAAAGGAATTATACTTATGTTGCTCTTTGCAGTTAGAGTATGGTTTTGCTTTACTTGATAACAACTGTCTAGTGATATTCTTTGCATAATATGTAGACAGTGTCTCAAGATGATATATGTTTCTATGATGTCTATTATATTTTTTAGTGCCGACATTTTAAAAATTTCATAACCATATGATGTGTTCAAATACATCCTCTAACCACATTAAAAAAAAAATACAGGGCAGTATTACTGTTTTCAGTTTTTTTTTTTTTTTTTTTTTTTTTTGAGATGGTATCTTGCTCTGTTGTCCAGGCTGGAGGGCAGTGGTGTGATCATAACTCACTTCAGCGTCAGTCTCCTTGGCTCAAGCAATTCTTTGCCTCAGTCTCCCAAGTAGCTGGCACCACAGGCGCATGCCACCATGCCTGGCTAATTTTTAAATTTTTTTGTAGAGACGGGGGCTCACTATATTGCCCAGCCTGGTCTAGAACTCTTGTACTCAAGAGATCCTCCTGCCTTGGCCTCCCAAAGTGCTGGGATTACAGGCATGAGCCACCATGCCCAGCCCTACTGTGTTAATTTAAAAGCTTCACTACAATGATGTTTAGCTGCAAGGAGAAGACAATAGAAAAGAATAGATTTATTCCAGGAATTTACTTCTTGGTAGTAAAGAATAAGACTTAAAATAGGAAAGATCTTTGATCTCTTAGAAAGAAGAGGACCTCATTATGCCCGGCACCCAGAGGTTCTCCAGAGATAGGTCATGGTCTGAGCAAATCTATATGCCAGGTTTTAGCCAGGAACCCACACAGTTTCTGCACATTTAGTTTCAGTGGTATGCACTAGCTGTTCTGATTAGTGAAATATAAATTAATTTTTAAAATACTGTATTCATTCCTTCATATTTATTTTCAACACAGATGAAAAATAAGATTTGTTATTTTTTATATTATAAAAGAGTCATACTCAAAGTAGAGACATACTCCCCATATCTTTAGTTTATAGAGAATGTTTTCTGAACATTCAGATAGTTATAATTTCTTTTGAGTTATTTAAGCTTGAAAATCCTGACCTTTTAAGTCTTTGCTTTCTTAAATAATAGTTTGCAGTGTATGTATACTTATGTACTACTTTTTATGGGTTAAATATTTAGTGTAAGAGTTTAACAAAATTCCTATTTCTAGTGGAGAATTGTCAGGTGGTTAATGTATAATGAACGTTTTAGCAAAATCATTCACCTTGCCAAGGGCAGATTTCTGCCTCATAATTTACTATTTGTCCCTCTTCTGGGTTAAGGATTGTGTGGAGGTGAGCTTGTGTTTCTCCATGTTTGCTGTGGAGAGCTGTGCATGTTAGCTGTGCCTTGGCATATGCAGTCACGCCAGCATTTGAAAATTTTCCAGTTTATCTATATAGTGCAGCTTCAGGACAGGCGTAACTTCACATTTTTTTGCATCTTTTATTTATAGGGATTTAGAGATGAACCATATTTTAAAGAAGAACTTGTGGATGAACCATTTCTAGATCTGGGAAAGTCTTTCCATTCCCAACAAAAAGAGATAGAGCAAAGCAAGGAGGCCTGGGAGATGCATGAATTTCTGACTCCTAGATTGCAGGAAATGGATGAAGAAAGAGAAATTCTTGTTGATGAAGAATATGAGTTATATCAAGATCCCTCACCATCCATGGAGTTGTATCCCTTGTCGCACATTCAAGAGGCCACTCCTGTGCCCTCTGTGAATGAACTTCACTTTGGTACACAGTGGTTGCATGATAATGAACCATCCGAGTCTCAAGAGGCAAGAACCGGGAGGACTGTCTATTCCCAGGAGGCACAGCCGTATGGCTATTGCCCTGAAAATGTGGTAAGAGATTAGAATAGATATTCCACACCTCCCCTTCTGCTCTCCTCGCCTGTCCCTGTCTCTAACTCATGTCACTTCAATGTTGTTTGTTTTTAAATGGGCCTTTCCGTAAGTCGTCACTGTTTACAAGATGTGTCATCCAGTGTCTAGCTGTAAGTATAAGCTCGTCTTTTCTGTATTTCACATCTTCTCATGGGGGTCAATAAACTGCAGTTGCCTTGCTGTTGTTTTAGGGCTTTTTGCTTTGCTTTTTTAGTGATGTTTTTCCAATTTCTCATTTCAGAGAAGAGTTCTTTTAACATTTGTGATTTAAAAAAAAAAATTCCCTGGGGAAACACAGCTGTATATTTTTCACATAGTTTATTTATCAGGCAAAATCAAGGCCAAGTTAGTACATACATATTCTTGTTTATATCTTGGTCACCCACATTTTTCTCTGTGTTATGTATGATGCTAAAAGCACTCAACTCTAGAAAATTATCTTTACACTTGAGATGCTATTTATTTACAACTTGGAGGGAAAGCATTGTGTGTGTGTATATATATACGTGTATATATATGTATATAAAATTTTCTTTTCTCTTTTTTTTTTTTTTTTCTGAGACAGGGCCTCTCTCTGTCGCCCAGGCTGGAGTGCAGTGCAGTGGCATATTCATGGCTCACTGCAGCCTCGACCTCCCAGGCTCCATGGATCCTCTCACCTCGGCTTCCTGAGCTGCTGGGACCACAGGCATGTACCACCATGCCTGGCTAGTTTTGTTTTTTTTTTAAATTTTTTTGTAGAGATGGAGTTTTGCCATGTTGCCCAGGCTGGTCTTGAACTCCTGGGGTCAAGCATCTCCCATCTCCCATCTCCCATCTCGGCCTCCCGAAGTGCTGGGATTACAGGTAGGAGCCACTGTGCCCAGCGAAGAGCATTATATTTTAATAGATTTGCCTTTACTATTATATCACCAATAAACTTTATTTTTCATAAAATTATAGTCAAGCAGTCACTAATTGGAATCCTTAATTAAGGACTTTAAAAAATATTTTTGTTTTTTTTATTTCCTGCCCCAAATTAACTTTTAGGCAAATGGAAACAGACTTACTGTATGGGGACATTTTTAAAAAGACAGCTTAGTAATATGTTCATATGCAGCGTGTTGCTTCCCTCTCTGAGGTTGGCACCTTTCCTGTTGTGATGTGCAAAGTGTGGCTTCAGGTGTTCTCTCAGTGGGCAGATAGAGGGTGTTTCTGCCCTTGCCTCCCTTAGACATTTCCTCACTTTGTCCCTCATGCAAATGCTGGTGGCTTCCTCTGTTGGGCAAGGTGCTGTGCTGGTTTTATTTATGTGACCCTGGAGGATTCACCATGATAGAGGGCCCTGGGCAGTGTACCAGAGAACAGATGTTTTTGGAATATGTGAATGATGCCTGGTTGCCTCTGGAAAGAGGTCACATGGAATCTGGTGTGCTCCGTTGACGTTGGTACTTTCTATATTTGCCAGTCCCTCTCATATCTGTCAGTGCTTAACGCCAAACAGCATACATATTCAGTTATATGAATCAAATTGGAAAGATTACTGAATATTCATAAAAATTCCCTTGTTCTGTTTTCTTCTATTAAAAGATAATTTTCTATGTACCCAAATAAAAGGCAACCTGAAATACCAGTTCATATATAAACTTTGAAGGCTATAGATGAAATGGTCAAATGTATACTTACGATATTTACTTTGTAAGTTTAGTTAAACATTCAATTTGAAAACCTGTGAGATGTTAAATTTTTTTTGCCTATTCTCATATTTAATTATATAATTTTATTTGAATTCTTCAGTGCATATTTAATGTCAGTATCTACATTATCACTAGAATCACTTTTTGATCGTTTAACACAGCTTTCCAAATATATCTTCATTTCTAACTAGGTTGTTTGAGATACAGCAATTTTTGAATCTGTACTGTCACTCAAAATTTTATTCTTATCTCAAGTGTCATTTGTGTAACGTTAAGTTAAAAAAAAAAATCCCTCTTATAAGTTTGTATTGATGCTCTTCACAATATAACTGTTACCGGAAAGAGGTCCTGATCCAGATGCCAAGAGAGGGTTCTTGGACCTCGCACAAGAAAAATTTGAGCGAATCCATAGAGTAAAATGAAAGCAAGTTTATTAGGAAAGTAAAAGAATAAAAGAATGGCTACTCCATAGATAGAGCAGTCCTGAGGGCTACTGGTTGCCCATTTTTATAGTTATTTTTTGATTATATGCTAAATAAGGGGTGGATTATTCATGCCTCCCCTTTTTAGACCATATAGGGTAACTTCCTGATGTTACTGTGGCATTTGTAAACTGTCATGGCGCTGGTGGGAGTGTAGCAGTGAGGACGACCAGAGGTCACTCTCGTTGCCATCTTGGTTTTGGTGGGTTTTGGCTGGCTTCTTTACTGCAACCATTTTATCAGCAAGGTCTTTATGACCTGTATCTTGTGCCAACATCGTGTCTCATCCTGTGACTTAGAATGCCTTAACCATCTGGAAATGCAGCCCAGTAGGTCTCAGCCTCATTTTACCCAGCGCTATTCAAGATGGAGTTGCTCTGGTTCCAGCACCTCTGACATAACCACTTACTCTATTGTTTGTTAAAGTGTTCTTCAAGAGGCTTGTTTAAAACAATAGTCAGTGCTTACAATTTGAAGAATGCATATTCTGATTACTAAATCTATGTTAAATTTCCTAGCTTCCCTCTTTTTATTTCTCATTACTGATTCAGCCATACTTGCTTGTTATTGCCATTTTCTTCCATAAAAAGAAAATTTTCTGTTTACCGAAACAAAAGGCAACCTGAAATATCAGTTTATTTTAATGTATACACTTTTAAGGCTGTAGATGAAACAGTCAAATGTATATTTATAATATTTACTCTGGAAGTTTACTTATTCATATTTTAAAATCTGTAAAATTTTTTTTTTTTTTTTTTTGCCAATTCTCACGTAGGCTGTAAAGGTAACCTCTATAGGCTCCCCAAACCAGCATTGAGTAAGACTATTTCAGCCCGAATGTTTCTTGCCTAAACAGTATTTTATTTTCTTTAAGTAATTATATGTGCTTTCTTAAGGTATTGGCTCTTTTCCTCCCTTCCACAGTGAGGAACACTTACACCCGTTGATCAGGATGGGCTTGAATATTTGCCCCCATTGTATTGCTGATGGACCCTTGTGATAATTTATCTAATAATATTATCTAATATTATAAGCTCTGAGAAGATTTTAAAAACACATTCAAATCCCTTACAAATATGTAATTCCCAATACTATTCTAGAGGGTGCCCTCCCAAATGGTGAAGGAACATTATTATTTCTGTCTTGGTTGTAATATCCATTTGGGGCTATAGATGTCAGCTATATTTGTGGAGGGCAAATGGTACCTAACTACTTCAAACTTTATCTTTCTCTTCCACCCTCATACTTCACTTTAGCTGAAGAGTAAAAACACTAAAGGTCTATAGATCTGGGTATTTTTTAGTTATAGTAAAAGACACACAACACACAATTTACCATTTTAATCATTTTTAGGTATATAGTTCAGTGGCATTAAGTACATGTACATTTTTGTGTAAACATGGCCACCATGTTGCTACAGATCTTATCATCCCACACTGAAACTCTACTCATTAAACAATAATCTGATCTTTCTCCTCTCTCTCTATCCCCTGCCAACCAAACACTATTTTATTTTCTATCTCTAAGAATTTGACTATACTAAAGCAACTGAAAAAAGTGGAATGGTACAATATTTTTCTTTTGTGTCTGGCTCTTTCACTTAGTGTAATGTCTTTAAGATTCATCCATGTTGTAGAATATGTCAGAATTTCCTCCCTTTTTAAAGTTGAATAGGCCGGGCATGGTGGCTCATGCCTGTAATCCTAGCACTTTGGGAGGCCAAGGTGGGTGGATCACTTCAGGTCAGGAATTCGAGACCAGCCTGGCCAACATGGTGAAACCCCATCTCTACTAAAAATAGAAAAATTAGCCAGGCATGGTGGTGCATGCCTGTGGTTCCAGCTACTCGGGAGGCTGAGCCAGGAGAATCGCTTCAAACTGGGAGGCAGAGGTTGCAGTGAACTGAGATTGCGCCACTGCACTCCAGCCTGGGCAACAGAGAGAGACTCCGTCTCAAAAAAAAAAGTTGAATAAAATATTTCCTTATAGATATATGTCTCGGAGAAAAAACTTCTCCTCTACCCTCTATTTTGTGCCTGGGAGAGTGCAAATTAAACTGACATAAGGCATTAACAGGAGAATAAAGTTTTATTTATACACACATGAACGCAACAAAAGAAGCAGCAAGCTCACTAAGTGATTAAAGTTAGAGCTTACATACGTAACATGGGGAAAGGGAGGGCAGAAAAAGCTTCTATGAGAAGAACAACTAGGTTTGTTTAGGAAAGACAAACGGGTTTTTAGGAGAACAAATGGAAATAACATTTTTTTTTTTTTTTTTTTTCTTTTTTGAGACGGAGTCTCGCTCTGTCGCCCAGGCTGGAGTGCAGTGGCGCCATCTCGGCTCACTGCAAGCTCCGCCTCCCGGGTTCACGCCATTCTCCTGCCTCAGCCTCCCAAGTAGCTGGGACTACAGGCGCCCGCCACTACGCCCGGCTAATTTTTTGTATTTTTAGTAGAGACGGGGTTTCACCGTTTTAGCCGGGATGGTCTCGATCTCCTGACCTCGTGATCCGCCCGCCTCGGCCTCCCAAAGTTAACATTTTTGATTATGTTGATAATTTTTTAAATGCAGGGCCACTGATCCTTCTGTTTGCTTATTGCCATTCCTCAAGAGGGCATTTATAGTAGCTTACTCTCAATCTTCCTGGGGGTCGACCCACCTCAAGAGGGAATGTTTGATAGCCTCATTTCCTAGAACTTGCTGCTTAGTCACATAAGGGAAGCTCTGAGAAGGCTTTTTTCTGCATCTGTTAAATCTAAAGTATCTTTAGTTTATAATAATCTTCATACTGAAGCCAGATAGTCCCCTGACCCCTTTGTGGGACTTGTGACAGAGGTGCCCTGTTTACTCAGCCCACTGCTCTCCTCGAGGGAGGGAGTGTGTGAGTGAACAAGGTGGGAACTGGAGTACATGCCTGCTGGAACCATCTGACTGCTTTGGCACTGGCAAGAGTAAACTCCACTCACTCAGACCTGCAGCGTTCACCCCTCATGGGAGGGGAGCACTCAGGTGAGCGGGTGCAGGAGCCTGGGCAAGCGCTTTTGGGTACTGGCAGGAGCAAATTCTGTGCAGGCCCAGCGGCAGCATCTAGGGGAGGTGCGTGCAATCCCCGAAGCCCCAGTGGGCGTGTTACGGTGATCTTTTAGCTCTGCCATCTGCGGACGGCTTAAGTGTTAACAGTTCAGTGAGCCCTCTGCCTTTTCACGTGAGGCCGCTGCCCTCTGCCAGCGAGGGCAAAGGGCCAGTGTGACAGCCTTTTGTATCCACACTTGTGGCTCCTGAGCGCTTTCTGGTATCCAGGAAAAATGAGGCTGCATGAATGAATTGAAGGATGGCAAATGCGGGGATTTTATTGCCAATAAAGTGGCTCTCAGTGGGAAGGGGAGCTGCAAAGGAGATGGGGAGGTGGGTAGGTAATCTTCCCCAGAAGTCCAGCCATCTCTGGCTGGATTATTCTCCAGAGTTTCACCATCAAGCTGTCCCTCTAAAGTCAAGCTGCTTTTCTCTGATGTCCAGCTGTAGTCCCTGACATCCAGCTGCTTCTTCTCTCTGCCAGCTGAGTCTAGGGTCTTTATAGGCACAGGATAGAGCAGGGCGAGGGCATGGGTGGTTTAGGAAAAGGTAACATTTGAGCAGGAAAACAGTTTGGGCCATGGTTTTAGGCTTGAGGGTGGGGTTTTGTCAGGGACCTGCCCTTAAATTTCTCTGCCTCCTGTCACTACCAATACCAACTCTGAGGTTCCTATAGGTCCCCACCATATATACCACATTTTGTTTTTCCATTCATCTGTTGATGGATATTTAGGTTGTTTCTACCTTTGGCCATTGCGAATAATGGTGTTATGAACATTGGTATATAAATATCTGTTGAAATCCCTGCTTTCAGTTCTTTTTAGTATATACTCAGCAGTGGAATTGCTGGATCATATGCTAATTCTATATTTAATTTTTGGGGAGCTATACTGTTCTCTACAGCAAGCAGCTGCACCAGTTTATATTTCCATTAGCAAAGCACAAGGTTTCAAATTTCTCCACAGTCTCTCCAACACTTGTTTGTTGGCTTTTTGTTTGCTTCTTAGGAGTATAAAGTGCTATCTTATGTTTTGTTTTGCATTATCCTAACAATTAGTGATATTGAGCATCCTTTCATGTGCTTATTTGGCCATCTTTATGTATTCTTTGGAGAAATGTCTGTTCAAGTCCTTTGTCCATTTTTTAAAGATTTGGTTTTTGTTTTTTTTGTTTTTTTTTTTTTGCCTGAGGGTTATTTACCTAAGAATAATTCTATGTTCTTATTTTCTTCTCTTTTTAGAAAAAAAAACTTCTCTATTTGAAAAAAAAAACCAGAAAAAAGAAATTCTTGTTTATTTAATTTATTTTTTATTTTTTTTGAGATGGAGTTTCACTCTTGTTGCTCAGGCTGAAGTGCAATGGTGCAATCTTGGCTCACCGCAACCTCTGCCACCCAGGTTCAAGCGATTCTCCTGCCTCAGCCTCCCAAGTAGGTGGGATTACAGGCATGCGCCACCATGCCTGGATAATTTTTTGTGTATATATATATATGTGTATATATATACATATATATGTACATATATATGTGTATATACACATATATATGCGTATATATATGTATATACATATATATGTGTATATATGTATATATACATATATACGCATATATATAAATATGTGTGTGTGTGTGTATATATATATATATATATTTTTTTTTTTTTTTTTTTTTTTGAGATGGAATCTCACTCTGTCACCCAAGCTGGAGTGCAGTGGTGTGATCTCGGCTCACTGCAGCCTCTGTATCCTGGGTTCAAGCAATTCTCCTACCTCAGCCTTCTGAGTAGCTGGTATTACAGGCACCCACCACCACGCCCAGCTAATTTTTGCATTTTTTAGTAGAGATGGGGTTTCACCACATTGGCCAGGCTGGTCTCAAACTCCTGACCTCAGGCTATCTGCCCACCCTGGCCTCCCAAAGTGCTGGGATTACAGGCGTGAGCCACCACGTCTGGCTTTTTTTTTTTTTTTGTATTTTTAGTAGAGACGGGGTTTCTCCATGTTGGTCAGGCTGGTCTTGAACTCCTGACCTCAAGTGGTCCACCCACCTCGGCCTCCCAAAGTGCTGGGATTACAGGCTTGAGCCACTGCTCCCAGCCAGAAATTCCTGTTTATAAATATCTCACCTATCATACCCAATGTATTGAAATCCCAGATTTGGATATCAATTTTCTTCTTCTTCATTTACTATTAACAGAATTACCATTAACTTTGTTTAAGAAGTCCAAATGGCCCCAAATTACAACCTTCTTCTTTTTAACTGCTCAGTTCCTTCCAAATCCTCACTGTTTTCTGTAAGAAGTTCTTGCTTATTTTATTCTAGGCAACTATGTAGTCAGATCCCCTTTCTTACCCCTATTTAATATTTGAGTTGAATTCTATGTTCCTTAGGCTCCATTAGTTATCTGATATAGTTACATACTTACCCGAGGCGAGCAAAAATCACCTGGTGACCATGAAGCAGACCATCTGGAGGCAAAACTCCTTATCTGAGGAATTTAGATGTATAATGAAGAGAGCAAAGATTACCTGGTGGTCATCAACTATGCCATCCAGAGGCAAAACTCCTTATCTGAGGAATTTAGAAGCAATTAGACTTCCCTGTTATCTAAAGCCAGCATCTGGTTACCAGGCTGCTTTCCCAAAAATTTATAAGTAGCTAGAATTTCTATATGTCTCCTGAATGCATGCATATCGAAACTCATTGTGCAGCCTTTGCTGACATCAAGGCACCAACATGTCTA
Organism: Homo sapiens; assembly: GCF_000001405.40. Taxonomy (NCBI): domain Eukaryota; kingdom Metazoa; phylum Chordata; class Mammalia; order Primates; family Hominidae; genus Homo; species Homo sapiens. The sequence goes on from NC_000001.11 coordinate 61,872,651, forward strand.
CAAATGTAATCAATCTATCATGACCTGCAAAACTAATAGGGTCCAAATTACCCTTACGCTCCTGCTTTAAGGTCTATAAATACCCCTAAGGAAAATCCTCGGAGGCCCACTCAGTCCTCTCTTGCTGAAGCGCCCCACTACAGTGTTCTTTCTGTCTAATAAAACTTGACTTTTCAAGCCTGTGCTGTTGTCAGTAAATTCTCTTTACTACCTGCGTGCCAATCACTTTCTGTTGCTGGGGCTCTGCTACCTTGCCCAGCATTACCAAATTCATAATCTACTTTGCAAAGCTGGAAGTATTTTGTATATCGGCTTATGAATGATCCTTCTCTTATCATTGAAGTCTGACCACTTTACAGAAAAAGTAGACCATTTTCAAAACAAAATTCACATTTTGTTTTGAACAACCAAAATTCCAGCAATAAAGAATAACATAGTGTTACCTTAAATAAATTATGGTACATCCCTAAGGTGGCTATAAAATAGTCATTTAAATTTGTACTGATAAAATTTCTTATTTTTATTATTTATTTATTTATAAAGACAGGGTCTCACTCTTTTGCCCAGGCTGGAGTGTCATGATCACAGCTCACTGCAGCCTCACCCTCCCAGGCTCAGGCTATCCTCCCACCTCAGCCTCCTGAGTAGCTGGGACTGCAGGCACACACCGCTATGCCTGGCTAGTTTTTATAATTTTTTTGTAGAGATGGGGTTTCGCCATATTGACCAGCTTGTCTCAAACTCCTGGCCTTAAGTGATCTACACATTTTGGCCTCCCAAAGTGCTGGGATTATAGGCATGAGCCACTGCACCCGGCAATAAAATTTTTTAAAATATAAAAAGATACTTAAAGTGAAAATATGATGTTTTCTATCTTAGTCTGTTTGGCCTGCTATAACAAGATACCATTAACTGGGTAGCTTATAAACAAAACAAATTTATTTCTCACAGTTATGAAGGCTGGGAAGTCCAAGATGAAGGTGTCCACACATTTGGTGTCTGGTGATGTTAGAGGCAGGAGGCGGACAAAGGCTTAGGCAGATTAGGAAGGGTCCCTGGAGAATCTCTGACCTCCCCTACAAGTGTTTACACCACATGTTTTGTACAGATAAGGGAACCTGCACAGGGAGTTTGCCTAGGCATGCCCACAGCAGGCTGGAGACCCATGCACTGGGGGGAATGGGGTGGAGCCACCAGGAATTTGTGTCTTATGCAGGGGAGGAGCCTGGCCTCTTCAGCTGCTGTGGGGTGGCCCAGGTATTCAATTTGGGATGTGAAAATCTGCTTGCGGGACCCCCTCTCTTTGCTGAGAGCTTTCTTTTTGCTTAAAAATTCCACCCTCCTCACTCTTCAGTGTGTCCGTGTGCCTAATTCTTCCTGATCATGAGACAAGAACCCAGATTAGCTGAGTTAAGGAGCAAAAATTCTGCATCAGTGAGGGCCCCCTTTCTGGTTCATAAATGTCATCCTTTAGCTGTGTCCTCACAGGGTGGAAGAGTGGAATGAGCTCCCTTGGGCCTATTTTATTTATTTATTTATTTATTTATTTATTTATTTATTTATTTATTTTTGAGACAGTGTCTCTCTGTCACTCAGGCTAGAGTGCAATGGCCTGTTCTCAGCTCACTGCAACTTCTGCCTCCCAGATTCAAGTGGTTCTCCTCAGCCTCCCAAGTAGCTGGGATTACAGCCATGCACCACCATGCCTGGCTAATTTTTGTATTTTTAGTAGAGACAGGGTTTCCCCATGTTGGCTGGGCTGGTCTCAAATGCCTGGTTCAAGTGATCCACCTGCCTTGGCCTCCCAAAGTGTTGGGATTACAGGTGTGAGCCACCACACCCAGCCCCTTGGGCCTATTTTATAAAGGCACTACTAATCCCATTCACCAGGGCTCTGCCCTCATAACTCTATCACCCCACAAAAGTCCCCACTTCTAAATATCTTCACCTTGGGGGTTAGGATTTTAACATATGAATTTGCAGGGTCAGGGGAAACATAAATATTTTAGCATTCTGGAAGATTGTGACTTTGGAAAACCATAAAAAACATGTATATAAAAGCAAGATGGGAGGAAAATGCAGTTAAGTTATCAACAGCACTTATCTGTAGGTTTTAGGTTTTAGGTTTGATAACTTAGGTATTCACCAGGCAGATAAGAGTGCTAACAAACGCTTATAGATATGAAAATTTATCACATATTTTGGAGTCAGCAAGGAAGCTATTTATTTGTAGATATCAGAGCAACACAATCCAGGAGGCTGTGTGTATCAGCAGTTGACCTTGCTTGACTTGATAGATCTTTTATTCCTCTACCTTGGTAAATGTTTATTTAAATCCACTTATTAATGCTTATAAAACAGTTTTTTTGGTTAAAAATCCAAGTTTTAGAATAAACAGATTTTGTTAGCCTATACTCTTGCAGATATTGTTACCAGCATTTGTTACTGCTTACCACAGTATAAACCATTACTTGAGAATGCCTGTTTGCAAGGCCAGTTTTCCACTATCATTATTACTTGGCTTGATCAACTGTACAGTAATACATTTTTTTCATAAAGTACTAATGCATTTCTATTTTTCTTCCTCTCAAGATGAAAGAAAATTTTGTCATGGAGTCCCTACCATCTGTACCATCAACTGAAGGAAACAGTCAACAAGGCAGATTTGACGACCTGGAAAATCTTAATTCATTAGCAAAAACTAGTCTGGATTTAGGTTTGTGACTTTTGTTTCTCATAAACACAAATTACATTATTTTGCAAGCTTTCAGTTTTATGTTTGTATACATGAATTTCACCGTCATATTTTTATTCATTATGATGCTTTGAATTTATGTCTGCTTAATAATTAATCTGCTTCAGAATTACCTGAAAGAATAAACATGCCTCAGATTTCAACTTAGAGTTTTCAGATTCTGTTTTTTGAGAAGGCTACATTTTCTCTGCCTCATGTTGCATTTTATTAGCAGTATGGATTGAAACTCAGACTAGAACCTTACACCAAATCTGAAATAAGTCTCTACTAATATATATTAAAATCTCTGATGCTCTTAAGTAATATTGCTAGCTCATTTAATGGGACTGTTAAATATTAATAAAGAGAGGCATATTTTAAACATTTATGAAACATTTTTATAGCCATATATTACAGTCAATTTTAGTACATTAATAACTTAGTTTCCATTAAAGAATTCTAAAAGTATAGTGCCTCTCCCTGCTGCCCCTCAATATCGATTCTTATATATGTTTGAAAAGTTGACTTTAAAAAAGAATTTTTCTTCATCTAACACTAAAATATTGAATGTCATTATAAAATTGACATCCCTAGGGAGATTGTTAAATGCTTTCATAGCACTGGGATTTATAGAGCCATTGTTGAGGATTTATGCTGTCCTTCACTTGTTATGACTACTTAAAAGTCTTTCTCTGTGTTGTATAGTAATATGTTGTAAGGGGAGAGAGGGCTGTAGAAAGTGATGTAACAGTTTTATATGAGATTAGGATTCTATTAAGTAAATTCTAAAAAATGGAATACTTAAGGGTAAAAATTGAAGGCGTCTCTGAGATGATAACATACAGTTTCCTGTGGGTCAAAACAGAGCATGGAAAAAAAAAGACAGAGTATGAATACTTAATTTTAAATATCTAAGATTAGATGAATCTACCCAAGTTTTCAAGATCATGACTAGAAGAAAAATGGGACTTCCCAAAATAAAACTCTCCAGGTATATTGCTTTCTAAAATTCACCACATTTCTTATAGTTCTCTATTAAATAGTTGGAGAAGATTTATAGCACAAATGTTTGAGTAAATGAATAAATAGACCATATCTGTTTCATTACTATTAATACTGTAGCAAACTTAGCACGATTTTGGACCAGATGAGTCTTTTGGTGGGGGTGGGGTATCCTGTGCATTGTAGGATGCTTAGCAGCGTCCCTGTCTTCTAACCCTAGATGCCAGTGGCACACCCTCTCCCAGTAATGATGAAAATCAAAATGTCTCCAGATGTGGCCACATGTATACTGTATAAACCACTGGTTTATACTGTCAAGATCAAAAGAAATAGACTAGCTATATGGGCTGGTGTTTGGGTGGAGGAGCAGTGGAATAAGAGGCAATCTTAGATTTATCTGCAGAACAATGAATTTAGAAATCATTGTTGAGAACCCCTGTGTAAAGAGATATTCTTGACCTTTTGGTTAATCCAAAATTGTGTATCTTTGAAAAGCATATACTCTTCATGGGTTATAAAACTAAGCATTTAAATTTGCATAATTAATAATGTAATTATTGACATTATTGCATTGAGTAATACACTTAGTGTTACAAGATTTTGGAAGATTTCAGACAGAAGGCAGTTCTGTTTCCCAGGCTTTGCTCGAAGACTGGGTTGTGCCATTTGCAAATCCAAATTGATTTTGTGTTATTGTCAAGACTCAGTGCACATGCTTACTTGCAGGCCTGTCTCTTAACTACACACTAAGCTTCAGGAGGGTGAGGACTGTATCTGATTATATTCACATAGTAGGTGCTCAAGAAATATTTACTGAATGAGGAAATGATGTACTGCTCACGTGGTTATTCAACAGCATATCAGTTCATTACTTTTTTTTTTTTCAGTTGCTAAGTTGTATAGTAACCCGATCTCTTCTCTACTTTGGATTCTGCTTGCCTTTATTTTGTTATTCCATTCTTGCATCTCATCAAATGTAGACCTTTAGAAAATTTCCTCCATTCCTCTCCTATAAGCATTAACTTCTGATATGGTTTGGCTCTGTGTCCCCACTCAAATCTCATGTTGAATCATAATTCCTAGTATTGGGGAAGGGACTTGGTAGGAGGTGATTTTATCATGAGAGCAGATTTCCTCCATCTGTTCTCATGATAGTGAGTGAATTTTCAAGAGATCTGATGGTTTAAAAGTGTGTGGCACTTCCCCCTTTGCGCATGCTTTCTCTCCTACTGCCATATGAAGACATGCGTGCTTCCCCTTCACTCTTCTGCCATGATTGTAAGTTTCCTGAGGCCTTCCTAGCCATGCCTCTCGTACAGCCTGTGGAACTGTGAGTCAATTAAACATGTTTTCTTTATAAATTACCCAGTCTCCGGTAGTTCTTTATGGCAGTGTGAGAGTGGATTAATACAACTTAAATCCTAGAGCATTTATTTTTTAAAAATCTCCCTGTTTTTCTAACCTCTGTACCCCTGTTATGACCATTACCTGATTACAGAGGCCCTACAGGACTCAATCTTTTTCATGGGCTCCTGGGTTTCTCTGTGCACTTGGTGGACAGCTCTGTAAAGTGTAACTGCGTGAAGCGCTGTGACAGGTTAGAAATGTGTGCCTGTGCACTGACAGGGTCCATGGAGGAGGCAGTGGGGCAGAGGGCACAGGTAGCCTTTGTGTGGAGCAATTCATGAAGTTTTAAACTGCACCAACCTATGCAACTTAGTGGTGTAGTTTAACAGACTGCTTTTTCCAGTGTAGCTGGATGGGACATAGAGAACCAGTTTCCTGTTCTGAAAACTCTGGTTTTAAGCCATTCCTGCCTGAGCACCAGTCCTGCCCTGGTCCTTCCTCCTCAGTGTCCTCAGTGAGGGGGAGGCAGACATCAGCAAAGCTGGAACAGTGGGGCAGTGCTTTGATTGTCATATGGGAATGGAGGCCCTCAAGGATGGGAGCAAAGGGGAGTATGGGGATGGGGGAAAGGTAACTGAGACTTCCGTTAATCCCACCTGAGCATGACAGTATTTTCACCCCATATCTGCAACATTGCCAACTGATTGGACCCTGATTCCAAAGTTTCTAGATGAAATAAAAAGCAGAAGTGGTAGTGAGTTTACCAGAAAATTTGTTCAAGATGAATGCATGGAAAGAGTTTCAGTGATGATTATAGGAAAAGTTTTAGGCTGGGTGTGGTGGCTCACACCTGCAATTCTAGCACTTTGGGAGGCCAAGGCAGGAGGATCACTTGAGTCCAGGAGTTCGAGACCAGCCTGGGCAACATAGGGAGACCCCATCTCTATTTAAAAAAAAAAAAAAAGTTTTAAAAGAGTATCTACATTGCTTAGTCAGAGGTCATTTATGATTTTCTACTAAGGCAAGTACCCCAAATATACTATGAACTTATGGATTTTTTTTTTTTTTGAGACGGAGTCTCACTGTGTCACCCATGCTGGAGTGCAGTGGCACAATCTCGGCTCACTACAACTTCCTCCTCCCAGGTTCAAGTGATTCTCCTGCCTCAGCCTCCTGAGTAGCTGGGATTACAGGCGTGTGCCACCACACCCGGCTAATTTTTTTGTATTTTTAGTAGAGATGGGGTTTCACCATGTTGGCCAGGCTGGTCTTGAACTCCTGACCTCATGATCCGCCCACCTTGGCCTCCCAAAGTGTTGGGATTACAGGCGTGAGCCACCGCACCTGGCCAAATTTATGGACTTAAGGAAGACATTTGATGCACAATTCATCATATTCTTATAAACATGATAAAAACAATTGGCTGATAATTTATAATGAATTACTGGGGTATATCCTATGAGTGATTAATGGGTTTATGCCTGCATAAGTACAGGTCTCTAACATAGGCCATAGGACTCTATGCACAAGTTGCCTTGGTTATTCTTTTTCTCGGGAAATGGGGTAATGGCACAGATGGCATATTGGATGAATTCACACATTCCAGGAAATTGGGAAGGATTGTCAGTATGTTGGATGACAGAACTAAGATCCAAAGTGACCCTGACGATCTAGAATGAAGGCCTCCATCAAATAAGATAAAATATTTAAAAAGAAGAAAAGTTTGAAGCTGTGCTGTTTGGACCCAAAACCTAACTGCCCACTTCTAAGATGGGAGAGATGTTGTTTGTAATTTGGTTTTCCTATCATTGCAGAGTTCTCCGGTATGGTGAGAAGAAAAAATAAGGCTCACAGGACTTAGGGTTTTAGAATTTTTCCTTTTTTTTTTTTCTGGAGCCCAGCTACTTCTGGGTCCCATTCTTTTGCTTGGTATATTGCTAAGCAACAGTGCTTTTTGTAGTGGCAAATCAAAATATTGGTAAAATTCCCTCTTTTTCATCAAGCCTCCTCCTTTTGGTGTTCCTCCTACCTAGAATGGTATTGCAGATTTTTATGGGACTGATTCCCTATCACCATCCAGGTTTTTGACTACTCCATCTATTTTTTTTTTTTCTTTTTCTTTTTAGATAGAGTCTCACTCTGTCACCCAGGCTGGAGTGCAGTGGTGTGATCTTGGCACACTGCAACCTCCACCTCCTGAGTTCAAGCTATTCTCCTGCCTCAGCCTCCTGAGTAGCTGGGATTACAGGCACACGCCACCACACCTGGCTAATTTTGTATTTTTAGTAGAGATGGGGTTTCATCATGCTGGCCAGGCTGGTCTCAAGTGATCCACCCGCCTCAGCCTCCCAAAGTGCTGGGATTGCAGGCGTGAGCCACCACACCCGACCAGCTACTCACCTGTTTCTTTCTGTTCCTACCTGTTGCCTTATTTTCCTTCTTAGACCTTACCATATCCTGAAATCATGCTGTGTTCATTCTGTATCTCTCTCCACTAGAATGCTAGCTCCCAAGAATAGGAACTTTGTCAGTTTTGTACACTTAGCTATCTCTAATGCCTAGAATAGTTCCTGGCAAGTAGTGGGTGCTCTATAAACATTTGTTAAGTGAATTTGTGAATGCGTGAATGAAGAACAGCCACAGAATGTTGGATACACTTAAAGGTATTTTTGTAGCTTCAGCTTCTTCCCCCATTAGCCAAAGAAGTAAAATACTTAAGGTTTTGTGTCTTCTCACATTTATTTGATGGGAAACAAAACAAAATATAGAAGGTGCATTAGAACTTTTTTTCTTTGTTACATTTTCTAGGTTAAGCTCTACCAGATATTTTTTAAATCCGTAGAAGGTATGCAAACCAAAAAATAGATGTCCACAATCTTGATAAGAGCATACACTTGATTTCTTATCATTTGGATAAAAGCTATGTTATTATTACTCAACCCAGTACAATAGTATTTTATCATCTTACACGTGTTTGAGCTTTCAGTCATACTTTAATCACATAATGTGTGATATTTTAAATATTTTTTCTTCCAAGAACACAGTGTTCAAAGAAATACATTGCAGGAAAAACTGTTTTGGCCAGCACGGTGGCTCATGCCTGTAATCCCAACACTTTGGGAGGCCAAGGCGGGCAGATCACTTGAGGTCAGGAGTTCAAGACCAGCCTGGCCAACATGACAAAACCCTGTCTCTACTAAAAATACAAAAATTAGCCGGGCATGGTGGCACACACCTGTAATCTCAGCTACTCAGGTGCCTGAGGCAGGAGAATCGCTTGAACCTGGGAGGCGGAGGTTGCAGTGAGTCAAGATTGCACCACTGCACTCCAGCCTGGGTGACCAAGCGAGACCTTGTCTCAAAAATAAAATAAAATAAAATCTATCTACAAGGTACTGTGCAATGCATTGGGAAACCTAAGGCACTATTTGTTGTTCTCTATTTTCTAGAATTACAGACAGAGAAAAGCATCATGTTTGCAAGAGTTTAGCAAAACAGCTCAGTGCAGAGTGAAGAATACATAAGGCAGGTAGCGGAGACATTCAGGAGAGCCCAGCTGTGGGGACTTTGTGTGCTGGGAAGGACCCTGAATTTGACCTGTATGCTCAGAAGCCTTATCCTGGGGCCTATGGGGGCAGCTTCCCAGGATCCATGAACCACAGTTAAAACAGTTATTTTTTTTTTTTTTTTTTTTTGAGACAGAGTCTTGCTCTGTCACTCAGGCTGGAAGTGCAGTGGCATGATGTCGGCTCTGTGCAACCTCCGCCTCCCAGGTTCAAGAGATTCTCGTGCCTCAGCCACCTGAGTAGCTGGGATTACAGGTGTGTGCCACCACGCCTGGCTAATTTTTGTATTTTTAGTAGAGACGGGATTTTGCCATGTTGTCCAGGCTGGTCTCGAACTCCTGACCTCAGGTGATCCACCCACCTTGGCCTTCCAAAGTGCTGGGATTACAGGTGTGAGCTACCGCACCCAGCCCGCTCTTTAGGCTCTCCATTTACCTTGTTTGATTAAGCACAATTATTTTAGGCCTCCCATTTATATAATTTGAATAAATGGCATTCCCAAATCACTGAAGATGTTTAATCAGAAGTCTCAAAGCTCCTTTACGAGATTATCAAAGATACACTTGTTCCGTAGAATGGACCGTGGGATGCACAATAGATGCGACTTCCATTCTAACCATAACATTAGCTGTAGATTTCTTTGTTTTTCTACTTCGGAAAACAGTATACTCATATTTTTTAAACTTAAAAACTCATTGTTGGTTGGTGTATTAAGCAAGTACCATATTTACTTGTTCAGAAATATTTGCTAGTGCTTTCTGTATAAGAGTGCTGCTCTGGGGGTCATGAGAGTGGAGCAGTGAACAAAATAAAGTCGGCCCACATTCTGGTGGGGGCAGACAATAACAAATTAATGTATAATATGATAGGGTTCATGAGGGAAAATAAAGCAGTAAAAAGAAATAGAGAATGTTTGAGGAGGAGGCCTATTTTATATGGAGTGGTCAGGCTGACTGTTTTCATAGGGTAACATTTGACTGACACGTGAGTAAAGTAAGCCAGCCCTGTGTGAAAACATTTGGGATATGGCTGAGAGAATAAGAAATGCAAAGTTCTTAAGGAGGTTATTTGCTAGGTGACAAAAAACAATTAAGTGTGTTCCTAGAGGATAAATAAGATAATGCAGATAAACAAAAAGTAGAAATAAGAAATTGTCTGCAGAGGTAATCGCGATTTGGTTTATAGTCTTCCAAATTTTTCCAGTTTGTATGAAACGCTACCTGTCTACCCTCATAACTGGGTCATCTCAGCTTTCTCCCTCAACCCCAAATCTTCTGGGTTTCTTTTTCCTTTTGTTTTTGTTTTTGATACAAGGTCTCACTCTGTTGCCCAGGCTAGAGTACAGTGGTGACATCACTCCTCACTGTGATCATCCTCACCGACTCTAGTGATCCTCCTGCCTCAGCCTTCCGAGTAGTTGAGATTACAGGCGTGCTCCACCAAGCCTGGCTAATGGAGTTTCACCATGTTGCCCAAGCTGGTCTTGAATTCTTGGGGCTCAAGGAGTCCATCTGCCTCAGTCTCCCAGAGTGCTGGATCTACAGGCATGAGCACCTGCGCCTGGCCAATATTCTGCTTTTAAACAATAAACCATTATAACACAGCTTAAATTCCTCTCCATAGATAACCATGGTGTTGAATCCTATATATTATACCTTATGCATTATCTTTTTATAGTGTGTGTGTGAGGATGTGTATAGACAATATATGTGGACATACCCACACACATGTCTATATATGATAGTTATACTGTGCTTACTATATATACATGTTTCAACATATGATCTATTGTGGTGAGACTAAAGGAGCTTTCTTTAGTTTATTTGGGCAAATATAAGGAGAAAATACTAGCCTTTAATTTCTTAACATGATAATTGTATAATATGCTACCGACAACTAGGAAGAACATAAGAAGTAAAGTCCAAAAATGTTGTCCCCACCATACTTCTCAAGCTTATTATGTGAACCTTTCTAAATAGAAATCAAAATTAATTGCTAGGAAGTTTGTTGTAAATATTTAAATAAATTATGGCAATCTGTACCCTTTACCTGCTGGTAAAAAATTGGCAAAATTTCTTAACCTCAGTTTTCCTATCTATAAAATATGGTTGATAGTGTCTTTTCTTTCTAACTCATAGTTTGATGTGAGAATTAAATGAACAAGTATAGGCCAGGTGTGGCAGCTCACGCCTGTAATCTCAGCACTTTGGAAGGCTGAGGCAGGTGGATCACCTGAGGTCAGGAGTTCGAGACCAGCCTGGCCAACATGACAAAACCCTGTCTCTACTAAAAATACAAAAATTATTGTATTTTTGCATGCAACACAACACCTGTAGTCCCAGCTACTCAGGAGGCTGGGGCAGGGAGAACTGTATGAATCCGGGAGGCGGAGGTTGCAGTGAGTCAAGATCACACGACTGCACTCCAGCCTGGGCAACAGAGAGAGACTCCGTCTCTTAAAAAAAAAAAAAAAAAAAGAATGTAAAAGAATTCTGAAATTTATAAACAAAACCCTTTTAAAAATAGAAGTGATTTAATATGGTTTATTTGTTATTCTGTGGAGGTTTTTTTTTTTTTTAAATCAGTGAAATGTCAGAGTACTTATTAGGAAAGCTTAAGTTGATAAGAGAAAATGTGTAGTAAGATTAGATTTTTTAGTAATATTAATATTGCATAAATGCCATTTTTTTTTAGTGAGGCCACTGAAAATTGTAACCGACTTCTGTTGAACAATTCCTATATTCCTTCCTTCTTTATTTTTCACCATTGTACCTATCATCATCTGATATATTAAAGCCTTTATTTATTTACTTTAATATTTTCAGTCTCCTACCTGGAAGAGTCCCCTCCCATAGTAGGTGCCCATACCTAGTTGTTGAATGACTAAAGGAGAATGAGTGCCTCTTGTGTTCACTGTCATCTGGATTTGCTCTTCAGGCATGATCCCGAATGATGTCCAAGGTCCTAGCTTGCTCATTGACCTTCCTGTTGTGGCTCAAAGGAGGGAGCAAGAAGATTTGCCTTTATATCAACACCAAGCGACACGAGTTATTTCCAAGGCCTCAGCATACACAGGAATGTTGTCTTCTAGATATGCCACTGATACATGGTATGATATCATTTCTCTTTGTTTTCACATTATAAAATAGTGGTTTTTTTTTTTTTTTTTTTTTTGCTTAAAAAATGCGTGATTTTGGTAGAACGTTTGGAAAATACAGAAAAATATTATGAATAAAATCCACTATATTTGACAATTACTATGAGAATTTCATATACTTAAAATTTTGCCATATGTACAATTTTGTATCTTGCAGTGGTGCACAAAATGGATTAGAGTATCTGCTTAGAGAATGGGAGGTTAATTCAGAGTTTAACAACTCAAGCAGATGCACTTGAGGACAAATTAAAAGAAGACCAATTTAAGAGTGAGGAAATCTACAGGAATCCCTTGACTCATTACATGTTGAGTGTAAAAGGGGGTAGTTGAGGATGACTTGTGTTTTTGGACTAGGAAACTAGATAGATATGAGAAATTAGTGCTTCAATATAATATTATAGGAGCATGAACAGGTTGGAAGGGAAAATGATGAGTTCAGTTTGGAACATGTTGATGGTTAAAGTAGCCATAGAACAACAAAGTTAAATGTAATCAATTAGATATGTGGGTCTGGGAATTAATGTTGAGGTCTGTCTGGACATGGGTAATTGGGAGCAAGATTAAGCGTAGGTGAAACTCTTGGATTTGAATGGTCATCAACACGAAGCTTAAACAATAAGGCAAGCATAGGGTCAAGATTGGAGTCCTGGCATAGGCATGGGCAAGGACTTCATGTCTAAAACACCAAAAGCAATGGCAACAAAAGCCAAAATTGACAAATGGGATCTAATTAAACTAAAGAGCTTCTGCACAGCAAAAGAAACTACCATCAGAGTGAACAGGCAACCTACAGAATGGGAGAAAATTTTCGCAACCTACTCATCTGACAAAGGGCTAATATCCAGAATCTACAATGAACTCAAACAAATTTACAAGAAAAACACAAACAACCCCATCAAAAAGTGGGCAAAGGATATGAACAGACACTTCTCAAAAGAAGACATTTATGCAGCCAAAAGACACGAAAAAATGCTCATCATCACTGGCCATCAGAGAAATGCAAATCAAAACCACAATGAGATACCATCTCACACCAGTTAGAATGGCAATCATTCAAAAGTCAGGAAACAACAGGTGCTGGAGAGGATGTGGAGAAATAGGAACACTTTTACACTGTTGGTGGGACTATAAACTAGTTCAACCACTGTGGAAGTCAGTGTGGCGATTCCTCAGGGATCTAGAACTAGAAATACCATTTGACCCAGCCATCCCATTACTGGGTATATACCCAAAGGACTATAAATCATGCTGCTATAAAGACACATGCACACATATGTTTATTGTGGCACTATTCACAATAGCAAAGACTTGGAACCAACCCAAATGTCCAACAATGATAGACTGGATTAAGAAAATGTGACACATATACACCATGGAATATTATGCAGCCATAAAAAATGATGAGTTCATGTCCTTTGTAGGGACATGGATGAAATTGGAAATCATCGTTCTCAGTAAACTATCGCAAGGAGAAAAAACCAAACACTGCATGTTCTCACTCATAGATGGGAATTGAACAATGAGAACACATGGACACAGGAAGAGGAACATCACACTCTGGGGACTGTTGTGGGGTGGGGGGATGGGGGAGTGATAGCATTAGGAGATATACCTAATGCTAAATGACGAGTTAATGGGTGCAGCACACCAGCATGGCACATGTATACATATGTAACTAAACTGCACATTGTGCACATGTACCCTAAAACTTAAAGTATAATTAAAAAAAAAAAGATTGGAGTCCTGGAAAACAGCAATACTTAAGGCATGAACAGAGGAAGAAAGGAGTGAGCTGGAATGAACAAAAGGTAGGAGAAAATGAGTGAACTAGATTGACTTAGAAATCAAAGGAAGAGAACATTTTAACAAAAGTGTCCTCACAGGCTATGTTCACATGCTAATAGGGTCAATGTAGATAAGACAAAGAAGTTTTCCCGGGGCTTGGCCACATGGATGCCCTTGGTAAGCATTGAACATTGTTAGTAGAGTAGATTTCAGAGAGTTGTGTATTGAGAATTGAACACAAGGTTAAAAATTGGACACAGAAAGAGCTGACTAGTGTTTTGAAAATCCTGGTCATGGGCTGGGCCTGGTGGCTCATGCCTGTAATCCCAGCACTTTGGGAGGCTGAGGTGGGTAGATCACCTGAGGTCAGGAGTTCGAGACTAGCCTGGCCAACATGGTGAAACCTCATCTCTACTAAAAATACAAAAATTAGCCAGGCATGGTGGTGTGCACCTGTAACCCCAGCTACTCTGGTGGCTGAGGCAGGAAAATCACTTGAACCTGGGAGGTGGAGGTTGCAGTGAGCCGAGATCGTGCCACTGCACTCCAGCCTGGGCAACAGAGCAAGACCCCATCTCAAAAAAAAAAAATTAGCCTGTTGTGATAGCATGCACCCGTAGTCCCAGCTACTAGGGAGGCTGAGGTGGGAGGACCGTTTAAGGCTGGAAGGTTGATGCAGCAATGAGCTATAATTGTGCCACTGCACTCCAGCCTGGGTGACATAGCGAGACCCTGTCTCAAAAAAAAAATACATGTTACTTAGATAACTAGATGGTATTAATGTATCAAGGCAATGGGAAAATATATATATGTGTATATATATAATGTATATAAGACATACAACATTTATATTATATATTACTACATTCATATGTATATCAAACTGAAGAGAATTTTCTTTGCTTGTGGAATATGCAGATGCCATAAAGGGGGTGATTAAATATAGTCTGTGGAGATGGTGGAGGGAGGAGAGAACATTGCACACTTGGAATCACCTTGGATAGTTTGATAGGAGGAAGCTCACCTCCTCCACTAAGATAGGTGCCAGGAAGGAAAGGAAGGTCTGGATGTAGGTACTTTTTATAGCTTGAGAGCAGGAATCCAAAGAGATTCTTGTCCAATGATGATGTTTGTTTGTTTCTGTCACTTCGGGAGAAGATTATTTACTACTAAGAGTGATGAAGTGCTAATAAAGTAGGCATTAAAAGGAAAGGTGTTGGAGCAGAGATTAGCTTTTGAAAGAGTGGTAGGAGAGTAACCACCTAGTGGTAGGGAGTTTTGAAAAATATTTACCCTCTTTTTCCAATGCCCCAGGGAGTGAGAGAATGAGCTTCACCCACTTGAGTGTGGTATACTTGGCAGAGAACCAGAGCTGTTGAAGAGGAGGTTCAGAGAACATTCAGTGAAGAGGTCAGGGTGTGGATAGTTTTGTTTATAATTCTAGCAGATTCCATGCAGCATGATGGATGATGTGCATGGCAGGTCTTGGGGTGCGGCGTGACAAAGGAAGCACATTTGAAGGAAAACCCAGAAAGGTGTGGCATTATGAGTAGGGAGATAAGAAGTGCACAAAGGAGTTGGAGCTTTCAGCAAAACATAACAGGGATGATAGATAGGGTGGGCTTAATTGGCTTTAAACATTTTTATTAAAACCTTAATCCAAGTGTGATTTTTGTGTTGACATGGGAGATATCTTAGATTTAGATGATGTGCATTTCTCTGTTCAGCAACCTGAAATTTTACCCAGAGTTTTAGATAGAAACTTCATCAAAAGTTCTCTGTGCTTCTGCATAGCCCATATCTGAGTGGAAGGAAGAGATACAGAAAGGCCCAACAGCTTTTCTACTCTGCAAAAGCCAGGCCGGTATGCAGAGGGAGAGTGCTGCCAGGCCCGGTGTCCTAATGTGATATCCGGTGCAGCCTCTGGGGAAACGCACAGTGATAAATAAGCAAAGGATTTGTTTCCTTAGGACAGATGCCTGGAAGTGGAGAAGTTAGAAACATATTTTATGGCTTTTTATTTAGTCAAAATTTTTTTCTTCTTTTTATTTTTGAGACAGGGTCTTACTCTGTTGCCCAGGCTGGAGTGCAGTGGGACCATCTCAGCTCACTGCAACCTCCGCTTCCCAGGTTCACACCATCCTCCCACCTCAGCCTCCTGAGTAGCTGGGACTGCAGGCATGTGCCACCAAGCATGGCTAATTTTTGTACTTTTTTTTTTTCTTTTCGTAGAGATGGTGTCTCGCCATGTTGGCCAGGCTGGTCTGAAACTCCTGGGCTTAAGCAATCTGCCTGCCTCAGCCTCCCAAAGTGTTCAAATTATTTTTCCATTGTTTTTTAAATTTCTCTTTTGCTTAGTGTGAATAGTTGAATCTGGCAGAAGAATGCAGAAATGAGACTGCTTCTCTAAACTGTAGAATTGTAACTGTAGAATGTGAAGAATCAGAAAAGATCTAAGCAAACTTCTAAGTCCACCCCTCCTTTCTTGGACAGAAGAGAAAGTGGAGCATCAGTTGTTCTTACTCAATTTGACCCCAGCTTCAGAGAGGGAAGATATACTTTGTTCTTATCCCATTGCTTTTTCTTTCAAAATGAGTATTTGACAAGCTGATTTCTTATGCAGGCACAGGCATTTAAGGACTCCAACCTAACCTTGTCTTAGGAGATTAGCCTTGCACTTGAAAGTTGTTTTTTTGGCTTGCTATTGGAGATTTAGGGTATATTTAAATCCCAGCAGGTTCCAGAAGAGTTCTTGTAAATCATATTCCTTCTTTTAATCTTTAAGGGTATGCCCCATGGAGTTAGGTTCATAGGTGAATATTTATTGCCACTCAGGAGCCTGCCTGAGTAATGCATAGATTATTTTAGATGATAGTCTTTCAGAAAATCAGGGTGTCATGAAGTGCTAAATGGTATTTTACAGTTTCTTCCTTGCATTAATTTTTGTGTACGACCCAGCAGAGTTGTGTGTCTACGTGCGTGTGAGTGCACCAAGGGTAAGTATCTAATGATTGTGATGTTTTATCTACAGTGCACTTTTGCACTAACTTCTCCTTACCTTAGGAGGTAGGACTGGTATTAAGAGGTCAGGTGCCCCTTGAAAGGAGAGATCTCTAGAAAGGGGACTGTGGGCAGGCAGGGTATAATTCTGTGGAAGGAATTCAGGTGTTCTGGTTCAGAGCACAGTAGTCCCTTCTTATCTTCAAGGGATATGTTCCAAGAACCCCACTGCGTGCCTGAAACCACAGACAGTACCAAGCCCTATATATACTGTCTTTTCTGTACGTACATACTTATGATGAAGTTTAATTTATAAATTACGTACAGTAAGAGATTAACAACAATAACTGGTAATCAAATAGATCAGTACTGCAGCAGTTGATCTGATAACTGAGATGGCTACTGAGTGACTTCTGCGCAGGCAGCATATATAGCGTATGGATATGCTGGGCAAAGAGATGATTCACATCCCAGGCTGGACAGCAAGATATTTCTTCATGCTACTCTGAATGGCATGCAATTTAAAACCTATGAATTGTTTATTTCTGAAATTTACCATTTAAGATTTTTGCCATTACTGCAGTTGACCACAGCTAACTGATACCAAGGAAAGCAAAACTGCAGAAAGCAATACCTTAGCTGAGTGGAGGGGACTACTGTATCCTTCTTTGTTCCTAAGGTCACTTGAGATCGTGTTTTCAGACCTCGCCTGGTTTCAGTCTTTTTCTTCCTCATCTCGGTTATTTTTGGCTGTTTAAAGACCTATGGGTGCCCCTAGGGGGGACATGGACATTTCTCAGACATTAGGAGGTCTGTGGTGTGGATGTATTATGAGTGATGTTCATATCTTTCTTCTGCTGTTTATACCTGTATGACCCTGAAAGGGTTTCCTTTGTATCTATCTTTTGTCACCCGTAAAGTAGGTAGTTCTGTAGATTGAATAAAAATTCATACAGGCCAGGCGTGGTGGCTCACGCCTGTAATCCCAGCACTTTATGTGGCCAAGGTGGGAGAATCGCTTGAGGCCAGGAGTTCAAGACGAGCCTGGGCAACATAGTGAAAACCTGCTGCTACAAAAAAATAAAAAGTAAGCCTGATATGTTGGTGCATGCCTGTAGTCCTAACTATTCTGGGGGCCTAGGAGGGAGGATCTCTTGAGCCCAGCAGTTCGAGGTTATAGCAAGCTATGATTATACCACTGCACTCCAGCCTGGCAAACACAGTGAGACCTGGTCACTATTTTTTATTGGTTTTTTTTTCCTTCTTCTTCTTTGAGACAAGTTCTTGCTTTGTCACCCAATCTGGAGTGCAGTGATGTGATCACAGCTCACTGCAGCCTTGACCTCCCAGGTTCAAGCAATCCTCCCACCTCAGCCTCCCAAATAGCTGGGATCACAGGCACCTGCCACCATGACTGGCTAATTTTTTTATTTTCTGTAGAGATAAGATCTCACTATGTTACCCAGGCTGGTCTAAACTCCTGGCCTCAAGCAATCCTCCCACCTTGGCCTCCCAAAGTGCTGGGATTACAAGTGTGAGCCATAGCACCTGGCCTATTATTTTTTTTAAAGTACATGTAAAACATTTATACAATTTTATTTGTCAACTAAAAGTCAATAAAGCTGGGAAAGGATGCATTTAACAGGCTTAATATAACAGCCTTGCCAATAGTAAACGTTTAATAGAAGGTTTGCAGTGATGTTGGTGGCAGTGACAATGATAGGCTCATGGGCCCTGACATATACCCAGGGTAGTATTCATTGTTGCTGGGTTTATTAAAAGACTCAAGGAGGTTGTTGATTAACAAAAAAAAAAATGTAATAGGATCAAATCACAGTAAAGCAATGTGTCAGAGGCTGATGTCTGGGAGGATGGTGAACTTTAGAAGAAAGACATATTTAAAATGGAAAAAAAAATTATAGGTGTAATAGGATGCAAATGAGTAGAGATGGCTTCAGGTATTGGACACTTTGTTAGGAATAGTGGGAGGAGAAATAGGAGGCTAGGTGTCATAGTTGGGTAAAGGATTAACTAAGTTAACGTGATATTTTAAGCTCCCAACACAGTGCCTGGCATTTAGTGCCTTCTACATAAATGGTGGATATTTAATAGGTTTACATTTGAATTAAACTGCCAAAACTTACATGTAAATTCAGAACATCAGGAGGAGATGGAAGAAAAGGGAGAGAATGAATATTTGCATTTCAGAGAGAGGGCTACTCTGGAGTGTGAGTTGGGAGAGAAAAGGGGGTGTTTGTGGGAGTCTGTGGCCTCGAGCACGTGACACTTCTAGGTTCTTACAGTGCTGTTGCAGCGGTGGCCCACACTGCAGATGAAGGCGAATGTGAACAATTAGGACAAGAGGTACATAGAAATACTACACTAATGCCTTTGAAAATATAATTAGATCTTTGATTACTAATTCAGGCTCTACAGAAGGCCAGAAGAGACGTAATGTTCTGGAAGCAACTTACCCTGTATGGCTTGAACTTCTGTTTCTTAAGGAAGCTCTTAAACACCATTTTACATATTAATAAAATGCACACATTTTAAGGTACAGCCTACTAAGATATGTATACATTCATGTAATATACACTCCAATGAAGATAAGGAACATTTCCATCACCCAGAAAGTCCTCCTGCCCCTTTGTGTGTCTTGCACCAGGCAACCACTAATCTTATTTCTAATACTGTAAATTAGTTTTTCCTGTTTTAGAACACATGTACATGTAGTCATACAGTAGCTACTTTTTTTATGTCTACCTTCTTTTACTCAAGACAATGTCTGAATGTTAATGCAAGGAAATGCCTAATTCTTTATATACTGGTGTCAGGTAATAATTTGCTCTGCAACTTCAAAATCATGGCAGAACATCTGTACAAATAACCCTACTAGTTTAGAAGACACTAGTGCCCATTCTTTTTGGTTCCAGTTGCTCACATTCCCTGTGGTATATCATAGAATATTGCCATATAGAATGTGTATTTAAGGAGGAAAAAAAATTGTGAGATTACTTAGTCACAATTGGAGCTCTCCCTGCTTCCATCATTTTTGGGTGCTGAGTTTACTTGACCTTCATACTGCTTAGTATGTAGAAATTTTATGTGAAATTAAGTACTACTGAAGAGGAAAGGTCACCTTGGCTGTCTGGAGTCATCAGATTTTGTATGATGAACATTTTATTTGCAAAGAGTTTGTATATCATGAAGTCTTACCATTAATATCCACTTGTTTGCTCATGGGGTACTCTATCTCCACCCACCCCCCCAAATCTGTAAAGAATTATAACTTTAGGCATTTGTGATAAAGGCCTGAAATAAAACACATTGTTTCAATTGGATGGTTAATTCCTTTGGGGAAAAATTTGGTTATAAATCTCTGGTTGAATTTAAGAGGCAAAAGTTCAGTTCATTTTTAAGACTTTATTTCTTTAAAGCAGTATTTGGTTCACAGCAAAATTGAGAAGAAGGTACAGCGAGGATACCCCCTACCCCCACATGCATAGCCTCCCCTATTGTCAATATCGCCCACCAGGGTGGCACGTTTGTTACAATTGATAATATTGATAAACTGACACATCATCTTCACCCAGAGTCCATAGTTTAGATTAGGTTTCACTCTTGGTGTTGTATGTTCTGTAGGTTTGGAAAGTTCTGTTATTTTAAGATTTGAGTTTCTAACTGATTGAGCTATTGATCATACTTAGTGACAGTGCAAATTATAAAATTTGAGGTTAGAAATTCCTTGTTAAAGTTTCAAATATGTTTGTGCAAATTTACATCTTAATATGTACAGTAAGAATATTTCACTTTCTCGGTTAAATTTAAATTTGGGTTAAAAGGTACATATGTTCATCAGTATAAAGTGACTACATTAATTTGTTTAATTGCTCATCTCCTGTGACTGTATTTCTGAAACTACTCACACTATCTAGATAAGCTTTCACAAGTTTTATCTCTCGTTAGGTATGAACTCATCTGAATAAAATGTGTGTATACTAAAACCTAGAAGAAAGGTAATATGCTCTGAGTTTCTTCCAACAGACTAATCATTTTGTGACATACTTTGTCAAAGAAATCTAAAATTGTTCATATTCTAGATAGAGTGGTTTCCCCCACCCCTTCTCCTAAATTGTATGTGAGAGTTGGCAATTTAGGAAATTTTTAGTTTTTACTTTTTAAAATTAAGAAACAAATAGCCCATACTATTTGTTGAAGGTTGCTTTCCCTTCTATTTTAGGGTGTTTTTTTTTTTTTTTCGCCAATTAAAGAATTTAGGCCAGGTGTGGTGGCTCATGCCCATGATCCCAACACTTTGGGAGGCTGAGGCAGGAGGATTGCTTGAGTCCAGGTGTTTGAAAGCAGTCTGGGCAACATAATGAGACCCCGTATCTACAAAAGGTAAAAAAAATTAGCCGGGCATGGTAGTGCATGCCTGTGGTCCCAGCTACCTGGTGAGGCTGCAGTGAGCTGTGATTGTGCCACTGCACTCCAGCCTGGGTAACAGAGTGGAACTCTGCTCAAAAAGCAAAACAACAAAACAAGAGAAAAAAAAAAAGAAGTGAATGCCTATAATGATAGCATAAAGGTGTCATGGTGAAATACCTGCCTTTTTTTTTTTCCTTAATGCCTATATGATTTGGGGTACAGGAAGGTGGAAAATGGAGAGGAGGAAGGTTTGTATTGTTTTAGGTTTTGTTTTGAATCTTATTTCAATTAATATTTAACAGAAGGCCGGGCATGTGGCTCATGCCTGTTATCCTAGCACTTCGGGAGGCTGAGGCGGGCAGATCACCTGAGGTCAAGAGTTCAAGACCAGCCTGGCCAACATGGAGAAACCCCATCTCTACTAAAAATACAAAATTAGCCGGGCTTGGTGGTGCATGCCTGTAATCCCAGCTACTCGGGAGGCTGAGGCAGGAGAATGGCTTGAACCTGGGAGGTGGAGGTTGCAGTGAGCGAAGATTGTGCCATTGCACTCCAGCCTGGGCAACAAGAGCGAAACTCTATCTCATAAAAAAAAAAAAACACAAAAAAAAAACAGAGAATTCTAAAATACAGCAGAGCATGAAGATATTCCTTGCAGTAATGTCCATATTATAAAAGACAAGGTACAATCTGATATGGGTTGGCTCTGTGTCTCTACCCAAATCTCATCTCAAATTGTAATCCCCATGTGTCAGGAGAGGGACCTCATGGGAGGTGATTGGATCGTGGGGGCGGTTTCCCCATGCTGTTCTCATGATAGTGAGGGAGTTCTCACAAGATCTGATGATGTAAAAGTGGCAGTTTCCCCTACACTGTCTCTTTCCTGCCAACATGTAAGATGTGCCTTGCTTCCCCTTTGCCTTCCACCATGATTTTAAGTTTCCTGAGACCTCCCCAGCCATGTGGAACTTTGAGTAAATTAAACCTCTTTTCTTTATAAATTACCCAGTCTCAGGTAGTATCTTTATAGAGTGTGACAGTGGACTAATAGAATTGGTCCCAGCAGAGTGGAGTACTGCTATAAAGATAACCTGAAAATGTAGAAGCGACTTTGGAACTGGCTAACAGGCAGAGGTTGGAATGATTTGGAGGGCTCAGAAGCTGACAGGAAGATGTGGGAAAGTTTGGAACTTCCTAGAGACTTGTTGAATACTTTTGACCAAATGCTGATAGTGATATGGACAATGAAGTCCAGGCTGAGTTGGTCTCAGATGGAGATGAGGAATTTATTGGGAAGTGGAGCAAAGGTCACTCTTGCTATGCTTTAGCAAAAAGACTGGCAGCATTTTGCCCCTGCCTTAGAGATCTGTGGAACTTTGAACTTGAGAGAGATGATTTAGGGTATCTGGCAGAAGAAATTTCTAAGCAGCAAAGCATTGAAGAGGTGACCTGGCTTGTGTTCACAAAGAGATGGTTTGAAATTGGAACTTATATTTAAAAGGGAAGCAGAGCATAAAGGTGTAGAAAATTTGCAGCCTGACCATGTGGTAGAAAAGAAAAACCCATTTTCTGGGGAGGAATTCAATCTGGCTGCAGAAATTTGCATAAGTAACAAGGAACTGAATGTTAATAGCCAAGACGGGGAAAATATCTCCAGGGCATGTCAGAAATCTTTGTGGCAGCTCCTCCCATCACAGTCCCAGAGGCCTAGGAGTGAAAAATGGTTTTGTGGGCCAGGCCCAAGGCCCTGCTACTCTCTGCAGCCTTGGGACTTTGTACCCTGCATTCCAGGTGTTCCAGCTCCAGCTGTGGCTAAAAGGCGCCAAGGTACAGCTCAGGCTGTTGCTTCAGAGGGTGCAAGCCCCAAGCCTTGGTGGCATCCATGTGGTGTTGGGCCTGAGAGTGCACAGAAGACAAGAGTTGAGCTTTGGGAGCCTCTGCCTAGATTTCAGAGGATGTATGAAAATGTCTGGATGTCCAGGCAGAAGTCAACTCGGGCAGAGCCCTCATGGAGAATCTCTACCAGGGCAATGTAGAGGAAAAATGCAGGATTGAAGCCCCTAAATGGAGTCCCCATGGGGGCACTGCCTTGTGGAGCTATGAGAAGAGGGCCACGATCTTCCAGACCCCAGAATGGTATCTCCACTGGCAGCTTGCATATGCAGCTGGAAAAGCTGTAGGCACTCACCTCCAGCTTGTGAAAGCAGCCATGGGGGCTGTACCTTGCAGAGCCACAGGGACAGAGCTGCCCAAGGCCTTGGGAGTCCACCCCTTGAATCAGCATTTCTTGGATGTGAGACATGGAGTCAAGGGAGATCATTTTGGAGCTTTAAGATTTAATGATTATGGCCAGGCGGTTGCTGACGCCTATAATCCCAGCACTTTGGGAGGCTGAGGCAGGCAAATCACCTGAGGGCAGAAGTTTGAGACCAGCCTGACCATCATGGTGAAACCCTGTCTCTACTAAAAATACAAAAATTAGCCAGGTGTGGTGGTGTGCACTTGAAATCCCAGCTACGTGGGAGGCCAAGTCAGGAGAATCACTTGAACTGGGAGGTGGAGGTTGCAATGACCCAAGATTGCACCACTGCACTCCATCCTGGGCGACAGAGGGAGACTCCATCTCAAAAAAAAAAAAAATTTAATGACTACCCCACTAGGTTTTGGACTTACATGGGGCCTGTGGCTCCTTTGTTTTGGCCAGTTTCTCCCATTTGGAGAACATTAGGAATGAAAACATTTACCCAATGCCTGTACCCCCATTGTATCTTGGGAATAACTAACTTGTTTTTGATTTTACAGGCTTCTAGGTGGAAAGGACTTGCCTTGTCTGAGATGAGACTTTGGACTTGGACTTTTGGGTTAATGCTAAAATGAGTTAAGACTTTGGGAGACTGTTGGGATGGCATGATTGCTTATAAAATGTGAAAAGTACATGAGAGTTGGAAGGAGCCAGGGTGGAATGATATGGTTTGGCTCCATGTACCCACCCAAATTTCATCTCAAATTGTATTTCCCATGTGTCAGGTGAGGGACCTGATGAGAGGTGATTGGATCATGGGGGAAGTTTTCACATGTTGTTCTCATGAGAGTGAGGGAGTTCTCACGAGATCTGATGATTTAAAAGTGGCAGTTTCCCCTGTGCACTCTCTCCTGCTGCCACATACACCTTCCTTCCCCTTACCTTCTGCCATGTTTGTAAGTTTCCTGAAGCTTCCCCAGCCATGTGAAGCTGTTAATCAATTAAACCTCATTTCTTTTTAAATTACCCAGTCTCAGGTAGTATCTTTATAACAGTGTGAAAATGGACTAATATACAATCTAAGTGCATAATATATTGAGATAGCAGATAAATTACATCAATACGATGGCCTATTAAGGTACTAGTAAATAAAAAACGATGAAGGTAATGATACTATGTGGGTAGATTTTTGTTATAAGTTCAAGTGAAAAAAATTATAGAGGAAATGAATATTGGTTGAGCCTCAGTTAATATCTAATTTAGTCCTTGTTATTATTACATAGGACCATCAAAATAGGACAGTTTGTGCTATAATTACAGTTATATAATGCTAATATAGTTGCAAAGAACAAGCAAGTGATAGGTTAAAGTGAAAACAGTTTACTTGAATTGGTGGAATTGTGGGTGTATCATTGAGGGATTACAGTTACATACTCATAAACAGAAACCCCATTTAGTGTGGCTTAACCAAATAAAGGCAAGTTTTTTTCATGTGAAAAGTCCTGAAGAAGGTGGTCTTAGGATGGTGTGGTGCTGTTGTCATCAGGGTCTTAAATACCTTCGTCCTTTCTGCTCTGCTGCCATTAATGTATGGCCTTACTCCTCGTTGTTTCTGTATGATTTGAAGATGAATGTTTTGCCACCAATTTCACCTGTGAATTCTAGGCAAGAAGAAGGGGAGGGCATAGAGCAAAAGGCTCCTGCCAGCTGATTCTCCTTCCTTTTAATGAGTTTTCCTGGAAGTCTCATCTAGGGACTTTTGGTTCCATATCACTGATCAGCACTGTGGCACACAGTTCCCATTAGCTGAAAGAAAGTCTAGAAAATGTATTTTTTTCAAAGCTGGGCATAGTGCCACCTAGAATAAAAGAGGGGTTATGTATTTATGGAAGAAGGGGAGAAAAAGACGTTAGAAAGTAACCAGCAAGGGTCTGCCAAGTTGTTTTCCCCTAATGCTGTGATACTTTCAATAATAAAAATTAGACTAGCTAAGGTAAGAAAGACATCTGGTAGTGGGTGAGATGTAATGATCCTAATTTCTTAACTGATATTTGGCTTGTCTAGATCCTTTCAGCCTTCTCCTTTTCACATGGCCTTACAACAGTTTTATCCTAGATACTAAGTCTGTAGAGGGCCAAGAAGGTGGAGTTTTGCTGCATTTTATAAGACTTACTTAAGTTCAGAGAAAAATGGGAGTATTGAAACTTAGGGCTAAAACAGATTTGGATACATGAGGAAAGGTTGTGAGGTTGTATGCTTAAGCCTTCTCTGAGCTTCAGTTCCTCCTGTGTAAAATATAATATGATCTGCTGTGCTTACTTTATAGGTTAGAGGGATTTTTGTTTTTGAGACAGGATCTTGCTCTGTTGCCCAGGCTGGAGAATAGTGGTGTGATCATAGCTCACTACAGCCTTGAACTCCTGGTCTCAAATGATCCTCCTGCTCCAGCCTCCCCAGTAGCTGTGATTACAGGTGTACCACCATGCCCAGCTAATTTTTTTTTTTTTTTAGAGATGGGGTCTCACCATGTTGTCCAGGTTGGTCTTGACCTCTTGGGCTCAAGTGATCTTCCTGCCTTGACCTCCCGAAGCACTGGGATTACAGCCATGAGCCACCACACCTGGCCAAGGGTTTTTATGAAAATGAAGTGGAAGAGGTAGTGCCTAGATTTTTGTATAGAGTAATACAATTTACAACATCGGACTGATTTCATTTAGCGGTCCAAAGCCACACACCTATTTCATGGTATCAGTTAGACTTGAGCTTAGGACTCCTGATTTCTCTTCCAGATAATACACGGCACTGTCTATTCACTATTGCATTAATCTGATAACCAAATACTCCGTAACTCAGCATTTTACGTTATCCAGTTCAGCAGTTCTTTTTTTATTCTGAGACAGGGTCTTGCTTTGTCACCTAGTATGAAGTGCAGTGGCACAAACATGACTCATTGCACTCTTGACCTTCCAGGATCAAGCAATCTTCCAGCCTCAGCCTCTCAAGTAGCTGGGACTACAGGCATGTGCCACCATGCACAGCTGATTTTTTTTTTGT
Organism: Homo sapiens; assembly: GCF_000001405.40. Taxonomy (NCBI): domain Eukaryota; kingdom Metazoa; phylum Chordata; class Mammalia; order Primates; family Hominidae; genus Homo; species Homo sapiens. Next base: position 61,898,966 of record NC_000001.11, read on the forward strand.
AGAGACAGGGTTTCACCATGTTCAGTTCAGTAGTACTATACTAACTTAACTTGCTGGATGAAAATATGTTGGTGGTAGGTGGGAAGCAGTGAGGATCATATTAGATAATATAAGTAACTGAAAAGTTCCATATAAGTACGCAAAATATTCATGGGATACAAATGACGGGGAAATACTTAGGGCTAGAAAGAGGGATCATATTGACCTGTTCATGTTGATTTATACTTGATATCTATGATACATGTTGATTTCTGTGTCTTAGCTGGTCAAACAATACCAAGTTTTAAGGAATACATTTTATAACATTTTACATATTGATACAGAAACAAATTTGAAATTGCACAAATCAAACGCAAACTTTTAGTGTCTAGAATATCACTAATAAAAGTGTTTATAATAATTCTGTGATTTTCTAATGCTGGGTGGGGATTTGTTGAGTTGAATGTTAAAGCAATATATTTTTGCTTTGCATATTTATTGATGTAAATATTTTAAAAACTTAAAAATTGAGAATCATTTAACTACCTATAGATTTTACAATTTCAAAACCTTCCAAGGACCTTTAATAATGAGTATGCCCTAAAATTGTGTGTATTTTTTTCTTTCTCCCTCTGTAGTGAGTTACCTGAGAGAGAAGAAGGCGAAGGAGAAGAAACTCCAAATTTTAGCCACTGGGGTCCACCGAGAATGTATGTGGATGACATTATTGTGGCTTTCTCAATAGGAGCACAACCAGTTGCTCTTTTCTTTAACTTAACAGAACATTATTTAGTCCTACTCTAATGATTGAGAATTGCGATAATTCACCTGTAAGCTGGCCTACGTTTTGGTTTCATTTTGTCTTATCTAGAGATTTTTAGCTGAACAAAATGACTGTAACTAATATTAGGAACATCTTTGATACTCTTTCAGAGAAAGCAACTTAGATGTCCATCTAACAAGTATAGTTTATCACTATGTCATTAAGCAAGTCAGGTAAAGCTGCCTTGAATGCAGTAAAGCTTTCTTTTCTGGTAAACAACAGTAACAGTAGTTGAAGTTTCTAGTATATATCAGTTTATCTCTACCTTCCTCCCCTGGTGGAGAGTCCACGTTTGTGCTAACAGAATGTGTTGAAAACCCATCTTCCCTTGGATCTGGGGGAAGTTTTAAGTACTCACCAGTCGCTGTAGTTTTAAGTCCTCACCAGGGCTGCACTTTAAGATGATGAAAGTCTTCCTTTAGCTGCTCTCTGTATTCCGTGTCCATTATTAATGGATATCTCCACCCAAACTGGTTCTTTGCTTGTAATTGAAATCTGAATTTGTCTTAAAACATTTAAGAGTTGTTTTCAGAGTTACTTTTTTTAATGAGTTAATTATTGGCTGCAGTGCAAAACCTATAATATTTTGAGGGAGGCAGTTTTCAGTTCATACTTTCTTTTAAATAATGACACGGAGGTAGGAAGAAAACAAAACCTTCTGGCCTTAGGAGCAGGTAAAATCTGCCCTCTGATTAAAGAACCACAGAGTTAAACCTGCTGACTGGGAAAAGCAACTTGGACAACGAGCCACTCAGTGGCTAATTTATTTTGTTCTGAAAGTCTGTACTTTTTGCCGAAATGACATATGTGGCTTTCTTTTCTTTTCTTTTCTTTTTTTTTGAGACGGAGTCTGGCTCTGTCGCCCGGGCTGGAGTGCAGTGGCGCAATCTCGGCTCACTGCAAGCTCTGCCTCCCGGGTTCACGCCATTCTCCTGCCTCAGCCTCCGGAGTAGCTGGGACTACAGGCGCCCGCCACTACGCCCGGCTAATTTTTTGTATTTTTAGTAGAGACGGGGTTTCACCATGTTAGCCAGGATGGTCTCGATCTCCTGACCTCGTGATCTGCCCGCCTCGGCCTCCCAAAGTGCTGGGATTACAGGCGTGAGCCACCGCGCCAAGCCATATGTGGCTTTCTTGATTTTTGTCTTGCCCATTTGTTATTTCTTCAGTCCATTCTTTGCTAATGTTATGGATACAAATGAAAAGGACTAATGACAGAAAATATATTATAATAGGAGATGGGAATATTTGGGCTTAACTAAATCTTCACTGAATATTTAGAGTTATATTTATTGTTCTAGAAATCTATGCTTTTCAGAACTAAAACTTTCATTTGTTATGAATTATTGATAACATAATGTTGGAACTAGGTATAATTTGTATAACATTTGTAAAAATATATTTCAAAAATTTATATAAAATATGAGTCACAAGGATATGATGCAAATGGAATACTTACAGTCCAACAGATTAAACTTGTTGATGAGTGAGTTTTGTTTTTTTCCTTTATATAGTGTTGAGATTTTTAGAGAACCCAATGTGTCTCTTGGGATCAGTATTGTTGGTGGACAAACTGTTATAAAACGTCTAAAGAATGGAGAGGAGCTTAAAGGTATATTCATCAAACAAGTTTTAGAAGACAGTCCAGCAGGGAAGACGAACGCACTTAAAACTGGAGATAAAATACTTGAGGTAAATGATGTTAAAGTACTGTTTTTATTGGAAACATACGGTAAGACAGTGAAATAATCATTTAGCTAGAAGACCTTTCTTTATGTGTTGGGGACCGTGTGTGTACAGTTGGTGTGCTCTATTTATATGCCTTAGTTTGTACATTGTATGCACAATTTATGAGTTTCTCAAGTGAGTGTGGGCAGGGGTAAACAAATAAAATGATAAAAACTTCAGCTGATTGCAAAAAAACACTTTAACTAACAAAGGGCTCTATATAGAACAGGGCAGATGGTAGGCATTATGCTTCTCCCACATTCTTTAACAAGCTCTAAATTTTTTTCCTGAAGCCCTAAATTTTATAATTATGTGTCAGGAGGATATTATGCTTGTTTAGAGAAAGAAGTTGACCCTGGAAGGTTGAAGACTCTATTGGGTGAGGGGAGGATCCATGATTCGCACCGGATACGCTCTGTGGGCGCTAAGTTTTAAAGGCACATCAGGCCGAGCACGGTGGCTCATGCCTGTAATACCAGCACTTTGGGAGGCCGAAGCAGGCAGATCACTTGAGGTCAGGAGTTTGAGAGTAGCTTGGCCAATATGGTGAAACCCCATCTACTAAAAATGCAAAAATCAGCCGGGCGTAGTGGCACGTGCCTGTATTCCTAGCTACTCAGGAGGCTGAGACAGGAGAATCGCTGGAACCCTGGAGGTGGGGGTCTCAGTGAGCCAAGATCGGACTTCCCTCCAGCCTGGGTGACAGAACGACACTCTTGTCTCAAAGCAGGAAAAAAAAAAAAAGGCATATTAAACCACTGAGAATGCCCTGAGGTCTGAATGTGATACATTTCTTTGCATTGGGTTAATTGGGTGACACCATGGTGGGTATCTGTAATCCCATAATCTGCTTGTTCTTGATTCATTCTTTATGATGCTAACTGTTAATCATGGTGTTTCAGCTGTGATAGAATACAAAGAGCCCTGGATGTCATGGGTTGGAGTCGGAGTCTGTCCTTTTTATTTTCTATGTGTTTTTGGACAAGTCATTAGACCTACTTATTTTCCGTTTTCAGATAAAATGGAAATGAGAATTCAAAATCGATAGCATTATTGTGAGGATTAAATTAAGGAACTACATAAAAGCTTGTCTGTATATACAAATGTTGAGTTATATTTGTGCTGTGCAATATTTAAAACAATTTTCAAATATACTACTTATGGCAATGAAGAAAATGACCAACAGTCCCTTCCCTTATGGTGTTTACATGATAGTGGGAATGGGGGAATAGACAATAAAATAAGTATATGTAGAATGTCAGATTGCAATAAGTAGCTAGGGAACAAAATAAAGCAGGGGAGGAGGATAAGGAGCGTTGGGGTTGGGGATGGTGAAAGCAATAGTTGCAATTTTAATAACTTTGTTATGGAAGATGATATTGGGACAAATATAGGAAATGAGAGAGTGAGCCATATAGATATATGGAGGAAGAAAAACATGCAAAAGCTCCGAGGTAGGAGCTTGCCTGGATGTGTTCAAGGAGCAGCAGTGAGTCCAGCAATGATAGCATAGCATGAACAAGCCAGAAGGGGTAAGAGAAAAGGGCTGAGGAGTGATGGGAAGCCACATCACGTAGATCCTGAAAGCTCTGGAAGGTCTTCTGCTCTGAACGCAGCGGAGAGTCACTGGAGAATTATGAACAGGTAAGTATTGTTTCAAAGGAGTATTCTGGCTTCAGGGGCAGGGATGGAAGCAGGGGCCTCAGCCAGAAGGCTGTTGCAGTAACTTAGGAGAGAAAGAATGGCGGCCTGGACCAGGAGGAGAGCAGTCAGGTTGTGGTATATTTTGCAGGTGAATAATAGGACTTACTAACAGAATGGATGCAAAAGAATAAAGTGGCAAAGATAATTCAAAAGCTTTTCAGCTTGAGGAATCGAAGATGGAATTTCTGTTTGCTGAGATGGGCAAGACTGTGGGAGGAACAGATTTGGGGAGACATGTTTTAGACATGTTAGGCTAAGATGCCTATTTGACATCCATATAATAATAGTCAGTTAGATAAACAAATAAGGAGTCCCATATTCTTACTAATTTTTTTGGTCTTTTTCCTCAGTTTCAGTTAGAGTTTGTCCCCCACTGTGATTATGGATTTGTTTGCTATTCTTTGTAATTCTGTTGGTTTTGCTGTACATATTTAGTGGATTTGTTGTTGGTGATTTGCTTTTGACATTATGTGGTTTTCTTCTGTATTCCTATTAGTTACTTTTTGCCTTAAATTCTATTTTATTAATATTGGTAACCTTGTTTTATTTTAGTTATTAATTTACATGGTACTTTGCTTTTTTTTTTTTTTTGAGATGGAGTCTCTCTCTGTCACCCAGGCTGGAGTGCAGTGGCGCAATCTCAGCTCACTGCAACCTCCACCTCCCAGGTTCAAGCAATTCTCCTGCCTCAGCCTCCCAAGTAGCTAGGATTACAGGCACCCACCACCACGCCCGGCTAATTTTTGAATTTTTTGGTGGAGACAGGGTTTTGCCATGTTGGTCAGGCTGATCTCGAACTCCTAACCTCAGGTGATCCGCCCACCTCAGCCTCCCAAAGTGCTGGGATTATAGGCATGAGCCATTGCGCCCGGACAGTACTTTGCTTTTTTCATTCCTTCTTTTCCACCATTCTTTTCATTTAGTTTTAGTTGTATTTTTTGTAAGCAACATCCAACTAAATTTTGTTTTTTGAATCTAATCATCTAGAAAATAAGTGAGACGAATTCACTTTTTACTTTGATTGCTGATCTATTGTAACTTAATTTTTTAATGTTTCGTATTATATTTTTTCTTAATGTATTCTGAAATCATCATAAATTTATAGGAAATTACAAAGAAGTGTACAGGGAAGTCCCATGTACCTTTCACTCGGTCACCTCCAATTTTAATATCTTATACAACTATACTATAATAGCAACACCAAGAAATTGACATTGGCTCAATCCGTAGTTTATTCAGATTTCACCAGTTATTCATGCATTGATTTGTGTGTGTGTTTGTAGCTCTATACAGTTTTATCACATGTAAAACCTTGCATATGCACCACCACAATTGAGAAACTCAGCTGTGTCATCACCACCAAACTCCCTTGCATTACCCTTCTGTATTAGTCCATTCTCAACTGCTATGAAGAAATACCTGAGAGTGTATAATTTATAAAACAAAGAGGTTTAATTGACTCACAGTTCCACATTGCTGGGGAGGCTTCAGGAAACTTATAATCATGGTGGAAGGAGAAGCAGGCACCTTCTTCACTTTTGGTTGCCTCTTCCCTTTCTCTCCCATCCCTAACTTCTGACAACCAGTTTTCTGTTTCTTGATGTCTATAAATATGTTATTTCACAATTGTCTTATAAATGCAATTATGCATTATGTATTTTTTGAGATTGCCTTTTTTTACTTAGCATAATCTCCTTGAGGTTCATTCAATTTGTTGTGCACATTAATAGTTCATTCCCATGGCTGGGTGAGGTGGCTCACACCTGTAATCCCAGCACTTTGGGAGGCGGAGGCAGGAATGGATTGAGTCCAAGAGTTCAAGACTTGCTTGGGCAACATAGTGAGACCCTCTATCTACAAAGAAACTACCACTTTCTTCCTTTTTGTTGAGTCAGGTGTCTTTGGAAATTCAGGCTGCCAAAACAAAATACCATAAACATAGAAATTCCATTATAGTTCTGAAGGCTGGGAACTCCAAGATCAAGGCATTGGCAGATTTCAGTGTCTGGTGTGGACCTGTTTTCTGGGGTGTCAGAGATGGTGCCTTCTCTCTGTGTCCTCACATAGTGGAAGGGATGAGCTAGCTATCTTGGGTCTCTTTTATAAGGCCACTAATCCTATTCTTGAGGGCAGAGCCCTCATGACCTAATCACTTTGTAAAGGCCCTACCTACCTCCTAATACCTTCACCTTAGAAGTTAGGATTTCAAGATATGAATTGTGAAGGACACATAAATTCCAACCATAGCAGTGGCATTTCATAATATGGATGTACCAATTTGTTTAATCATTCACCCATTGAAAGACACTTGGGTAGTTTTTAATTATTGACTATTACAAATAAATCTGCTCTAAATATTTATGTACAAATTCCTGAGTGAAAATAAGTCTACATTTCTGTAGGATAAACACCCAAGGGTGCAATTACTGGGTTTTATGGTAATTGTACTTTTGGTTTTGAAAAGAGTTGTCAAACTCTTTCCAGAGTGGCTGGCTATACCGTTTTACATTCACACCAGCAATGTGTAAGTTTCTCCATATTCTTACCAACCTTTTCCCTTTACTCTCACACTCAAAACAGAATACTAGATGTGACCAGATGTGTGGGGGTTTACCCCCATACACTAAGCAGTTCTCCAGTCGACACCGACTGGATGTCTTATAATTCTGATACTATGTATCTGGAGATAGTATCAGATCCCCAGCGGACACCAACTGTCTTATAATTTAATTGAATTCCAATACTATGTACTTGGATCTAGCATTACATCACACAGTTAAGGGCTTGGTCCCACAAGATTGCCCCCAGGTCAGACGCCAATCTTAGTAGGTTGTCACCTATACTTCTGACCAACTGGCTACAAACCAGGGTTCCCACATCCCTCCCCTTGAATTTTGTTAATTTACTAGGGCAGCTCAGAGAAACACATTTACCAGTTATACAAAGGTTATAGATGGACAGCCAGATGAAGAGATGCATAGGGCAAAGTATGCAGAGGAGGGCACAGAGCATCCACACTCTGGGTATACCACCTGCTACCCTTCCAGCATGTCAACATGTTCAACAACCCAGAAGCTCATCAAATCTTGTTGTTCAAGGGTTTTTACAGAGCTTCATCTCCAGCCCCCACCCTCACTTCTTGGAGATTGTAGGGGGAATGCAGGGATTCTCTAATCCTTTGGTCTTTGTGGTGACTGGCCCCATCCCGAGGCTATCCAGGGGATCTACCCCAAGCCACCTCAGTAGCATAAACTCAGATGTGAAAGGGGCTATTAATGCATAACAAAAGACACTCCTATCACTCAGGAAATTCCAAGGGTACTCTGTGACAAGAACAAGAACATTTCATATTATACCACAGGCACACACATCTATGTCCTCAGCTTCTCATGTGCCCACTTTCTCCTCAGCCTGCTCAAGTTCAGTGGTTGGTGGCTCCAACCCCTTCCTTGCATGTGCTTCCTACTGTTGATCCTCTTTCCTTTCACTGAACTTGTCTGGGAGAATCACACCCTAGTTAAGTGCAGCTCTGCTTATTCCAGGTCTCTAGCATGGCTGGAGAAATAACCAGCCATGGTATCTGGTCTCATTAGAAGCTCATGAGCAGCCACTCAAGCGGTTCTTTAGTTTTGCCTTGCTGTCCTGTATTATTCTCCTAGCTGGTTCAGTCTCCAGTTTTTATAAGTGATATGATTTGGCTGTGTCCTTACCCAAATCTCATCTTTAATTGTAGTTCCCAAAATCCCCATATGTCATGGGAGGGACCCAGTGGGAGGTAATTGAATCATGGGGGTGGTTAGCCCCATTCTGCTGTTCTTGTGATAGTGAGTGAGTTCTCACAAGATCTGATGATTTTATAAGGAACTTTTCCCCCTTTTCTCGGCACTTCTCCTTCCTGCCACGTGTTTGCTTCCCCTTCCCCTATGATTGTAAGTTTCCTGAGGCCGCCCCAGCCATACAGAACCATGAGATAATTAAACCTCTTTCCTTTATAAATTACCTAGTCTTAGGCAGTTCTTTATAGCAGCGTGAGAACAAAGTAATACAACAGGTAACTGTGCCAAACCCCTTATGCCTCTTTCCTTAGTCTTGCTCTCAGTTTAAGGTCCTAGTTTCAGGTTTCGTTGAGAAAATAGAGGCAGTTAAAGGGAACTTCCCCTGCTTCCAGTGCTCACCAAATCTTTTTTCTAATTGCCTCTGTAACAGCAAAGGAACTACATTTGTGCTTCTATCCAAAGCCAGTCTCTCTAACTTGTGCAGTAGGAATCATTTCCTCTTGACCGTCCAAGGATATTGACCTTACAGTTGTCATGTCTCTCCTTTATCATCCATTTTTTTCTCTGCACTGTATCATTATTGCTGTAATATTTCCTTCTATCTTAAAAACATCCTACATCCCTTTCCACCCACATTCCTGTTTCCTCGGTCCTCTAATAGCAAAGCAGTCTTCACAAATTATCACTATCCGTTGAGACCACAGAACATCCCAGCATTTACCAAGGCTTTGTTACATTATAGGTTTGAAAAATTAGTTCTGTTAAACATGTTTTGGAAATACAGAGTGTGCTCTTGGAGATTTATGGGCATGTTAGCAAGTTATGTTCTCTGAAATTTTCTATAATAAGGAACTGTTTACACTTACTCAAATTTATTGAACACATAAATAGTTTTAGTAAAAGAACTTGTGGATGCTTTTTGGTACTTCTTTTTAAACATAATTTGAGAAATGTTCAACTACTCAATTGTGATAACAAGCAATTTACTTAAAATATTATGCCTCTGAGCTTAATGGAGAGATGATAAAAGTCCATAGATATTCCCAGCCTCCCTTATCCCACTCAGAATTATGTACTGTGCTCCTGGCAGAGGTGACAGACATCTTAAGGTTCTGTTACTGACTGAGCTACCTGTTTTGGATAATTATATTTAACCAGGGATGTTTTTATTAATGTATTTTTCTTATCTACTTTTCTGAAGGTGAAATGTTACTTTCCTTGAACATGTTCTTCTAAAATTGCCAAGCTTTTTATGGGCCAATCTTATTTTTTTCTGACCGTCTACTCATTAGACTCTGGTTGTTCTTATAACTAGATAATGCACATGAACTTTGAATTAACCTGTCCACAATATCTAGTGCTGTTCTAATTGAAATAACTTGCTTCTGTGTTTCAGGTGTCTGGAGTAGATTTGCAGAATGCCTCACACAGCGAAGCAGTTGAGGCCATTAAGAATGCAGGAAACCCTGTGGTGTTCATTGTTCAGAGTTTGTCATCCACTCCACGAGTAAGTTTTAGTTCATATTTTCAAAAAGTTTAACAACACTCTGTATACCTGCAGACCAAGCTTTGGCCTCTAAGTATTTTCCACATATTTTCATTGTAGTTCCCAAACTATATTTAAAGTATGAGCTTCATAAAAATTTAGTCATAAGGTTCCCTTTTTTCCCCTCCAGTTTTGATCTTCTGGTCAAATTGGAGTCATTACAGTGTGCATTGGTTTAAGTTACTGCTTCTGGAATCAAACAGACCTGTTTTCAATTTCTTGATTCCTTATTTACCAGCTTTGCTAACTTGCAGGTTACTTTTCTGAGCCAGTTACTTTGTTTATGAAATACTTTGAACAGAGGGTCAGGTGTAAAAACATTGTAGAGATACTATCACATGTTGTGTATATTTATTAAAGGATGTAAAAATAAAAACGTGTTGACATGTTGTACTGTTGTGTGTTCTAATGTTGGAGATTCCAAATGTAAAAACAGCAATATTTAATCATAAAATTTTTCTTTTTCTTCTTTTTTTGAGATGGAGTCTTGCTCTGTTGCCCAGTCTGGAGTGCAGTGGCACGATCTCAGCTCACTGCAATCTCTGCCTCCCAGGTTCAAGTGATTCCTGTGCCTCAGCCTCCCGAGTAGCTGGGATTACAAGCATGTGCCACCATGCTCCACTAATTTTTGTATTTTTAGTAGAGACGAGGTTTCACCTTGTTGGCTAGGCTGGTCTCAAACTCCTGACCTCAAGTGATCTGCGCACCTTGGCCTCCCAAAGTGCTGTTATTACAGGTGTGAGCCACTGCGCCTGACCTACAATTTTTCTTCTGTAATTAATTACTCCTTTGGTATGGAATTGGAACTCTGATATGAAATGTCAGTGGCAGGATGTGGATTTTATACTACAATGTGCAACAGAAACATCACCCTTAAAACTGGAAGCAATATTCAATATTCTTTTTCTTCATTTTATAATGGAAGACAGCTGTTCAAAACATAGACACTTCTTTTTTTGTTTGTTTTTGGGGATAGAGTCTCATTCTGTCACTTAGCCTAGAGTGCAGTGGCATGATCATAGCTCACTGCAGCCTTTATCTCCTGGGCTCAAGCAATCTTACTGCCTTAGCCTCCCAAGTAGCTGGGATTACAGGTGCATGCCACTACACCTGGTGAATTTTTTTTTGTTTTTTGATAGGGTCTCACTTTGTTCCCCAGGCTTACATATGCACTTCTAACTGCATATTTTAAAAAATTATTTGCTTTCCAATATAGTTTTGTAGTGCATTCCAATTTTTGTATGTCAAGGCAAAAAGAAAATAATACTTATATGGCAAACTGGGTGGGTATATGTTTGGCTATCCCAGTGGTGGGGGCATTGATGGAATATTTTGCATGCTTGTAATCTGCCTATGCACAGTGAGCTGCAGCCTGCATTGGCACCTCTGCTGTGTCACTGCATTTTGCAGTATGGTGCCTTCCATTCTTAGCACTATGTTTACATCATCAAGACTAATTGAGAGAGGTGAGCTGAATAAAGTTCTCTTGTTTTCATAAAATTTGAAATTCAATAAGAATTTTTAGAATTCAGTTTTTAATTCTTACAATATTGAGAATATAGTTGAGGCCATGGCTTTTATTTCTGGAAACCTAGTTCAACAGGAAAATTGGCCAGATTGTTCTTTGCCAAATTATACTTCCAAATCAATAATTTTGAATGAGAATGAGCCAATCAAATTATACATTTGTGTGGCCAGCTGTGAATGACCTGCCAAAAAGGCTAAGCTTTCAATCCAACCTTTGCTAGTGAGCTGAGGTGGAAACTTTTGTTTGGATGACACAAACAGTGCAATTTCTTTCAATTATTCAAACAAAGAAAATCTCTTCAGCACCATGCCATGCTCAAGTTACTTATTCCCTATGTAGTATAATAGACTGCCACATTGTACATTCAGTTCATCAGGCATTGAACCATCTGTGGTTCTAGCCAAGGGAGCATATCCCATTGATGATGTTAATTACCATGTCCATGACTTGTTCCATTTTCAACTTTGTTTATAGGGCAAAGTGACTCTTTTTTTTTTTTTTTTTTTTTTTTTTTTGGAGACAGGGTCTTATTCTGTCACCCAGGCTGAGTGCAGTGGCACAATCATGACTCACTGAAGCCCCGATCTCCTTGGCTCAAGCAATCTTCCCAGTTCAGCCTCCCAAGTGGCTGGGACCACAGGCATGGATCACCATGCCCAGCTAGTTTTTGATTTTTTTCCCGCAGACAGGGTCTCCCCTTATTCCTCAGGCAAGTCTTGAACTCCAGGCTCAAGTAATCCTCCTGCCTTGGCCTCCCAAAGTGTTGGGATTACAAGCATGAGCCACTGCACCTGGACAGGGCAAAGTGATTCTTATTGAGTGAGGCAAATGAAAGGAGAATCAAGTTTCATGTCTTTGTAAAATGGTGCTGTCTTTGGTTTACTTATTATTGCAAGTAGTACTGATTATCCAGAAATAGAAAATATAGGCAATGCTTAATCATTTTTATCTAGTTTACATTAAATTTTGAACTTTCCTTAAAACCCCCAAAATAAGTCATTTTCTAATGTTGTGCCCATCAAAGGTGATGTCTAAAAGTACCTTGGTCACATAAACATTCTCCTCAACACTATGAATTGAGCGGTTGTTTTTATCTGTGTGCATTATCAGCTGCCTTAGGAGCATCACCAGTACACTTTCTTGGGTTTTTTTTGTTGTTGTTTTTTGTTTGTTTGTTTGTTTTGGGACAGAGTCTCGCTCTTCGCCCAGGCTGGAATGCAGTGGTGTGATCTCAGCTCACTGCAACCTCCGCCACCCGGATTCAAGTAATTCTTCTGCCTCAGCCTCCTGAGTAGCTGGGATTACAGGTGCATGCCACCACGCTCAGCTAATTTTTGTATTTTTAGTAGAGATGAGGTTTCACCATGTTGGTCAGGCTGGTTTCGAACTCCTGACCTCGTGATCCGCCCACCTCGGCCTCCCAAAGTGAGCCACCGCACCTAGCCACCAATACACCTTTTAAATCTTCTTACCCTGACTTTCTCAAGTGTATTTTCAGCCTTCTGGAAAAATGTGTGTATCTACTTGGATGTACTTGGCAAATACTTATTTGAGAGTAAGGCCCATAGAAAGTTTTTCTGTAAGGTAATTTTTTCCACTTAATAACATAACTGCACTTCACAGAAATTCCATCATCTATATATTTTTATATATATATATATATATATATCATATATATGACAAGTCAGATAGTTTCTGACTTGTCAGGGAGGCAAAGTGTTTTGTTTAAGATTCTTCAGGACAAGGAACACATGCCTGTAAACCCCACCAGTCTTTGAAATCTGACTTAGGTTGTTATATGTATTAAACAGAGATAGAAATATTAGGTACTAGCACAGTGCCTCTTCACATAGCACTGTATATATGTTAATGTATCATTACTGCTGTTTTTTTACATAAATGACACATTTCTGAGACTTTCTCATTTATTCTAAACTTTATTTTCATTCTATATTAATATATATATATTTTTATATTAAAAAATTGGATATCTTCAGCTCATTATGTTTATCATCACGTGTTGCTTTCTTTCTTCCTGTATTCCAGTTGTGCTTACCAATACCATTGTTCTATAAGGGTACCTACTTTTTTTGACACATGAACATTTTGCATATTAATCACCTATAAATATATTTTTACTTTCACGAGAAATACAGTCTTCTGTTTTCCTGAAAGGTGGAGTCTCATTGAGCATTTTGTCTTCTAAATTTTGCTAAAGATATATGTACAGAAGAACATTTCTCTGCTATTTGAAAAACAGTGGGCTGGGCGCAGTGGCTCACGCCTGTAATCCCAGCACTTTCGGAGGCTGAGGTGAGAGGATCACTTGAGGTCTGGAGTTGGAGACCAGCCTGGCCAACATGGTGAAACCCTGTCTCTATTAAAAATAGAAAAAGTAGCTGAGTGCGGTGGTTTACACTTGTAACCTCAGCTACTTGGGAATGAGGCACAAGAATTGCTTGAACCTGGGAGACACAGGTTGCAGTGAGCCAAGACTGCACTGCAGTGGCCACTGCACTCCAGCCTGGGTGACAGAGTGAGACTCTGTCTCAACGAATGAACAAACCAATGAAAGAAAGAAAGATAAGAAAGAGAGAGAGAGGGAGGGAAGGAAGGGAGGGAGGGAGGGGAGGGGAGGGGAGGGAAGAGGGGAGGGGAAGGTAGAGAGGAGGGGAGGGGAGGGAAGGCAGCGTAAACATTGTGAGTGGCAGCTGACATTCTGTCTCATCCCAAAGCTTCTATTTAGCATCAGCTAGTTTTTCTATGGGAGAAAGTAGTAGTGTGGGCAGATAGTTTCTGACTTGTCAGGGAGGCAAAGTGTTTTGTTTAAGATTCTTCAGGACAAGGAACACATGCCTGTAAACCCCACCAGTCTTTGAAATCTGTCTTAGGTTGTTATATGTATTAAACAGAGATAGAAATATTAGGTTACTAGTAGCACAGTGCCTCTTCACATAGCACTGTATATATGTTAGTGTATCGTTACTGTTGTTTTTTACGTAAATGACACGTTTCTGAGACTTTCTCATTCTAAACTTTATTTACATTCTATATTAAAAATGAAAATTTAATCTTAAATTGCATTTAGGGGAAAATGGGCTTTTTGTTTTGTTTTTAATTATCTCCAGGCAGGCAGTCTTTTAATTTCCTGAGCAAGGAGTTTTTTTTTGTCTTTTTCTTTTTAATTTATTTATGTATTTTTTGAATCAGGATCTTGCCCTGTCACCCAGGCTGGTGTTCAGTGGTGCAATTGTGGCTCACTGTAGCCTCGACCTCAGCCCCACAAGTATCTGGGATTACAGGCGCACGCCAACACACCCAGCTAATTTGTAAATTTTTGTAGAGATGGAGTCTCCCTTTGTTGTCCAGGCTGGTCTCAAACTCCTGGACTCCAGCGATCCTCCTGCCTTAGCCTCTCAAAGTGCTGGGATTGCAGATATGAGCCACTATACTTGGTCTATTTTTTTCTTTTAATCTTCATGTCTCTCACCAGATTTTATGCCAAGATTATCTGTGCTAGCTCTTTGAGGAGCTTCTTTTTATAAAATTAAACTGGTTCGTTCATTTATAAACATTTATTATGTACAGCTATGTATTAGGCCATTTCTGAGCACCAGAGAAATAGTGAAAAATAACACTGAGTTCTACTCTCATTAAGCTTATTCAGTGGTGGGAATAGATTTGTTAATTCCTCCTTATGCTAATAGTGATAGTGGAATATTGAGTACACACAGTGTGGGAGATAACATGCTTGAACTGGGGGTACAATGATGAATAAGGTAAATCTGTCAAACAGATGTGTTATCCTATGTTCTTGGATAATTAATTAGATCACCCCTAAAACTCTATCTTGCAAAATGTGATGTTTGGACTACAGTCAGTATGTGAACTTGTTTTTAGTCTTTTTCGTCTTCAGCTTCTGGATCTACGTACAGAAACCTGCATTTTTATGCCCTGATGGCATATATATAACTTTATAATATTTTAGAGTTATGTATCTTCTCAGGCTTTCCAAGTTTTATTGTTTGCTTTGAATTGTACTTCTCATACTTTTACTCTTTAGATGAAGTTACAAAGTTAAGATTTTAGCTGTTTAAACAAATACATTAAGGAATGTAATGATAGGCCAGGCTCAGTGGCTCACGCCTGTAATCCCAGCACTTTGGGAGGCTGAGGCGGGCGGATCATCTGAGGTCAGGTATTTGAGAGCAGCTTGGCCAACATGGTGAAATTCCATCTCTACTAAAAATACAAAAATTAGCTGGGTGTGGTGGCAGGCGCCTATTACCCCAGCTACTCAGGAGGCTGAGGCTGGAGAAGCGCTTGAACCCAGGAGGCGGAGGTTACAGTGAGCAGAGATTGTGCCATTGCACTCCAGCCTGGGTGACAAGAGCGAATCTCCATCTCAGAAAAAGAAAAAAACAGAAATGTAATGATTGAAAAAAAATTCTCCATTGTGGAATGTCAAGAGAAAAAAAAGGAATGATTATGTCGTTTAAACGTTTTCTTCCCCCCACCCCTTTTTTTGTCACCATAGGTCATTCCTAACGTACATAACAAGGCCAACAAAATCACCGGTAACCAGAACCAGGACACCCAAGAAAAGAAAGAAAAGGTAACTTGAACCTCTCAAGGATTTAAAAAATGTTTTTGTTTTGTTTTTGTTTTTGTTTTCCATATCTGGGCTATAATAGAAGTGGCTTTTTGATGAGTGTCAGTGTTGTAGGAGCACTATATTTATAATTTTTTTCCCTGCAAATATGACTGGTTCTTACCAGGATGGAGGACAGAAACCTGGTGCAGCATAGATGCAAAAATACTATAAACGGCCAGTCAGCCATCAACGTCTATAGATTTCTTTCCTGTTCAGACAGGCTGGTTGTTTGTCCATTCCCAGAACATGCCTCTCACACTGAGACTTTGATCTTGCTGCTCTCGCCTGGAAGTCCATTTCCCACATTGCTCTCCCATAAGAATCCTTTTCATTCTTTAAGGACCACATCAAAGGTCATCTCTCCTGAGAAAACTATCCTTCCTGTCAATCAGAATTAATCCTCCATTCCTGTTTGCCCACCTCTATTAAAGTAGAATCTGTTGACCTAAAAATTATTTTAAGATGTGGTGTCAAGTAGGGATGAATTTTCATTTTTTCTCATCAAGAGAACTTGTTGTTCTCTTGGGGAATTACTGTCCCACTGTTTTAAAATAGACCTCCTTTACCCACTGATTTGCAGTCCAACTCTGCTGTATCTCAGGTTACAAGGGGGAGTCTGTTTCTAAGCTTTCTCTTTGTTCCATTTGATCAACTTGTCTATCCCAGTACAAATGCTGCACTGACGGAATTATTAAAGCCTAGTAATCAATCTTTTTTCCTGATAGAGCACTTTCTTTTATATGTTTCTTCTTCTTAGACATGTCTTAACTATTTATATCATTTTTATTTTCCATATCCATTTAGAATCAGATTATTAAATTCCACAAAAGTTTCTTTTGGGATTTTGGTTGGAATTTTGTTGAATCTATAGATTAACTTAGAAAGAAGTTATATCTTTTGGATGTTGAGACTTTTAAGCCATTAATATGATTTTTTAATTTGTTAAATTCTTTTATTTCTTTTAATTAATTTTTATAATTTTCTTTTCTTTCTTTTTTTTTTTTGTTTTTGGGAGACAGAGTCTTGCTCAGTCGCCAGGCCAGAGTGCAGTGGCGTGATCTTGGCTCACTTCAACCTCCACCTCCTGGGTTCAAGGGATTCTCCTGCCTCAGCCTCCCAAGTTGCTGGGATTACAGGCATGTGCCACCATGCCCAGCTAATTTCTGTATTTTTAGTAGAGACAAGGTTTCACCATGTTGGCCAGGATGGTCTCGATCTCTTGACATTGTGATCCACCTGCCTCGGCCTCCCAAAGTGCTTGGATTACAGGCATGAGCTGCTGCGCCTGGCCTATAATTTTCTTTAAAAAGATACTGAAATCTTGATTTATTCCTAGGTATTTTATTTTGCTATTTAATGATATCTCTTTAAACTGTGTTTTCTGTTTGTTTCTAGTATGTAGACATAAAATTGACTTTTATATATTTATTTGACATCTTGTAACATTATTCTTTTAAAACATACAATAATCTAGTGGAGAATACTGGGAAAACCATAATGGTGAAACAAAAAAATAAAAATATAAACCTACCACCTAAAGATAAACTTATTAAACATTTCATATAGAACCTTTTAGTGTCTTTGTGTGTCTGCTCCATATATATATGTGTGTATATATGATATTTTTAATAAGAATATGAATCTCAAATTCTTATTCTATGTAGATTTTTATTTTTGGATTTTCTATACATATAATAAATAATAAACTCTTTGGAATAAGGTAATTTTCTTTTTCCCTTTCCAATCTTTCTTTCTCTCATTTTATTGTATCTGCTAAGACCTCCAGTACTGTGTTTAGTAGAAGTAATGATAGCTAACATTCTTGTCATTTTTCTTCCTGATATTTAAGGAAAAGCTTTTAATATTTCACTGTTGAATATGATGTACTGTAGGTATTTGTAGATAATCTGTCATGTAACTGTCTGATGGGTTCATCTTACCCACTGCCCAAATGCAGTCGATTTATCAAGACAGGGGAATTGCAGTAGAGAAAGAGTTTAATGCATACAGAGTTGACTAAATGGGAGACCGGAATTGTATTATTACTTGAATCAGCCTCCCTGAAAATTTGGAGGCTAGAGTCTTCTTTCAAAGATAGTTTTGGGGGTAGGGAATGGGGAATGCTGATTAGTTTGGTTGGTGATGAAATCATAGGGAGTCCAAAACTGTCCTCTTGTGCTGAGTCAGTTCCTTGGGGGAGGTGAGGCAGAAGACCAGAGAAGTCAGTTTACCAGTCTGGGTACGTCGGCTGATCCATCAGAATACAGAGTCTGGAAAATACCTTAAACACTAATCTTAGTTTTTATAATAGTAACATTATCCATGGAAGCAACTGAGGAGGTTAGGAATCGTGTGGCTTCTGACTGCATGACTCCTAAACCATAATTTCTAATCTTGTGGCTAATTTGTTGGTTTTGCAAAGATGGTCTGGTCCCTAGGCAAGTAGGGGGTTTGTTTTGGAAAAGAGCTGTTACCATCTTTGTTCCAAAGTTTAACTATAAACTAAATTCCTCCTATGGTCAGCTTGGCCTATGCACAGGGATGAACAAGGCCAAGATATTGGAGGTTAAAGGCAAGATGGAGTTGGTTAGGTCAGGTCTCTTTCACTGCCATAGTTTTCTGACAGTTATAATTTTTGCAAAGGTGGCTTCAATCAGGTTAAGGAAATACTCTCTTTCATTCCTACTTTGCTAAGAATTTTTACCATGAATGGCACTGGCATTGAATTTAATCAGATATATTACTAATCTCCAGTGAAAGAAGTATGTGCATCTATAAATTTTTTTCTCCTTGAATCCTTTAATGTAGTAAATTATATTAATAGATTTCAGAATGTTGAACCAATCTTGAATTACTGGAATGCAATTTATTTGTTTTGTTTTGTTTTTCCCCATTGCTGATATTTATTTTAGGATTTTTCCATCCATGGTCATGAGTGAGATTTGCCTGGAAATTTTCATTTATATACTGTCCTATCTGGCTTTGGTTATGGTAAACTACTAAAATGATCGGTAGGAGCATGTGTTCTTTTAAGTTCTCTGAGAGTTTGTATAAAAAAAGAAATTATTGGCCAGGTGTGGTGGCTCATGCCTGCAATCCTAGCACTTTGGGAGGCCAACGTGGGCGAATCACAAGGTCAGGAGTTCAAGACCAGCCTGACCAACATGGCGAAACCCCGTCTCTACTAAAAATACAAAAATTAGCTGGGCCTGGTGGCGTGCACCTGTAATCTCAGCTACTTGGGAGGCTGAGGCAGGAGAATCACTTGAACCTGGGAGGTGGAGGTTGCAGTGAGCCAAGATGGCGCCACTGCACTCCAGCCTGGACGACAGAGCGAGACTCTGTCTCAAAAAAAAAAAAAAGAAAAGAAAGAAAGAAAACATTATCAATTCCTTCAATCTTTAGTCAAGCTACCCTATGAAGCCGTTGTGGGCCTGTGTTTTCTATGTGGGAAAAATTTTAAATACTGATTTAGTTCTTTAATAGTTATTGAATCATTTGGATTTTCTATTTCTCCTAGTCATTTTTGGTCATTGACTTTTGTAGGAATATTAATATCACCTAAGTTTTTTACATTTGTTGGCATAAAGTTGTTTGTGTATTCTTTTTTTTTTTTTTTTTTTGGAGACAGTCTTGCTGTGTCACCCAGGCTGGAGTGAAGTGGCATGGCATCAGCTCACTGCAACCTCCGCCTCCCAGATTCAAGTGATTCTCATGCCTCAGCCTCCCGAGTAGCTGGGATTACAGGCATGCGCCACCATGCCTGGCTAAATTTTTGTATATTTTTTAGTAGAGATGGGTCTTACCGTGTTGCCCAGGCTGGTCTTGAACTCTTGAGCTCAGGCAATCTGCCCACCTCCGCCTCTCAAAGTGCTAGGATTACAGGCCTGAGCCACCGTGCCCAGCCATTTCTCTTAACTTTAATCATCTCTGCTCCATTCATAGTAGTTCTTTTTCATTCTGAAATAGGTAATTATGGCCAGGCCTGGTGGCTCACTCCTGTAATCCCAGAACTTTAGGAGGCCTAAGTAGGAGGATTGCTTTAGCCCAGAAGTTCCAAGACCAGCCTGGGCAACCTGGGAAGACCCTGTCTCTACAAAATATAAAATATTAGCTGGGTGTGGTGGTGTGCACCTGTAGTCCCAGCTACTTGGGAGGCTGAGCTGGGAGGATCACTTGAGCCAGGGAAGGCCGCAGTGAGCCATGGTCACACCACTGCACTCCAGCCTAGGGGACAGGGCAAAACCCTGTCTCAAAAAAATTTTTAAAAAGTAAAAAATAAAATAAAACAAATAATAATGAAAAATAAATTGTAAAAAATAAAATTGGTAATTATTTGCTATATCTTTTTCTTGATTAATCTTGAAAGTAATTTTTCATTTAATTTTTTTTTCTGAAGAATTACCTTTTGAAGTGTGTTCGTCTTATCTGTTATATCTTTTTTCTGCTTAATTAATTTTGTTCTCATCTTTATATTGCCTTACTTCCTTGTTTGAATTCATTCCCCTTTTTCACCCCTTAATAATCTTTAGTTAAATGCAGAGATTATTTATTTTCTACTTTCTTTCTTGTCTAAAATAATCATTTAAGGTTATAAATTTTTTCTTTCTTTTTCTTTTTTTTTTGGAGACACAGCCCTTACTCTGTTGCCCAGGATGGAGTGCAGTGGGGCAATCATGGCTCACTGCAACCTCACTGCCAGTAGTCCTCCCATCTGAGCCTCCCAAGTAGCTGAGACCACTGACGCGCACCACCACGCCCAGCTAGTTTTTTGTATTTTTTTTTGAGATGAGGTTTTGCCATGTTGCGCAGGCTGATCTCAAACTTCTGGGCTAAAGCAATCTGCCTACCTCAGCCTCCCAAAATGCTGGGGTTACAGGTTTGAGCCACTGCCTCTAGCCTAAGTTTTGCTAAGTTCCTGTTTACTACATTCTAAAATTTTAAATTGAATTTCTGTTTTTTGGTACTAAGGGTTTTTTGTTTGTTTGTTTGTTTTTGTTTTTGTTTTAGGCTCCAATGTGATTTCTCTTTGACCCAAAATGTATTTAGAAATATATTTTGAAGTTTCCACATGAATATTTTTTAAAATCTTTTTGTTCTTATTTTCTAATTTAGCTATAATCAGAGATTGTTGTGTATGTAATATTAATTCTTTGACATTGGTTGAGACATGTTTTTAATGGCCTAGTACATAGTTATTATGAAATGTTATATTTGTGATTAAAAAGGATAGCTATTATTTAGTTATTGAGTACAGGTTTTTATAAAAAGTTGATAGATCAAACTAACTATTTGAGTTATTCCGATTTCTTATACTTACTGATTTTTTTTGTTAGCATAACCTAATGATTGCCCCTTTTGATACTAAAATTAGTCTGTTTTTTGTGTATTTTTAGTTTTTATTTCACATGTTTTCAAGTTAATTTATTAAGTACATCCAAGTTTAAAATTTTTATATCATCCTTGGGAAATTGGCCCTTTTATTAATATGTGGCAGTGTTTAGTAATACCTTAAACATCTGTTTCACCCACTGATACGGTTTGGCAGTCTCCCCACCCAAATCTCACCTTGAATTCTCAAGTGTTGTGGGAGGGACCTGGTGGGAGATAATTGAATCATGGGGGCGGGTCTTTCCTGTGCTACTCTCGTGATAGTGTGATCTGGTGGTTTTAAAACCAGGAGTTTCCCTGCACAAGCTCTCTCTCTTTGCCTGCCACCATCCACATAAGAGGTGACTTGCTCCTCCTTGCTTTCCGCCATGATTATGAGGCCTCTCCTGCCTCATGGAAATGTAAGTCCATTAAACTTCTTTTTCTTCCCAGTCTCAGGTATGTCTTTATTAGCAGCATGAAAACGGACTAATATACCCACTATCACTGAAACCATGTTGACTTTCTTTTTATATTTGCCTGGCATGTTGGGTTGGAATTCGTTAAGCCACACACATAAAATGAAGTCAGGTCTTTAACTTCAGTGAATCTAGACTTGTATGGAATTCTTTTTTTTTTTTTTTTTTTTTTTGAGACAGAGTCTCGCTCTGTTGCCCAGGCTGGAGTGCAGTGGAGTGATCTCTGCTCATGCAACCTCCACCTCCCATGTTCAAGTGATTCTCCTGCTGCAGCCTCCTGAGTAGCTGGGATTACAGGAATGCCCACCATGCCCAGCTAATTTTTATATTTTTGGTAGAGATGGGGTTTCACCATGTTGGCCAGGCTGGTCTTGAACTCCTGACCTCAGGTGATCCACCCGCCTCAGCCTCCCAAAGTGCTGGGATTACAGGCATGAACCACCGCACCTGGCCTCTTGTATGGAATTCTTAAGGTGCACCTTTTTCCTCTTTTTCTCTTCCACCTCAAGCTAAGACAAAGACCAGGAAATATATCTTCTGTGATCAATATTTTGGTTTGTTTATTTTTTTAAACCTTTATCTACTACAGATTTCACCCCATTAGGAAAAAAGACATAACTGAATTGAACCCATGGGACAACTTTAATTACAGACATATACATGGGGGCCAGTCAAGACACTGACTCCTTGAGGATTTAAGGAAAGAGTTTTTGCAAAAAGATGAGGAAAAGTGTCATTAGGTTGTTTACCAAATTAAAGGATTGTCTGTTTAACTGGATTGGCCACTGTCTTTCAGTTCAGATTTTAATCACAAAGATTATATTCAGATTAGCAGTAGCACATGTCATATGATCAGGCTGTTGTGGGTTTTTTTAGAGGGACACCTATTAATAAGCATAGGTAATATATAAGATTCCAGAAGATGGTGATTATTGCTTGCAGAGGTGTTTCTTTTTCCCTACAGATTGCAGGTAATTAGTTGCAGAATTCTTTGTCAATCTTTTAGAGGTACAAGCCTTTATTTTCAGGGATAGGAATTTGGGAGGGTGATATTTTTAGTCTAACTTCCCACCTTCCTTGGCCTCAAGGGGGCACTTGGGACTCATTAAATCCTTATCTCTCATTAAATAAAAATGTGTAGATACTGGATGATTATATTTGTAAAAAAGTCTAGAAAATACAATCTGTAGTGAGAGAAAACAGATCAGGGGTTCCTTGGGAATGAGGTGTCAGGGGAAGAGGTGGGAAGGAGGGATTTAAAAAAGACATGAACAGATTTTTAGGGATGATGGTTATGTTCACTATCTTGATTGTGGTGATGGATTCAAATTGTATCCTTTAAATGTGTGCAGTTTTGTACATGTCAATTATACTTCAATATATTGAATTAAAGCTGTTAAAGACAAAAAAAATTCCTGCTGTCTTGCAGCTTGCATTTCTAGTGGGGCAAGGCAAACAGGATAGAATCAGTAACTGCTACTTTATTTTTATTATTTTTATTTTTTTTCAAAATGGAGTCTCCCTCTGTCACCCAGGTTGGAGTGCAGTAGTGCAATCTCAGCTCACTGCAACCTCCACCCCTCAGGTTCAAGCAAATCTCCTGCCTCAGACTCCTAAATAGCTGGGACTACAGGTGCACACCACCACACCTGGCTAATTTTTTTATTTTTTTAGTAAAAATGGGGTTTCACCATGTTGGCCAGGCTGGTCTTGAACTCCTGACATCAGGCGATCTGCCCGCCTCAGCCTCCCAAAGGCTGGAATTATAGATGTGAGCCACCATGCCTGGCCAGTAACTGCTACTTTAAAGTAATTTGGGGACAAGACATGGAAACCCACAAAATGTGACATCTGGAAGGGACTGGAATTTAAGCTCCATGAGGGCAGGGACCTCATCTGTTGCATTATTACTCTACCTCTATCACCCAGAACACTGCCTGGCATCATATATATTTCTTGAATGAATAAAGAGTCCTAAAATCAAAAGAGATCTCTGGCTTTAGGTTTCCAAGGATTGGCAGATGCCCTCCAGGCAAGTGTCACCTTCCAGTGCTCCACTGGACCTCCTGATTTAGGATTTTTGTTTCTGACTTCAGTCACATGTCACAAAAGCACTGTTTAAACTTTAATCTGTCATTTTTGTGTGGTTAAGAAGGGTTCTTCTGAATATCTAATCTACCCTATTGCTGGAATTTTGTCAATTCATATGTTGATGCAAAGATGTGAACATTCATCAAGTGTTTATTGGTTACCTATAGTGAACCAGTTACTGTGCAACAATCTGGGGATATAACATCAAAAAGGAAACATATAAGGTAATACTCTGTGGGGACACAGACAATGAACACCACGTAGGTGAATGAACTTGTTACTACTCCAGCCACATCTGGGAACAAGATAATGTAATCAATTCAGGAAAATTCCACATAAGATCCCAGGAAAGAAAAAAGTAAATGTGTGATTCTTATCAACTTTGGACTGCTCCATTAAACCAATTGAATTTCAATACATGGCAAGGATATTTGCATTCAGTAAAAACCCCAGTAGGAGCCCAGTAATACCAAAAGTCAACTGAGTTATTTGTCACAAAGAAAAACACCTAGCCACTGCGTTAATGTGGCAACAGGAGAAATCATATCAGAATCTACATCTTCATTACAGATGGTCTTTTAGTGGTTGCAGAATGCTCTTTTTACTGTATTACTTTTCTCTGAAATTGCATCTTAGATGCCAAGCATTTTACTACATTCTGGAATGACAAGGCGCCTTCACCATAAGAGGCATTCAGATCATGGTGCCACATGTAGTGAAATAAAGAGAATGTAATTAGTATGAAAATAAAAATGTGCCCAGCATGCTTTGGGAGCGTACTCTTTTCAAAGTTAGGAGGCCAGGAGACTAATCTATCTCTTTAAAAATTATTATCACTAGAAGAAGTTTTTTTTGTTTATCTTATTTTCTCCTTAATATAAAAGCAAGACATGTTCTCTAGAATCATTGACAATACAAATCACCCGAAACTCATTTCTAACAGAGGTCTAGGTTTGGTTTGAGATCATTCACTTTAAAAAAAGAGAGTGACTAGCCGGGCGTGGTGGCTCATGCCTGTAATCCCAGCACTTTGGGAGGCTGAGGTGGGTGGATCACCTGAGGCCAGGAGTTTGAGACCAGCCTGAGCAACATGGTGAAACCCTGTCTCTACTAAAAATACAAAAAAAAATTAGCCGGCTGTGGTGGCACATGCCTATAATTCCAGCTACTTGGGAGGCTGAGGAAGGAGACTCGCATGAACCCAGGAGGCGGAGGTTGTAGTGAGCTGAGATCTCGCCATTGCACTCGAGCCTGGACGACAAGACTGAAACTCCATCTCAAAAAAAAAAAAAAAAAAGTGACTAAAAACAAACGAACAGAAAACTAATGAGCAGATCTTGAATGAGTCTCTAGTTTTGTTCTAGTTTGCCTCAGTTCACTGTTTTTTGACCTGTTTTGCATTACGTAGAGTGAAAGAATAGGCAATCAGGATTCATAGAAATACTGGCCAGGCACAATAGCTCATGCCTGTAATCCCAGCACTTTGGGAGGCCGAGGCAGGAAGATCATTTGACAGGAGTTCAAGACCAGCCTGACCAACATGGTGAAACCCCGTCTCTTCCAAAAATACAAAAATTAGCCAGGTGTGGTGGTACGAGCTTGTAATCCCAGCTACTTGGGAGGCTGAGGCAGGAGAATTGCTTGAACCCGGGAGACAGAGGTTACAGTGAGCTGAGATGGCACCACTGCACTCCAGCCTGGATGACAGAGTGAGACTCTGTCTCAAAAACAGAAAAGAAATACTAGTATTAACTGTGGGTTCCTAAAAACTCTTGGCTATTTTCTAAGGTTTTCTTCAGTGTTATTTCACATATTCTCTTTCTTCAAGAGATTATGAACTTTGATTATGTGAATTTGGATCCTTATATAAAAATGATTCTGAGTTTGTGGTTTTTGTGAAAAAGAGATTCTTAAAATTATTATTAAAAGGCTTGTACATTTAAAGTAGTATAACTTTAGTCAACTATTTTCTGGAAACTCTGGGAATATTACATTTAAATAATGCTCACTTATATAAACCAATCAGAAAGAGATTCTTTATTTTGAGAGATTTATATCTAATTTATTAATATGCTCTGAAGGTAGGAAAATATTTCACACTCAAAATGAAAGGTAAGGACTTTTCTTTCTCCAGTGCAGATACACAATGTATTCTGCTTCTGTCCTGCAGCTATAGCCATATGTCAAATGTAGACATAGGAATGTAAAACCCTACTGGTTTTACGTTAAAGAGCTGTTCTTTCCAGTAGGACCCAAGACATGTTCTTGTACAAAAAGACAGACAGGCGGCCGGGCGCGGTGGCTCACGCCTGTAATCCCAGCACTTTGGGAGGCCGAGGCGGGTGGATCACGAGGTCAGGAGATCGAGACCAAGGTGAAACCCCGTCTCTACTAAAAATACAAAAAGTTAGCCGGGCGTAGTGGCGGGCGCCTGTGGTCCCAGCTACTCGGGAGGCTGAGGCAGGAGAATGGCGTGAACCCGGGAGGCGGAGCTTGCAGTGAGCCGAGATCGCGCCACTGCACTCCAGCCTGGGTGACAGAGCGAGACTCCGTCTCAAAAAAAAAAAAAAAAAAAAAAAAAAAAAAAAAAAAAAAAAAAAAAAAAAAAAAAAAAAAAAAAAAAAAGACAGACAGGCAAACAAGAAGACTAAAAAATGCATTCTCTGTTGTCTCTCAATCAATCGAGAATAGATCTTTATAGAAGCAGCATAATATAGATTCTCATCCCAACAAATAACTCTAAATGGTCAGACCATAAAACCAAACTTCATTTATTCCTACTATCAGCGAGGAATTACAAGTACACATCAGAACCAAACTTGGTCTCATATCAGAAACAAAATCATAGAACTGGAAATAAAAATCAGAGAAACTGTCAAAAAAGCAAAGTTTGTTGCCACTTGGAATTAACTGTGGGTGCCAAAAAATCATGTAAATGGGCTTAAACAGCTCATGAATTGCATCTCTGAGGCATCACAATTTAATTGGTTCTGGTAGGTGAGTCTGCTTGAGCATCTCTGTGGGACCTCCAAAACTGTTCAAAGTATAATTTAAGAAAAAAATAAAAACATGACTGAAAATTATGCAAAATGTGCAGGTGCCAGGTATTTGTTTAACTCATTAATGAGGGAACCAATAAGATGGTAAGCCTGGTTCAGAGAGAATTGAAGAGAGTGAAGTGCTATTGAAGAGAGTGCTAAAAGAAAGAATGCTTAAGATTCCAATTTAGATACAAAACTGGTTAATGTCTTACAGGGCAATAAAACTGTAACCTTTGAAGTGATCTTTTCTATAGGACTAAAATCATTTGCATCTCTACCAGACAAAATTAATATGCAATGACATTGAACAAGAATTATTTGCATCTCTGACATTTTTCTAAGGTTAATAATGCGTCAGGGAACCCAAACAGCACAAGTGACAACCAGTTGTTTAGTCATTCAGCAAATAGTTCAGGGAGGCCTACTGTGTTCCCAGGACTGTTCTCAGAGTTGAGGATACCAGAGTCTGTTTTGTGCTCTACCCTGGTGAAGGTCATAATCACCTGATCTAGTTGTACATCCCTTGCTCCAGCTGCCTTTGCCACATCTGGGGAGAGCCTGGCCCTGTACACACCCTTCTCTCACATGCAGTATCTGGCAATCCACATTCAGACTATAAGGAGACCAGGACATGCTTATTCTATATTCTTTTTCAAGAATATCAGTAGAAGCTAAATAAATAAATCAGTGGTACAGTTTTGCCTTAGATGTAAAAAATTCCATTAAAGAGAATTCATCTCTTAATATTAGTTTAAAACCTGGCTGTCTTTGTTCTGAGTATTGTCTTTGATATAGAATATCCTGGTTCTGAGGAAAAGGTTTACTGAAAAGAGTTCATTTGCCTTTACTCTTCATTTCACTCACTTTTAAGTTTTTTTTTCAACTTACAAGAATTAAAGAGACAAAGTGATCACATTTCTGTATTCTCCTATTGCCTAAGAGGCATTTTGTATTTGGCATCTTCTGCCATCACTGTTGCATTTTATAGATTTTTGGATTTTCTACAAGTGTATATAGTTTCTGCTTTGGTTCGACATTATCTTAAGTAAATATGGGTGTGTGCTTTCCTTTATGACTCTCAAATAGTATTTTCTATTTTGGAGGAATTTATTACAAGCCTGCTTTCTGTAATGGACCACTCATTGGCCACTTACTGAAGTGTATCCTGCCATTAGTGGTTTTGTCATATAAAGCATAATTGAATGTACTTTACTGAAATCCTGTAGCATAATCCAGTTATTTTGTTTTTTCTGGAGTGCTTGGGTATATCGGCTCCTATTCTTTTTAGCAGCTTGAGTCTCACCGTTGAGTTTGGCATGTTTTATTTTTCCCAGCGTTCAAGAAAATGTCTTCATTCTGTGAAGGTAATTTGATCATAGAGTTTAGTTCTACTTTAATTGTGTGTATGAACCAAATATTGATGTGCTGTATCATTTGGTATGTGAATTGAATGAATATTTATGCAGATATAATTATTCATCATGAAGATATCTCTTTTTGAAAA
Organism: Homo sapiens; assembly: GCF_000001405.40. NCBI lineage: Eukaryota > Metazoa > Chordata > Mammalia > Primates > Hominidae > Homo > Homo sapiens. Next base: position 61,927,189 of record NC_000001.11, read on the forward strand.
TGTTAAAATGTGTGTTGACCATCTATAAATTATAGATGAATACATTTTCAGTTAGAAAATCTTGGTATGTCACGTGTCTTTTAAAGAATAAAATCTGTAACTTCTACAATTGAAGAAAAAGTTTAAATCATTGTAGAATTAATACAATGGATAGTTTTTACTTTTACATTTATTTTAGAAATGTCTTTCATTTGAATTTTCTGATTAATAACAAAATTAAGCTTCTACAATGTATAGAAGATACAAATAACTGACTGTCTCACTAGAGAAAGAATGCACTCCTTTAGGTAGGTCAGCAGTCTTAAAAGCTTGCTCTTAAATTCCTGTTTTTCTGCATTAGTGTGTTTATACCACAGAGTCACTTTTATATTATAACATAAGCCTAAAATAATACATTGTGTTTGTTTTACAGTCCTCATGATATGAATGAAGTTGGGTATGGTCTAAATATTTCCAGACTATCTTTTTATGCTTTTTGTCATTGAAGAAAGAGCATTGTACAAGAAGCATTTAACCCTTCTCTCAAATTTTGCATCTTCAGAGGCAAGGAACTGCTCCACCGCCAATGAAACTTCCTCCTCCTTATAAAGCTCTGACTGATGACAGTGATGAAAATGAAGAAGAAGATGCCTTTACCGACCGTGAGTGCCTTTTCACTATTTAGGGTAGATGCAGAACTTATTAAATTATGTTTTAACGACTGTTGTAAATTATCAAATATATGGCTGTGAGTTCTTCAAAAATGTGCATGAATGTATGCTAAAAAATCAAATCTATACCTTTGAAGCTTTTGTGGCGTCATTTCCTAAGCTTTTCCCTTGGACACTGAGAAAGGGAATATTGAAGGAAGCTATGCTGTACACTATTTTTCCTATATTCCCTTCTAATCTTATTGTTTGGTTGTGAATACAAAAATGTCCCTAGTCTTTGAAATTAGAATTTGACCCATAATTATCTGGGTTGGATGTAGATTTCAGTTGTTGATTACTTGCCTTACTCAAAGTGATGTTGCTAATGCAGGATTACAGAAGGCCCACCAACTTGTATTTTGTCCTTTAAAATTCATTTCATGATTTTCTTTTGCATTAGATGAATCAAATATGCATTCATACATATATTTAACTGTGGCTTTACCTAAAATAATTTGCATTTCTTTTATGTGCGTCTAGTGTATACTATTGCTAATGTATACCAAATTTCTTTTGGAGGTGATGAAATGTTCTAAGATTAGATAGTGGTGATGGTTGTACAGTTTGTGAATATATTAAAATCACTGACTTATACATTGTAAACTGGTGAATTTTATGGTATGTGAAACATATGTTTCCTTAACAGAATGTTTTCCCTTCTACAATATAGAAAAGGAATTCAATATTGAAATTGAGTCAAAATTCTTACTCTAGCAGTTCCTAGAGTGTGACCTTAAATATGCCCTCCTCTATAAAAAGGGTACAATAATGATACCTACTTCATAGGGTTGTAATGAGGATTAAAATAAAGCAATAAAGCCTTTAACCTGCCACATAGTGAGTCTTTGATAAGTATTATAGCTCCTATTATGGTTATAATAATTACTATTTATATTTTTCTTAATATAATAACGAATATATAAATAGAAATAAAATATAAAATAAATAACTTTATGATAATTAAGCTGATTATAAAAACTTGAATTGTACTTTGCAATTTTATGAAGCCCTTTCTCGTGTCATTTTCTTCATGCATTCAATAAATCTTTGTTGAATACCATCTGCTTTTTAGTAACAGTGTTAAGTGAGTCTGCTATGAAGTGAATAACACATTGCTCCTTTTGTCTTGATTGAGCCACCACCTCGGAAGGGATAATGCAAAGGCATGGGAATAAAGTGTGATAAGTGTACTGTGGGCTTTAGTTCTCAGCTTCTTTTTGGAGAGCTACACATGGTGTAAAAAGTTGATATGTATGTGCACATGTGTAATATATTTCCTTGTTCTGATATAGATATCATGTCAGCTGCCACGGAATGGAGCTGAATTGTTGTTACTCCATACATTCTGGTTTCCTAGAAGGCCAGTATTTGCCCAGTTATTGGGAAACCTGGTTGAGGTGTGCACCTAAGATTATGTTCTAATCCTAGTTCTATTACTTGCTAGTTGTGAGTTTTTGGAAAAGTTATTTAACTTCTTCATGATTCACACTTGCTTATCTATGTGGGGGTGAGCGAATATCTTATAACCTGCCTCATAGTATTGTTGTGACAATTAGAGGAGAAAAAGCTTTTGAAGAGCTTAGTACAGGCAGTGTGATACCTAGTAAATGCTCTGGTTTACCATGTGCCAGGCATTGTTTTAAAGCCTTTATGTGTAGTATTAACTCAGTCAACATACTAACTTTGTGAAGTTCTAATTATACAAATGAAAGCTCAGAGAAATTAAAGAATGTGTCCAAAGTTAGACAGCTAACAAATAGTAGAAATGGGGTTCAAACCCATGTACTCTTACTCCAGAGCCTATAACATCATCGATACTTGCTGTTACTTAAAACTCATTATGATTGCAGAAATAGGTACAGCTGGGCACAGTGGCTCACGCCTGTAATTCCAGCACTTTGGGAGGCCGAGGCAGACGGCTTACCTGAAGTCAGGAGTTCAAGACTAGCCTGACCAACATGGTGAAACCCCCTCTCTTAAAAAAAAGAAAAGAAATAGGTACAGAGTGATTTGGGGTTCTCTTTTAAATATCACTTTTATGCCTAAAATAGGCAGACTCAGCAGTGTCCTCCCCAAAGTTACAAGCTCATATGCACAGGCACATATACACGGCAGCAGTGGGGTCAGGAAGGAGGCTAATTTACCTTAAATGCAGAAAAAGACTTCTAATATTGAGCCATTCTTGAGCTATAATATTATACATTTCACAGATTCTCCAGGAGACCTATGTTGGCTGTATATATTACTTTTCTCTTCATTCATTTTGCTTCCTAATTTTTTTCCTTCCCCGTGTACAGTCCCCATTTTACACCCCATTAAATTTACTGTTAACCTCCTCCAGAAGAATTTGAACTGTATGGAGGTATTTGTTAGATAATTCACATTTGAAATGCAAGTGAACCTGAAGCCTCTGGCCTTCCCGTATTTCCCTTTGAAATAGATCCCATGGGTTTTTCTTTGTTCCTTGACTCATGTTAAATGAACACTCTGCTCATCTGTCTAAACTAAAAGTATTTCGGGTTGCTGTTTTATCAGATTCTTGTCCGAAGACTAAGCCTTTGTTTTTACAGTGATGAAAGTATGGCTACATAACTTTCCCAAGGACCATGATTCTGAAGCGGATGGCTGCAGTGTAAGCCCTAGGCCTACAGGGAAGTGCTGATTTTATTAGAGAGATCCAGGGATGAGATACACATGGTTTTGGGGGTTTTTTGAGATGGGGTCTTGTTCTGTCATCCAGATTGGAGTGCAGTAGCTCAATCATGGCTCACTGAAGCCTCAGTTTCCCAAGTAGCTGGTACCACAAGTGTGTGCCACCAAGCCTGGCTAATTTTTTTTTCTTTTTTTGAGATGGAGTTTTGCTCTTGTTGCCCAGGCTGGCATGCAGTGGCATGATCTCAGCTCACTGCATCGTCTGCCTCCTGGGTTCAAGCGATTCTCCTGCCTCAGCCTCCGGAGTAGCAGGGATTATAGGAATGCGCCACCACTAATTTTGTATTTTTAGTAGAGACAGGGTTTCTTCTCCATGTTGGTCAGGCTGGTCTGAAACTCCCGACCTCAGGTGATCCGCCCGCCTCGACCTCCCAAAGTGCTGGGATTATGGGCATGAGCCACCACGCCCAGCCTAATTTTTTTATTTTTTTTGTACAGATGGAATCTTGCTATTTTGCCCAGTCTGGTCTCAAACTCCTCGGCTCAAACTATCCTTCCCAAAGTGCTGGGATTATAGGCGTGAGCCATCACACACTAGTCTAAAGCATGTTAAGAGCTGGCTTTGCTAGTTGCTTATTTATAAAGTTTATTCAGATAAGAAGTGTTTATTGAGTGGATGTTATGCATTTGGGAGACACTGTTCTAGGTGTTGAGAATATGGCAGGGAACATGGCTGTTGCTCTCATTAGCTTAGATTCTGGTGGGGAGAAAGATTATAAACAATCAGATAGTTTAAATAGTGATAAGGACTATGAATAAAACAAAGTAATAAAATTTAAAAATTATGTTAAAAATAAATTTTAAAACAAAAATAAAAAATAAAAACAAAACATGATAGCATGAGAATAAGTGCATTGGACGAGACAAAGAATTGTTAAGAAAAGCCCAAATAGGCTGGGTGCAGTGGCTCACGCCTGTGATCCCAGCACTTTGGGAGGCTAAGGCAGGTGGATCACTTGAGTCCAGGAGTTCAAGACCAGCCTGGGCAACATGGCAAAACCCATCCCTACAAAAATTACAAAAAATTAACTGGGTATGGTGGTGAACATCTATAGTCCCACCCACTTGGAAGGCTGAGGTGAGAGGATAGCTTGAGCCTGTGAGGTGGAAGTTTCAGTGAGCCAAAATCATGCCACTGCACTCCAGGCTGAATGACAGAGTGCGACTCTGTCTCAAAAATGAAACCTAAATGAAGAAGGAACCACACTGCAAAGATCTGGCTCATGTAGTCATCATATAGATAAGGGCTTTTTTGAGACTGTGACCCACAGTGAAATACACTTCACTTAACCAGTATAGATGCACACATACACACAGGAACATGTATGTAAAACTGAAACAAAAGTTTCATGAAATATTACTTACCTTTATAATGTGTGAATTTTATTCTTTTTATTTTATTCTATTTCATGTTTTTAAATGTTGGTTGCAACTCAGTATATTTTATGACTAACAAACAAGTCGCAACCTGCATTATGAAAAACACTAATTTAGATCCATGGCTTTCAAACTTCAGTGTGCCTCAGGAGGTTCCAGAAAGCTTGTTAAAACAGTAATTGATAGTCATGGTCATTCCCTGCCTGCCCCCCCAACACACACACAGCCCCAGCCATTTCTGATTCCTTAAGCCTGGACCTGATCATTTGCATTTAGAATTAGTTTCCAGGTGATGCTGGTATTATACTTCCGATCCAGAGACTACACTCTGAAAACCGAAACCACTGATCGAAATGGTCTTTAAAGTCATGGGAGCCCATAAGTTTACTTAGGAGTAGTGTGTAGACAGCAACAAGAAGCAAACCCAGCACCTGCTCCATGAGCCAGCAAGGAGCACTTCCAGGAGATTAGGGGATTGTGTTGTTTATGAGAGAAAGGTGTTTCAAGAAGGCTGTCACTGACCTTCAATGGTCAAGGGTGGAATGCTGCTAAGAAGTTGAGGAGGCTGGAGACATGAAAATAACCATTGAATTTAACAAGAAATTGATGAGGAAGAAGAGAAAGAGGACGCTTGATAAAATAACTGTAGTGTGCGGGACGCAGGGGCTCACCCCTGTAATCCCAGCACTTTGGGAGGCCGAGGTGGGTGGATCACCTGAGGTCAGGAGTTCAAGACCAGCCTGGCCAACATGGTGAAACCCCGTCTCTACTAAAAATACAAAAATTAGCTGGGTGTGGTGTTGCACACCTGTAGTCCCAACTAGTCGGGAGGCTGAGGCACAAGTATCACTTGAACCTGGAGGCAGAGGTTGCAGTGAGCCGAGATTGCGCCACTGCACTCCAGCCTAGGCAACAGAGGAAGGCTCTGTCCGACCCCCTCAAAAAATAATAAGCATAGTAATTATTGTTCAGATTATTATGAAACTTAAATGTAACAACCAATATAGAGAGTTTGGTATGTAATGGGCATTTCTATTTTAGCTCACTTATCTTGCATAGTTGCACATATTTTATGACATCCTGGTGTCTAATTATCGTAAGAAGTCTTATAATTGAACTCTGGTTCAATTAGTGAAATTAATTGAGAATTATGAAAAAATTAAGAAACAATGTACTGCATCAATGCGTAGCTCTTGGCAAAACTACCATTATCAAAGGTTGCAGGATTTGTCAAAGGTATGTATTGATGGTGCAGGAACTTTTGACTTAACTTTGTGGAAATGGCCTTTCATACCTGGAATTAAAATCAGACGCCTGTAATCCCAGCACTTTGGGAGGCTGAGGCAGGCGAATTACAAGGTCAGGAGTGCACGACCAGCCTGGCCAACATGGTGAAACCCCGTCTCTACTAAAAATACAAAAAATTAGCTGGGCGTAGTGGCGGGCTCCTTGTAATCCTAGCTACTTGGGAGGCTGAGGCAGAAGAATCGCTTGAACTTGAGAGGCAGAGGTTGCAGTGAGCCGAGATCGTGCCACTGCACTCCACCCTGGCGACAGAGTGAGACTCCATCTCAAAAAAAAAAAAAAAAGGAAAAAAAGAATTCAAGATCACTGAGAGCATAAAGAGATCACTCAGTTGACTGTTATGTGGTGACTTGAAAGTCTTCTTTTCTAACTTTAATCCTTCTTTGATCTTATGACCCAAATTTTTAGTAGGCTGTTAAGAAGATGCCATGTCTTTTTTCCACTAGCACTTTCAATTTTCTAACCAAAATAAAATGTTATGTCTTCTCCAAGGCTGACCTTTTACCTTCTAGTCTCAGTTTTGGCTCAAGCCATTACCAGCACTCCCATCCCCCAACCCTAAAATGAAACTTCTCTTCTGTTTGTTATTTCTCTTCCTGACAATGGATCAACAAACATACATGAATCTTTATTCCCAGTCTCTTTCGCATTCGTAGTTGTTCCTTTACATTTTTTTTTTTTCGAGATGGAGTCTTGCTCTGTCGCCCAGGCTGGAGTGCAGTGGTGCAATCTCGGCTCACTGCAACCTCTGCCTCCCGGGTTCAAGCAATTCTCCTGCCTCAGCCTCCTCAGTAGCTGGGATTACAGGTGCATGCCACTGCGCCCCGCTAATTTTTGTATTTTGTTGTTGTTGTTATTGTTGTTGAGATGGAGTTTCGCTCTTGTTGCCCAGGCTAGAGTGCAGTGGCACGATCTCGGCTCACCGCAACCTCTGCCTCCCGGGTTCAAGTGATTCTCCTGCCTCAGCCTCCCAAGTAGCTGGGATTACAGGCATGCGCCACCACGCCCGGCTAATTTTGTATTTTTAGTAGAGATGGGGTTTCATCATGTTGGCCAGGCTGGTCTTGAACTCCCGACCTCAGGTGATCCGCCTGCTTTGGCCTCCCAGAGTGCTGGGATTACAGGTGTGAGCCACCATGCCCAGCCCTTTACATTTTTATCACCACAGTTTTAGTAATTACACGGTAATAATCACAGTCTCTTGAGTACCTGCTATGTGCCATACATTCTCCCCAACTCTTTGAATGCATTCTCATTGGATATACAGAAGAGCCTTTGAAGAAGGTATTATACCTTCTGTTGATTTCAGCTTAGTGTCACCTCCTTTGGAAAAGCTTGCCTGACTCCTTAGTTCAGTATAGATTCCTGCATTTTTCCTTTATAGCAGTTAACAAAATATCATTTTAATGTACTTACTAGATTAATATCTGTCTTCCCCACTTAACACTCTAAGTTCCATGAGGCTAATGACCCTCTCTGTTTTGGCCTGGGACGTTATACAAACCTAGTATTTGGCCGAATTAATGGCAGAGGGTATATGCCTCGGATAGTCAACAGTGGGGATGTGATGAAAATGCAGGTTTGCTCGTGGTGCTTCGGAGATACTCTTTCTGCCGAACCGCACCATCCACCTAGTTTCGGAGCATTCTGTGCAGAACAGCTTGACTTCTCTTTCCCCACATGCCATTTCCTACCTTATCTAAAAGCTTCAGTCTCCTGAGAGAGAAGCGTCTATCCCCAGAAATCCCTGCTTTGATCACTTTGATCCCAGAGGTTAAATGCTTTTACAACAGCCAGGTCTTTCTAACCTGCAAGCATTCATTCTTTCAGCGACATTTTTCAACTATGGGGAGCAGAAGGCTTTGGAATGACTTTTTGTAACATGTAAGAGAGTAGTCATAAAGAAACAATGAGAACCACATTATAGACATGTCTCTGTCTATGCAGATAAGGTCCTAGAAACTCAGTATAATTGACTTGTTTGCTGCCACTGGCTTTTAAGGACCTAGCAGAGATATGAATGGAACCCCACACTGTAGGAATCCTAAAGCCCTTCCTTTATACTTTAATTTCAGAAAAGCACGCTGTCATAGGTATTTTGTTTTTCTACCCTAATTTTGTTTTTCCACCCTAATTTTGTTTTTCCCAGAAAAGACCTGGTCATCTTATATCATAATGGAATGTTTGGTATAAAGAGTATATTTGGATTATGAAGCATAATTATAAAATTAACCTGTGTGGCCAGGCGTAGTGGCTCATTCCTCTAATCCCAGCACTTTGGGAGGCCAAGGCGAGTGGGTTGCTTGAACCCAGGAATTCCAGACTGGCCTGGCCAACATAATAAGACCCTGTCTACAAAAAACAAAAGAATTAACTGGGTGTGTTGGTGCATGCCTATGATCCTAGCTACTCAGGAGGCTGGGGCAGGAGGATCAGTTGAACCTGGGAGGTCAAGGTTACAGTGAGCCATGATTGTGCCACTATACTCCAGCCTGGGCAACAGAGTGAGACCCTGTCTGAAAAAAAAAAAATTAACCTGTGTACTGCCCGATGCAAATAAAAACTTAGATTACCAATTCCTTGCATCTTCATGTTTTACTTTAATTCTTATTGTTTTATTTCAATTATTTTAAGAACAGGATACTAGCTAAGTCCTTGTGAAATGTGGTTTATTATCAATTCTGTTACTCAGAGTCACAGTCTTTTTTAAGCTTAGAAGGGATAACTTTAAAAAAAATAACAACTTTATTGAGATATAATTCACATACCATATAATTCACCTTCTTAAAATGCATAATTCAGTGGCTATCAATTCAGTATATTCAGAATTGTTCAACTGTCACCACTATTAATTTTAGAACATTTAGGACATTTTCATCACACTTCCCCCCAAATCCCTACTCATTAGCAGTCACTCCACTTCATATTTATTTAAAATTCATTTCACATATAAAATATATATACATATATATTTTAATTTTTTAAAAAGTAATTCTTATGTGTTCCCATGGAGTGGAGTAGGAAACCTATCCCAAACCTCTCCCCTTCTTGCAAAAAATATTCTATATTCAAGTTTAGGAGAAAACAGAATACTTGCTAGCCCCACTGTCCTCAAGAACCTAGCAATGCATTAAGCTCACCTCCTCTCCTCTTCCAAGACCAAAAAAAAAAAAAAAAAAAGCCGGAAAGGAAGAGAACAAATTAAATTATTATTTACAGATGGTCATATAATTGTCAGTCTCAAAAATTCAAAACCTACAGAGTATTTTGGCTATAATAAGTAAGGCTATATATGAATTGTACTTCTATTTTTTTTGAGACAGGGTCTCTCGCTCTGTCACCCAGGCTGGAGTGCAGTGGCGTGATCTCGGCTCACTGTAACCTCCGCCTCCAGGGTTCAAGCGATTCTCGTGCCTCAGCCACCCAAGTAGCTGGGATTACAGGCACACACCACCACACCCAGCTAATTTTTGTATTTTTAGTAGAGATGGGGTTTCACCATGTTGACCAGGCTGGTCTCAAACTCCTGAGCTCAAGTGATCTGCCCACGTCGGCCTCCTTTCAAAGTGATGGGATTACAGGTAGCATGAGACCCCACGCCTGGCCGAATGATACATCTTTTTAAATCTTCTTATCAGTATTATCTACTTAGGAAATGTGATATAAATTTCCTAATAGCAATAACTGTAAAAAATAGGAAATATCCAGGAACAATGCAATTCGGAACATAAAAGTCATGGCAATGACTCATAGCTTCGAGTCGTTTATTCAGTGCCACTGCAATGAAAGCTATAAACCTACTCCCCAGAAAAATGTATGCAAATACACAGAAACACTGTCACCCATGTGCATGGGTGCACACACATATACACACAACATTTTATGTAACATTTTTTCAGCTTTGTGGGAGTCTTGAAGCCCATTTAAGAATTCAAGGACCACTGGTTAACAATCCCCATAGTTTCTTTCTTTTTTCGTTTTGAGACAGTTTCGTTCTGTCACCCAGGCTAGAGTGCAGTGGCATGATCCTGGCTCACTGCAACCTTGACCTCCTGAGCTCAAGCAATCTTCCCGCCTCAGCCTCCTGAGTAGCTGGGACTACAATATAGTTTCTTTCTTATAGAAAATTAGGAAACTTTATTAAAGATTTTGGGAAAAATATAGAGTGCCATACTATTTTCCTGATTGGAAAACTAAGTGTATTACAGATTTCAGTTATTTCTAAATCCATCTGTAAATTTAAGGTAATTTAAATCCATCTGCTTGCTAGGTGGAATAGTCTTTAAAAAAAATACAAGCACTTGATTGAAAATTGACTTAGAGATAAAATACTAGGCAGTTTTGGAAAAGAAAGATAATGACGAGGGACTTTCTTCTTCTTTTTTTTTTTTTTTTTGAGACGGAGCGTTGCTCTTGTTGCCCAGGCTGGAGCGCAATGGCACGATCTCAGCTCACCACAACCTCCGCCTCCTGAATTCAAGTGATTCTCCTGCCTCAGCCTCCCAAGTAGCTGAGATTACAGGCATGCGCCACCACACCTGGCTAATTTTGTGTTTTTAGTAGCGATAGGGTTTCCCCATGTTGGTCAGGCTGGTCTCAAACTCCCAACCTCAGATGATCCACCTGCCTCGGCCTCCCAGAGTGCTGGGATTGCAGGCATGAGCCACCACGCCTGGCCTAGGGACTTGCCTTTTTTTGTATCTGAATCTCTTCTAAACTGGTGCTTTTCAAACTCAGTCTGGAGCTTTTAGACATGAATGTGAGTGTTTTCTCCATCTTGGTACTGTTGCTGTCTTGAGAGAATAATTCTTTGTTTTGGGGCAGTCCTTTGCATTGTAGGATGTTTAACAGCATCCCAGGCCTTTTCCCACTAGATGCTGATAGTACCCTCCCACTCACCACAGTTATAACAACCAAAAACGTTTCTGCACCTTGCCAAGTGGCCCCTGGTCTAAGTGGATGGGGGATTCTACTGTCATTGATTGGTTGGGGTATCAAGGTATGGTCCCTTACAAGGAAGAATTATTTTGTCCAGAGTGCTAGTATTGTAACAGCATTCTTGATTATAAACATTGTTTAAAGTTGCAGTAGTAGAGAGGGTGGGGTGTTTAAAAAAAAAACAAGAAACAAAACAAAACAAAACAGCTATCTATCTGGTATTATGCTTACTACCTGGATGACAGGGATCTATATGCCAAACCTCAGCATCATGTAATATTTTCATGTAACCAATCTGCACATGTACCCCCTGTATCTAAAATAAAAGTTGAAATAAAAAAACAAACTAACAGTAATAGGCTGTGTGTGGTGGCTCACACCTGTAATTCTAGCACTTTGGGAAGCTGAGGCAGGAGGATCACTTGTGCCCAGGAGTCTGAGACCAGCCTGGACAACATAGTGAGACCTCATCTCTGTTAAAAATAAATAAATAAATAATTTTTTAACTGCAGGAATAAAATCAGTTCAATATTTGCATTAAAATTGGTGTAGAAATAGTCCCAGGTGTTTATTTAGAATTTAGAGCATAAAAAAATTTTTTTTTCTAAATAGTAGAAATAAGATAGATGATTCAATAAATGATCGACTGTGTACTCATTTGGGGATAAAATGTGGAGATCTTCTCAAGAAAATTACAAATTGATTTAAAAAGAATCATGTAATTCTTGGTGAAACACCGTCTCTACTAAATATACAAAAAAAAATTAGCCAGGCGTGGTGGCGGGCGCTTGTAGTCCCAGCTACTTGGGAGGCTGAGGCAGGAGAATCGCTTGAACCCAGGAGGCGGAGGTTGTAGTGAGCCAAGATCGTTCCACTGCACTCCAGCCTGGGCGACAGAGCGAGACTCCATCTCAAAAAAAAAAAAAAAAAAAAAAAAAATTCATGTAATTCTAAAAACTGAAATCATAGAAATACTACAAAAAGTCTATATAAGGTATTTTTAAAATATAACCTTGGTACAGAGAAAAGCCTTTCAAATTATTATTACCAAAACAATAACGGACAATGATCATGTGTTTTCTTACATAAAAATTAAAAACTTTGCATTCACACACACACACACACACACACACACAGTCAGAAGAAAGACACACACACACACACATATATATACAGTCAGAGGACAATAGAAAAACAAGCAAAGATCAGGCAGTATTTAACAAAATAAGTTATATTTGGGTAACAAGTACAAAATATCTGTGTTCAGCCTCACTAATAATAAGTGTAACTATAAAAATCAGGTTTTTTTTGCCTATCAGAGTACTTAATATTTTAACAATATTAATCATCATTGTTAGAGTGGTTGTAGAAAAACAGGAGTTGTTATATACTGTTGGTAGGAATAGGAATCATTTTACCTCTTTTTGAGCACCCGTTTGGCAGCATGTATAAAAAGTTTCTATGTGCTTTTTTTTTTTTTTTTTTTTTTTTTTGAGACGTTGTCGCCCATGCTGGACTGCAGTGGTGTGATCTCGGCTCACTGCAACCTCCGCCTCCCAGTTCAAGTGTTTCTCCTGCCTCAGCCTCCCGAATAGCTGGGATTACAGACACCCACCACCATGCCTGACTAATTTTTATATTTTTAGTAGAGACATGGTTCCACCATGTTGGCCAAGCTGGTCTCAAACTCCTGACCTCAGGTGATCCGCCCGCCTCGGCCTTCCAAAGTGCTGGGATTACAGGTGTGAGCCACCGCGCCCGGCCTATATATGCTTATTCTTTGACAGAATAATTCAGCTTCATATCCTAAGGGAGTCATTGTCCATGTAAATATATGTGTATTTAGATATATATCTCTACAAAGATGTTTACTTCAGCATTTTTTACTAATAGCAATTGTAGTAATATATATTTATGTATTTAATACATCATTTACTTTGACTAAGCCACTTAGCCTCTAAATTTTTGTAGGCATTTGAGCTGGAGCAAGTCGCATCTATTTCCTTTAGTTTCCTCATTTTAAGATTGGGAATATGATAACAATAATACCCTTTTCACAGTGTTATTATGAGAGATTAGAAGATATGCATTTATATAAGAAGTGGCACATGGGAAGTGCTCCAGAAATGCTAGCAGAAGTGCTAGCTACTGCTTTTTATTATTATCAGTAGTAATATAAAATTCTTCAATGTGTGCCACATATTGCCATTAGAAAATGAAATTCTAGCCGGGCGCAGTGGTTCACGCCAGTAATCCCAGCACTTTGGGAGGCCGAGATGGGCGGATCACGAGGTCAAGAGATTGAGACCATCCTGGTCAACGTGGTGAAACTCCATTTCTACTAAAAATACAAAAAATCAGCTGGGTGTGGTGGCACGCACCTGTAGTCCCAGCTACTCGGGAGGCTGAGGCTGGAGGATCACTTGAACCCGGGAGGTGGAGGTTGCAGTGACCTGAGATCATGCCATTGCACTCCAGCCTGGCAACAGAGCAAGACTCCATCTCAAAAAACAAAAAAAAAAAAAGAGAAAAAGAAAAGAAAAAGAAATTCTAGCATAAGAGTATGTTAACCTTTTATCTAAAATTATTATTTAATTTATTTAAATTTTGGAAGTCAGTTTTTTTAAGTTTAGCAAGATTGAATAGGACCGGTACTTTATTAACACTGTTTACTGCTGGATTCTCTCTGCTCACCTTTGCATCTTCACAGTATTACATTTTCACTTTCAACTGAGATCACTAGGAGAGAAAGGCATTTTGGAGTACTTCACTTTTCTCTAATACTTTTTCTCTTCTTACTCTTTATTTTCCCTGGATCAAAGGTGGATATGCCATAGAAGCAATTGTATATAATATGAATTGGCATATTTCCTATGGAATTTTGATGCTGTAGGGTTGACATTTTACTTTAACTTCATTTCTCCCTACGTAGGAAGAATACACAGGAAAATTTTTTGAGAAAAGTTAATGGTTCAGATGGAATCTAAAAACTAAAAATAATAGCTTTTAAAGTTTACTTTGTTTAATGTGAGTGCTAGTTTGCCAAACATTCCCAACAAACTTATGGCATAACTTTATTATTCTACCTTGTAGCATTTACGTTTTATGAACAGTTGTTGACTCACAAAGAGTATAATGTTGTTTATAAAGTTAATTTTCAGCCGGGCACGATGGCTCATGCCTGTAATCCCAGCACTTTGGGAGGCTGAGGCAGGCAGATCTCTCGAGATCAGGAGTTCAAGACCAGCCTGGCCAACATGGTGAAACCCCATCTCTACAAAAAGTACAAAAATTAGCCAGGTGTGGTGGCACACACCTGTAGTCCCAGCTATTTGATAGGCTGAAGCACGAGAATTGCTTGAGCTGCGGAGGTGGAAGTTGCAGTGAGCACAGATCATGCCACTGCACTCCAGCCTGGGCAACAGAGTGAGACTCTGTCTCAATAAATAAATAAATAAATAAATAAAAGTTAATTCTCTTAATAGTCATATTAACTGTCAACATTTTTTCCTACTTAACTTTTTAATAAATTTTAATATAAAAACTTACAGCTTTCATCCCTGTCTTTAATTATTTTAATATTTTACTCTGGTAGTAATAACCATTCTACTTCAATTAATTGATAGAATTTCAGCATAGCAACCACATTTGTCACTGAAAGAGATTTTTCACTTCAAAGTTACTTCAAGAATGCTACTCTAAATAGTAACAGTAAATCCAAATGTCAGTCTTGTTTGAATTATTGCCATTAATAAATACAGTTTTGTTTTCATTCTTAACATGTGCTGTCACCAGATTATTGATCTTGCACTGCTTCAGTGGTGCCATGAATGATGTATCTTTCATTTGGCCTTCTGGAGGTCAAAGCCAAATAGCAGTTTTTAACCAAATTCTAAAGGTCAAAGCTGAACTTTGCAGGATTCCTAGTATTTTTTCTTTTATTGAAAAAAGTACAGAAGAATGTACAGAACTACTTTGAGAGAGGAGGTTTGAGAAAAAATATATGCTTTCAACTTTATTTAATTTACTTGAATTCTATATAACAAAATATGCTTATTTGAAAGAAAAAAAGCATTTCTTTTTACAGCTCATAATAAGAAAACAACTAACTCAATTTTTGAAAATGGGCCAAAACTTGAAATGATACTTCACCAAAGACATCTGAATGGCTAATAAAAAGATCCTCAATATCATTAGTTATTAGGGAAATGCAAACTAAAATCACTGCACATTCACTAGAATGATTTTAATGCAAAATGATAGACAGTACAACTGGAATCTTCATACACTGCTGGTGGGAGTGTGAAATGGTCCAGCCATTTTGGAAAGCAGTTTGGCAGTTTCTTTTTTTTTTTTTTTAAGAGGGAGTCTCACTCTGTCATCCAGGCTGGAGTACAGGGGCACGATCTCAGCTCACGGCAACCTCTGCCTCCCGGGTTTAAGCAATTCTCCTGCCTCAGCCTCCTGAGTAGCTGGGATTACAGGCACCCACCACCACACCCAGCTAATTTGTGTATTTTTAGTAGAGACGGGGTTTCACTGTGTTGGCCAGGCTGGTGGAACTCCTCACATCAGGTGATCCGCCTGCCTCAGCCTCCTAAAGTGCTAGGATTACAGGCATGAGCCACCATGCCCAGCCAGCAGTTTCTTTAAAAGTCTGCATATAGGTTTACTATACAACCCAGCAATTTCACTTCTAGGTATATACCCAAATGAAATGACAACATGTGTCCACACAAACTCTACTCCACAGAAGTTCGTAGCAGCATTATTCATAATAGCCAAAAACTGGAAACAAGCCAAATGTCCATCAACTGGTGACAGGATATACATAGTGTATATCCATACAGTGGAATACTATTCAGCAATGAAAAGGAGTTCAATGCTGCTACATTCTCATCATGCTAAGTAAAGGAAGCCTGCTGAGAAGATTCCAAGATGGCCGAATAGGAACAGCTCCAGTCTACAGCTCCCAGCGTGAACAACGCAGAAGTTGGGTGATTTCTGCATTTCCAACTGTGGTACCGGGTTCATCTCACAGGGGCTTGTCAGACAGTAGGTGCAGCCCATGGAGCAGGGCGGGGCATCGCCTCACCCAGGAAGTGCGAGGGGTCAGGGAATTCCCTTTCCTAGCAAAGGAAAGCTGTGACAGAGGGTACCTGGAAAATCGGGACACTCCCACCCTAATACTGCGCTTTTCCAACAGCTTTAGCAAACGGCATACCAGGAGATTATGTCCTGTGCCTGGCTTGGAGGGTCCCACGCCCACGGTCGCTGCTAGCACAGCAGTCTGAGATCGAACTGCGAGGTGGCAGTGAGGCTGGGGGAGGGGTGTCCCCCATTGCTGAGGCTTGAGTAGGTAAATGAAGCCGCCGGGAAGCTGGAACTGGGTGGAGCTCACCGCAGCTCAAGGAGGCCTGCCTGCCTCTGTAGACTCCACCTCTGGGGGCAGGGCATAGCTGAACAAAAGGCAGCAGAAACTTCTGCAGACTTAAACGTCCGTGTCTGACAGCTTTGAAGAGAGTAGTGGTTCTCCCACCACAGAGTTTGAGATCTGAGAACAGACAGACTGCCTCCTCAAGTGGATCCCTGACCCCCGAGTAGCCTAACTGGGAGGCACCTCCCAGTAGAGGGTGACTGACACCTCATACGGCTGGGTGCCCCTCTGAGACGAAGCTTCCAGAGGAAGGATCAGGCAGCAACATCTGCCGTTCTGCAGCCTCTGCTGGTGATACCCAGGCAAACAGGGTCTGGAGTGGACCCCCAGCAAACTCCAACAGACCTGCAGCTGAGGGTCCTGACTGTTAGAAGGAAAACTAACAAACAGAAAGGACATCCACACCAAAACCCCATTGGTATGTCACCATCATCAGGGACCAAAGGTAGATAAAACCATGGAGATGGGGAGAAACCAGAGCAGAAAAGCTGAAAATTCTAAAAATCAGACCGCCTCTTCTCCTCCAAAGAAACGCAGCTCCTCACCAGCAACGGAACAAAGCTGGACAGAGAATGACTTTGACGAATTGAGAGAAGAAGGCTTCAGACGATTGGTAATAACAAACTTCTCCGAGCTAAAGGAGGATGTTTGAACCAATTGCAAAGAAGCTAAAATCCTTGAAAAAAGATTAGGCGAATGGCCAACTAGAATAACCAGTGTAGAGAAGTCCTTAAATGACCTGTTGGAGCTGAAAATCATGGCACGAGAAGTACGTGACGAATGCACAAGCTTCAGTAGCCGATTTGATCAAGTGGAAGAAAGGGTATCAGTGATTGAAGATCAAAGGAATGAAATGAAGGGAGAAGAGAAGCTTAGAGAACAAAGAGTACAAAGAAACGAATAAAGTCTCCAAGAAATATAGGACTATGTGAAAAGACCAAATCTACGTCTGATTGGTGTACCTGAAAGTGACAGGGAGAATGGAACCAAGTTGGAAAACACTCTGCAGGATATTATCCAGGAGAACTTCCCTAACCTAGGGAGGCAGGCCAACATTCAAATTCAGGAAATACAGAGAACACCACAAAGATACTCCTCAAGAAGAGCAACCCCAAGACACAAAATTGTCAGATTCACCGAAGTTGAAATGAAGGAAAAAATGTTAAGGGCAGCCAGAGAGAAAGGTTGGGTTACCCACAAAGGGAAGCCCATCAGACTAACAGCGGATCTCTCAGCAGAGACTCTACAAGCCAGAAGAGAGTGGGTGCCAATATTCAACATTCTTAAAGAAAAGAATTTTCAACCCAGAATTTCATATCCAGCCAAACTAAGCTTCATAAGTGAAGGAGAAATAAAATCCTTTACAGACAAACAAATGCTAAGAGATTTTGTCACCACCAGGCCTGCCTTACAAGAGCTCCTGAAGGAAGCACTAAACATGGAAAGTAACAACCGATACCAGCCACTGCAAAAACAAGCCAAATTGTAAAGACCACTGATGCTAGGAAGAAACTGCATCAACTAACGAGCAAAATAACCAGCTAACATCATAATGACAGGATCAAATTCACACATAACAATATTAACCTTAAATGTAAATGGGCTAAATGCTCCAATTAAAAGACACAGACTAGCAAATTGGATAAAGAGTCAAGACCCATCAGTGTGCTGTGTTCAGGAGACCCATCTCACGTGCAGAGACACACATAGGCTCAAAATAAAGGGATGGAGGAAGATCTACCAAGCAAATGGAAAACAAAAAAAAAAGCAGGGGTTGCAATCCTAGTCTCTGATAAAACAGACTTTAAACCAACAAATATCAGAAGAGACAAAGAAGGCCATTACATAATGGGAAAGGGATCAATTCAACAAGAAGAGCTAACTATCGTAAATATATATGCACCCAATATAGGAGCACCCAGATTGCTAAAGCAAGTCCTTAGAGACCTACAAAGAGACTTAGACTCCCACACAATAATAGTGGGAGACTTTAACACCCCACTGTCAACATTAGACAGAAAGTTAACAAGGATATCCAGGACTTGAACTCAGTTCTGCACCAAGCAGACCTAATAGACATCTACAGAACTCTCCACCCCAAATCAACAGAATATACATTCTTCTCAGCACCACATCGCACTTATTCCAAAATTGACCACATAGTTGAAAGTAAAGCACTCCTCAGCAAATGCAAAAGAACAGAAATCATAACAAACTGTCTCTCAGACCACAGTGCAATCAAACTAGAACTCAGGATTAAGAAACTCACTCAAAACCGCTCAACTGCATGGAAATTGAACAAACTGCTCCTGAATGACTACTGGGTACATAATGAAATGAAGGCAGAAATAAAGATGTTCTTTGAAACCAATGAGAACAAAGACGCAACATACCAGAATCTCTGGGACATATTTAAAGCAGTGTGTAGCGGGAAATTTATAGCACTAAATGCCCACAAGAGAAAGCAGGAAAGATCTAAAATTGACACCCTAACATCACAATGAAAAGAACTAGAGAAGCAAGAGCAAACACATTCAAAAGCTAGCAGAAGGCAAGAAATAACTAAGATCAGAGCAGAACTGAAGGAGATAGAGACACAAAAAACCCTTCAAAAAATCAGTGAATCCAGGAGCTGATTTTTTGAAAAGATCAACAAAATTGATAGACCACTAGCAAGACTAATAAAGAAGAAAAGAGAGAAGAATCAAAGAGATGCAATAAAAAATGATAAAGGGGATATCACCACCAATCCCACAGAAATAGAAACTACCATCAGAGAATACTATAAACACCTCTATGCAAATAAACTAGAAAATCTAGAAGAAATGGATAAATTCCTGGACACATACACCCTCCCAAGACTAAACCAGGAAGAAGTTGACTCTCTGAATAGACTAATAACAGGTTCTGAAATTGAGGCAATAATTAATAGCCTACCAACCAAACAAAGTCCAGGACCAGACGGATTCACAGCCGAATTCTACCAGAGGTACAAAAAAGAGCTCCTACCATTCCTTCTGAAACTATTCCAATCCATAGAAAAAGAGGGAATCCTCCCTAATTCATTTTATGTGGCCAACATCATCCTGATACCAAAGCCTGGCAGAGACACAACAAAAAAAGAGAATTTTAGACCAATATCCCTGATGAACATCGATGCAGAAATCCTCAGTAAAATACCAGCAAACCGAATCCAGCAGCACATCAAAAAGCTTATCCACCACAATCAAGTTGGCCTCATCCTTGGGATGCAAGGCTGGTTCAACATATGCAAACCAAAAAAAGTAATCCATCATATAAACAGAACCAAAGACAAAAACCACATGATTATCTCAATAGATTCAGAAAAGGCCTTTGACAAAATTCAACAGCCCTTCATGCTAAAAACTCTCAATAAACTAGGTATTGATGGGATGTATCTCAAAATAATAAGAGCTATTTATGACAAACCCACAGCCAACATCGTACTGAATGGGCAAAAACTGGAAGCATTCCCTTTGAAAACTGGCACAAGACAGGGATGCCCTCTCTCACCACTCCTATTCAATATAGTGTTAGAAGTTCTGGCCAGGGCAATCAGGCAGGAGAAAGAAATAAAGCATATTCAATTAGGAAGAGAGGAAGTCAAACTGTCCCTGTTTGCAGATGACATGATTGTATATTTAGAAAACCCCATCATCTAAGCCCAAAATCTCCTTAAGCTGATAAGCAACTTCAGCAAAGTCTCAGGATACAAAATCACTGTGCAAAAATCACAAGCATTCTTATACACCAATAATGGACAGAGAGCCAAATCATGAGTGAACTCCCCTTCACAATTGCTACAAAGAGAATAAAATACCTAGGAATCCAACTTACAAGGGATGTGAAGGACCTCTTCAAGGAGAACTACAAACCACTGCTCAATAAAATAAAAGACGATACAAACAAATGGAAGAACATTCCATGCTCATGGATAGGGAGAATCAATATCACGGAAATGGCCATACTACCCAAGGTAATTTATAGATTGAATGCCATCCCCATGAGGCTACCAATGACTTTCTTCACAGAATTGGAAAAAACTACTTTAAAGTTCATATGGAACCAAAAAAGAGCCCGCATTGCCAAAACAATCCTAAGCAAAAAGAACAAAGCTGGAGTCATCTCGCTACCTGACTTCAAACTGTACTACAAGGCTACAGTAACCAAAACAGAATGGTACTGGTACCAAAACAGAGATATAGACCAATGGAATAGAAGCAGCCCTCAGAAATAATACCACACATCTACAACCATCTGATCTTTGACAAACCTGACAAAAACATGAAATGGGGAAAGGATTCCCTATTTAATAAATGGTGCTGGGAAAACTGGCTAGCCATATGTAGAAAGCTGAAACTGGATCCTTCCTTACACCTTGTACAAAAATTAATTCAAGTTGGATTAAAGACTTAAATGTTAGACCTAAAACCATAAAAACCCTAGAAGAAAACCTAGGCAATACCATTCAGGACATAGGCATGGACAAGGACTTCATGTCTAAAACACCAAAAGCAATAGCAACAAAAGCCAAAATTGACAAATGGGATCTCATTAAACTAAAGAGCTTCTACACAGCAAAAGAAACTACCATCAGAGTGAACAGGCATCCTACAGAATGGGAGAAAATTTTTACAATCTATCCATCTGACAAAGGGCTAATATCCAGAATCTACAATGAACTCAAACAAATTTACAAGAAAAAATCAAACAACCCCATCAAAAAGTGGGCAAAGGATATGGACAGACACTTCTCAAAAGAAGACATTTATGCAGCCAACAGACACATGAAAAAATGCTCATCATCACTGGCCATCAGAGAAATGCAAATCAAAACCACAATGAGACACCATCTCACACCAGTTAGAATGGCAATCATTAAAAAGTCAGGAAACAACAGGTGCTGGAGAGGATGTGGAGAAATGGGAATGCTTTTACACTGTTGGTGGGACTGTAAACTAGTTCAGCCATTGTGGAAGACAGTGTGGTGATTCCTCAAGGATTTTGAACTAGAAATACCATTTGACCCAGCCATCCCATTACTGGGCATATACCCAAAGGACTATAAATCATGCTGCTATAAAGACACTTGTACACGTATGTTTATTGTGGCACTATCCACAATAGCAAAGACTTGGAACCAACTCAAATGTCCATCAGTGATAGACTGGATTAAAAAAATGTGGCACATATGCACCATGGAATACTATGCAGCCATAAAAAAGGAGAAGTTCATGTCATTTGTAGGGACATGGATGAAGCTGGAAACCATCATTCTCAGCAAACTATCACAAGGACAGAAAACCAAACACTGCATGTTCTCACTCGTAGGTGGGAATTGAACAGTGAGAACCCTTGGACACAGGGTGGGGAACATCACACACTGGGGTCTGTTGTGGGGTCGGCGGGGAGCGGGGAGGGATTGCATTAGGAGATATACCTAATGTAAATGACAAGTTAACGGGTGCAGCACAACATGACACATGTATATATACGTAACAAACCTGTACATTGTGCACGTGTACCATAGAACTTAAAGTATAATAATAAAAAAAAAGAAAAAAAAAGGAAGCCTGCTGCAAAACATTACATACTGTATGGTTCCATTTTCATAAACTGTCCATAAAAAACAAATTTATATAGAGAGAAAGCAGGCCTGGGTTGCGATTGGGTTTGATGGAATTTTTGGGGGGTGGTGGGAAGTGGGAAGGTTCTAAAACCAAATAGTTGTGATGGTTGCACAACTCCAATATACTAAAAATCATTGAATTGTATATTTACAGTGAGTGAATTTTATAGTGTGCAAATTATACTCAGTAAAACTTTTAAAAATGTTTCAAAGTTAAATATAATTTTAAATTAAAGAATCACATGCGTAAGAGAGTTAAAAGTTATTATAAAAGGATCTACATTAAAGAAGAGAGATCAGGTTGTAAATTACTTCCAAGAAGTGAATAGGCCAGGTGCAGCAGCTCACACCTGTAATCCCAGCACTTTGGGAGGCCAAGGCAGGTGGATCACTTGAGGTTAAGAGTTCGAGACCAGCCCGCTCAACATGGTGAAACCCTGTCTTTTTACAAATACAAAAATTAGTCAGGTATGGGGGCATATGCCTGTAATACTGGCTACTTGGGAGGCTGAGGCAGGAGAATCACATGAACCTGGCAGAGGCTGCAGTGAGCCAAGATCACACCACTGCCCTCCAGCCTAGGTGACAGAGCGAGACTCTGTCTCAAAAAAGCAAAGAAGGGACCAGGCACGGTGGCTCATGCCTGTAATCCCAGCACTTTGGGAGGCCAAGGCAGGCGGATTACTTGAGGTCAAGAGTTCGAAACCAGCCTGACTGACCAACATGGTGAAACCCATCTCTACTGAAAATACAAAACATTAGCTGGGTGTGGTGGCACGTGCCTGTAATCCCAGCTACTGGGGAGGTTGAGGCAGGAGAATCGCTTGAACCCAGGAGGCGGAGGTTGCGGTGAGCCGAGATCACGCTGCTGCACTCCAGCTTGGGTGACAGAGCGAGACTCCACCTAAAAAATAAATAAATAAGGGAATAAAAGTATAGTAATCAACAGCAACGTATTTTTTTGACAGTGATGGCGTTTGAGAACCTTAGAGCTCATTTGGTATCTAATTTTACGTTGAGGAGGCTGAGACAGAGAGTGATTAATTTGCCCCAAACCACTAAATTAGTTACTGATGAAACCAGCACTAGAATCTGGTTCTCATTTGATGTTCAGGGCCACATGTAGGCACTTCCTTCCAGTGCCTTTCTCTGTGTGCCATGCCAGTTTTTAGCATGAAGCAAACTTGTAATAAAGATTTATTGAGCAACTAGTAGTTCTTTTGGTTTAAAATTTTGTCTATTTTTTGTATCGTTGTGGACTCTGTAGTTGATCTCTACCTTGCCAATAGGTGTCACTACAATCAACAGCAATTATTACCAAGCATTTAAAGAATGTTAAGAATGTTCACGTCAAACTGTGTTTAACAAAATTTATATGTTCATTTCACCAAATATTTGAGTATGTTTGTTCTTTTTTTTGTTTTTTGTTTGTTTGTTTTTGGCAATGCAAAATAGGATGGAAAAGTGTTAGAAATAAAGGCTGATTTCATTTTTTAGTTTTATGTAAATTCTTTTTCTCATTTCCTACACAATCATCCATTTTTGGGCTTTTCATAGTTAAGTAAAATAGGCTGACACAGTGTCTTATGCCTGTAAACCTAGCACTTTGGGAGGCCCAGGCGGGCGGATCACCTGAGCTCAAGAGTTCAAGACCAGCCTGGTCAACATGGTGAAACCCCATCTCTACTAAAAATACAAAAATTAGCTGGGCCTGGTGGCACATGCCTGTAATCCCAGCTACTCGGAATCTGAGGCAGGAGAATTGCTTGAACCGGGGAGGTGGAGTTGCAGTAAGCCAAGGTCGCGCCTCTGCACTTCAGCCTGGGCAACAGAGCTGTCTAAAAAGCGCACCTCTGCACTTCAGCCTGGGCAACTCTGTCTAAAAAAAAAAAAAGGAAAAAAAAAGTTATTTAGTAGAATTTGTATTCTAGCTCTGTAATTGGAGAAAACTGATGAACTTGGCTTTTTATTGTTTTTTTTATTCTGAAAACTCAGCTTCAGCGCTTGATATAATTTGGATGTATTTATTATAACTGTAAATTAAAAATTGTATTGTTTAATACCTTTTGAGTAGTATTTGAGTTTTCTTTGGGTATTCTTGACTTTTTAAGTATTACTCATATGATACAGTGATCACATAGATGATTTTTTTATTCTGCATTTTACAAAGAAAGATTATACTGTATAATTGGTAGATACTTCTGAAGTCACTGTAATTGGTTAAATAATGGTATTCAGGTGTGTGGGGGGTAGGGTAGGGTAGGGGGTGCACTGTAGCACTTTGAGTGAAATTTAAGAAATCTCAACCATTTTTCTAGTGGGTTTTCTGAAGCTACATTTTTTTTTTATATTTTTCCCCCCTGAAAGCTAACTTGAAGGCTTGACTGCTTAAATAGAATCTTTACTGCACGTTTAGAATGTTACTGAGATACAAATGAATCTCGCTAGGGGAGAGATACCACATGCTCAGTGTGGTTCACCAGCTTCTTTGTTATAAACATGATTCAATGCTGGGAGCATTAAGGAGAGAGCAAGTTGGTGACTGTTCCCCTCACTTTGGACAGGCTAAAATCAACTGCTGTTTCCTTTTAATTTGCATTTGAAAGATGTAACTAATGTGATGAACCGTTTCTCAGCAGGAAAGCTGGGTCATTAAAATGATATTAATTGAAGCTGGCCACAATAAATGGTTGAGGTTATAATGCCTCCTGTTCTGAAATAGAGCTATTATCCTGAGGCGAGCAGGGTAACTGAGTGTCACAGTCAGCAGCGTGAAGCATCCAAGGGTCTGATGTGGGAAACCAGGGATTTTGCTTCTCCGGCATAGTTTTCCAGGCAGCTTTCACCTGCTGACAGAGGTGACTGTTTAGCTTGAGGACTAGCTTGAAATTAGCTTAATTGATTGCTTTTCCTGATATAAATAGATTGACAGGTTGCCCTTAAAGAGAACAAAATCTGAGAGAGAGAGAGAGAGAGAGAGAGAAAAATAGGCCCAAGGTCGTCAGAAGAGAGAGGAGTCTGTGGTGAGGATTTGAGCTGCGTCCAGCATTGGATATTTGTCAGGAATGCAGATACCCTGAAGGGAACACAACAATGGTCCAAGGGGGTTTCCCAGGTAAGATTTCTGTTGCCTGTGTGATCTGTGGTTCTTTCGGAATGCAATCTGATGCTGTTTTAGTGTTGGTGCAGAATGTGGTTTTAAAGGTTTAGACAATGGTAAGCCAAGGCATTTTTCTTAAGTAAGAGAGCGAGGGCACATATGCATGTGCAAGGTGATTGTACATTAGAAACAAACCCCTGCAATTTTCTTTCATGTGCACTGTAGTTTGAATGTCCTTATGATGTTTTTGAAAAGTGGAGCAGTTTAATCAGACTGTCAAAGATATACCAGTAGTTTCACTGCCAAGATTCTCAACACTGTTCATGCTGTATTCTCTCCTTTCAGAATTGTAATTGAGAAGTAGACCTCCAGGACATTTATTATCATTATTGTTGTTACTTGTGACTTCACCATAATAAAAAGGGAAGACTATTTATGTTAGAACTAGGTTATTCTGGTTAATTTTAAAAACTGACCATTCAGCATTTTGTTATAGATGAAAGCAGAATATCACTAAGGACTCATAGTAGTAAACAAAAGGCTGCTTTTTCTAAATTGTAAAATAACACATTAATTATTTTATTTGCTAGTTGTGTTTGGTGCCTCATTCATCTAAATCTACAAATTTAAATTCGTTAGGGGTGGGGGCTCAGCTCTTGGAAGTATTACCACTGACTTCCTTGTTAACATAATGGTTCTTGCAATCATTGCTACATTGGCCATATAATTTCATGCAATAGAGTACTCTTAGTTTATGCTTTTGCCTGACTTAAAAAATTAATTTCTTAAAATCAGAGCTTCTTTTTATCTAAATAAAATGGAATATTGAGACATAATAGGGGTATTCTTGCATAAGTATTATTGCCTAAGGGAGGCAATTGTTAACTCAAGAGTTAGACATGACATTATAGCCTTTCTTTTTATTTTCAGCAGTGCACACGCAAATTAGGTTATTTCTACTGCAACAGTAGAATATTTGCTGCATTCCTGATTTAAGCTAGCCAACCTTATTTGTGGCTATGCTGTCAAAACTATTGAGCAAGAACTTTTGTTTAAAATATAATTTCTGAAGATATCCCTGTGGGGGTCCTGAACTACCTAGTATTCAATTCTGTTATTTTGATTTGGAGGAAATGCTATAGCTCCTAAATGGATGCGTCACAGATTCCCTGTAGTGACAACTGTCTGACTATATTGTGTTTCTTTTCATTCTGCAGTTGGAATTGCTTTCAGTTGTCTGTCATCTTTTTAATACTGCTTCTCAAACTTGTATTGACAAGGCAACTTATAGGGATCATCCTGGATATTTGTGGATCCTGCCTGCTTTTCCTCAGACTCTTCAGAGCAGTTTATTCATTTTCCTTTTATTTTAGGAAATTTCTTGATTTTAAAAATCTATTTCTCCAGATTATAATACATGTATGCTTTAATCTCCTGAGTATAACTGGCCATCCCTGATCATTTTCTTAATCTCTACCACACTGACTTGAAGTCGCCACTGTCCAGGCTCCAAACACCGCAGTGGAACCCTTGAAAATCCCCATTGCAGTTTTCTAGAAAGTGAGTCAAGTATATCTAGTCATTAGGAATTTATGTGTCCTTTGCGCTTTGTTGAACTAATATATAAACTCACTTTTAGAAAGGCTGTTAACTATCAAAGTGTCTCATAAATGGACACATATTTATGTGTTATATGTAAGTTACTTTTTCAGTGTTCATGATCAGGATTGATTTTCTATAATCAGTATTTTCAACATTTATTAAAAGCTTCTATTTATGTATACACATTTAACTCCAAAGTATTTTAATACACTTTGGTAGTCTTATGACTTAGTCTATCTTATATTATGTTCACTGCTTTGGCATTCAGTCAATTTTAAAAGCATGTTTCTATTTCATGTTTCTTTTTGGCATATTTTACAAAAAGTAATATGTAGAATTATAAATAAAGGATGAGGCCTCGGTCTGTAGAGAATTTACCTTTTCTTTTGTTCTTGCTTGGAAACACATTATTTTACATGGGTTTATGTTGCTTTGATTTCAGTAGTTTTATGTCACTTTAAAGTATTTTAGGTTTGATATATATAAGTATAGGTTAAACACTCATCATTTTAATTGATCCAATGTTGAACAAAGAGAGGGCATTGTTATTTCAATTAAGAAAATAATATATCAAAAATTAAGTAGCAGTTAAAGTTACTTTCTTGCAGAGACTGCCTCTTTTTTGCTGAATGTAATGGGGCAGGAGGTAAGAAATATCACTCCTAAGTTTCTATCATGTTTACATATTTAGATATGTATTTTTTAAACAATTTACTTTTATCTTTTTCTTACATTTATGATATGCCAAACTCTATTGTTTTTTTTTTTTTTTTGAGACAGAGTCTCGCTCTGTTGCCCAGGCTGGAGTGCAGTGGCACTATCTTGGCTCACTGCAAACTTCTCCTCCCGGGTTCACAGCATTCTCCTGCCTCAGCCTTCTGAGTAGCTGGGACTACAGGTGCCTGCCACCACGCCCGGCTCATTTTTTGTATTTTTAGTAGAGACAGGGTTTCACCATGTTAGCCAGGATGGTCTCAATCTTCTGACCTCATGATCCTCCAGCCTCGGCCTCCCAAAGTGCTGGGATTACAGGCGTGAGCCACTGTGCCTGGCTGGTATGCCAAACTCTTAAGATCCTTGTATAGTGTGAGGAATTCATATTGCACATTTTGAATACATCTATTCCATGTTAGTATTATTATTCCCATTTTTAGATAGTAAAACTCTTTTTATAGAATGCTTGGAGGGGTTTATCCATTGGTTGGTGGAAGTATAGCATAGCCGCAGTTACTGTGGTGATGCATCATTAAGCATTTTTGGAACCTAATACAGCCCTAAGGTTAAGAGGAGAAATACAGTATCTAATATGAACTTTGCCTTCAAGAAGTTTATAAAATTTCTAAAAAGAAAAAAGATATATAGGTGCAGAGACACATGCACTGGAAGGCCCTCTGGAAGAGACTGAGCTTATGAAGTTGGTGAGAGTGGCTTGGAGTCCAAGCTCCAGACTTGTGAGTCTACTAGAAGAAGTGCTACAAGCCTGGCTTGTAGGAGGGAAACGATAGCAATGATCTGTGCCAAGAGGGGATACATGTGTAACAGAGTTCTAAAACTTTAAGTTCAAGAATTTATTTTCTGAAATAGAAATTATAGTGATAGCTAATCCAAGTAGCTACATTTGAGAACACTGAAATGAAATTTATAGGTTTATTTCTTTACTTTTTTGAATACTTAGGTTCTAGACACTGTGCTAAATGCCTTACACACATTGTTTTCTTCAACACATATAATGTTATGAGTTTTTTGAAGTCTTATTATTTTATAGATCAAGTCTAGATGACTACAAAGCCTGTACTTTTAAGAAGTTTTAATTTTTCGTGTCTTCATGCATCTTCTCAAGTAATCCATTTCATTAGTGAAGCCAAATTGATTGCTATTCTCTTTTTTGGTAATTCATGTTGTACATCCACTCATTGGACAAAGAGACATATAATTGGAATTACTCCAAAAAGCATACTGAAGTTCCAGATTTTGAAAAATGTTTACTGTATTCCCCAGCAAACCACATTTTAATATTGAAAGTTCCAATTTAAAAGAAAAAGTCACAAACCACATGAAGCTGAATTGGAGAAAAATACAGTATCAGAGGCATGCCATGAGGTTTAGGGTACACCTCCCCGTGGCATCACACGCTGCCCAGTATGAGCCAGGCTTCTCAGCACAAACTGACTTATCTTCCATTGCGGAGGAAGGTCTGCATTTGGAGAAGAAATAGCAAGTCTCCTGATGCTAACCAGATGGGAATGGGTGAGTGCTTAGGTTTCCAGTTTATTTTAATTATGAAATTTTTACAAATTGTAGTGTGAGTCACTCAGTATTTTCATGTTTGACCTAAGTAAGATGGAAATGTACGAGCATTTTGTTAAAGGTTTTGAATTTCATTTGGGTTTTGGCTCAGTGTTGCCTGAACCTGCTTCGGGTTTTCCATATCTGCTCTCTGGAATCTTACAAAAGC
Source organism: Homo sapiens (assembly GCF_000001405.40). NCBI lineage: Eukaryota > Metazoa > Chordata > Mammalia > Primates > Hominidae > Homo > Homo sapiens. Next base: position 61,956,454 of record NC_000001.11, read on the forward strand.
CAGTGCAGGTACAAGAGCAGGCTGGGAATGAGAAGGCAGCACCTTAGAGTTCCATAAAGCAAAAGATAATGAGGTATGAAAGGTTAAAAAAAGAAATTTATATCTAATGGGTAGTTTCTAGGTTCTGTCATCTAAGTGTTCGCTTGAGTATATCTCATGCTTCTTGGAAATGTTTTGATTATACCTGCAGGGATAAAACATGTTCATAGTGATCATCTAATAACAAAATTACATTGGTTGTGGCTGTTTATCTGTGCCACATGAAGTCTTTGAAAACAGCTCTGTGCTACTGTGTAAAATTAAGTTAAATACTTTGATTCTTCAAATGACAAGACATTGGATTTGATTTATTGCTAAGTCACATTTATATGATCATTTGCAAGTTGTTTAGTCACGTGTTTCAACTGTTCCTTGAGAACAATCATTTTGGCAGGCAGATAATCTGTGTTTTCACAGATCACAGAACCTGCAAAAACTAGCTTTCCATTCTTCAGTCCCCCTTGAGTCTGTTACTCCCATCATAGGCCTGTGCTCCTGTTTCTTTCGCTTTGCATTTAAATAGTCATTTCCTCCCCATGAGTATGTGGCCATTAATGCACTTACAGTGCTGTGTTGAGACTAGGGGTTTAGCTGTCTATGGCCAGAGTTTAGGTAACTGTAGATGTTTAATAAACCTTATTTGAACTGATGTAGAAAAGGTCATTTTGCATGTAACCTAATGAATATTCATAAGAGAGTGGGCAAATCTATTCCATTTATAAAGTGGGTATTCTCATGGAACAATGGCTCACTAAAGAAAAGGGAATCATTCTGCCATCTACACGTATTACTTAGAAGGTTCTTTTTATGGGCTGCATGGTACAATGATATTATATAAAGAAAGGGCATTTTCTCTCAGTGGAACAATGGTTTTTATCAGACAAATAATTTTTCTATAATCATAAAGGAATTATATATTTGGGAATGATGAGCGTTAGAATAATGGGCAGATTATTTTCCTGCTTTCCGTCTTTTTTTTCTTACTTTAATTGAGCAGTTCATTTTTACTTTGTGTTCACTTCTTCAGTGGTTTCTGAACTAATCTATAATATGATTTATGCATTGCACCATGTTCAGGGCAAGTTACGGGATAGTTTCTTGGTCAAATAGGAAAGAGTAGAAGTTTTCCACTTTGTGACCCGTGAACCTTTGGTGCAGCATGTGGCCCATTATGTGTGTTGGTAAAGAAAAGTCTTATTGTTGATGCTTTCAAACTACAAAAAACCAGAGTTGAATAATTGCAGCAGAGACCATGGATCCCCAAAGCCTAAAGTACGTACTGTCGAGCTCTCTCAAGTAAGTTTGCCAACCCCTAAGTTACGTTATAGAAGTTGAAGCTTTGAATCAGGTGTGAGTTCAAGGTCAGATCTTACCTTATAGCTTGTCAACTGTGTATACTTGAGCAAATTCGTTATTAGAAAATTCTCTGAACTTTGATTTTCTTTTCTACAAACCAAGGATAATGCTACCTACCTAATAAGGTTTTCCTGGTGATTAAATGGCATAAAATATATTAAGTATTTAATACATTGCTTTGTAAATGGTAAGCACTCTGAAAAGTTTAGCTATATACAAAATATATGTATATGTATTTCTGTGTATGTTGGTACATTTATTTTTCCTTTGTGTAAGATTGAAAGTTGTTACCTTTATTGTGGTATACTCTGTGATTTACATGTTTATTGTGTTTACATGTTTGTAATTTGTAATTTGTTTACAGGTTTATTGTGACTACCAGTTGTATACTCATTATTTCTAACTCTCTGTTAATTTCATGGCCTAAATTTAATCTGGTTAGTTATTTAGGTTTTTCCCTTGCTGTAAAGAAGTTAACTGTTCAAATATTACCTTAACTTTTTAAAACATGACCCTAATTGTTTCTGGCAAATGGTAGTGGCAAATACTAAATTGATTAGATAAGAATACTTTAGTATAGAATATCATTATATTATATTATTCCCTATATTCTTGTGTAATATTTGCAAAATATCTATACACCTTAAAGCCCTCTATGGTTAAAGTACCCTACCATTTGTAAACCATGAAGATTTCCCTTGAAGATTTTCCCAATATTTAAGCAGTGTCGTCTGCTTTATTTGGCAAATTTTTTTATCCTCTTAGAAAAAGCCCACTGTGACCCTATATACGGCCTCAAATACATGTTGAATTTTGATTTTCCTCAGGGAACACAGAGGAGAGATTGTGATCCCCAGGGGTTACCTGGTAGAGGGAGAATATGGAGGCCCAGAAATCAAGGCTGTGCCTCTAGTTAGTGTGTGACCAAGTTGTCAAGTCATTGACTTTCTCTGGAGCCTCACTTTCTTAATCTGTAAAATGAGTGTGAGACTAAATTACCCTTAAAATTCCTTCTAGTCCTGTGATTTTTAGGGGGAGTGGATGTTCTGTTTTGTTAGGGCAGATAAAACCTTGAAGATACACATTTTCAGTAAATACGAAGAGCCTAAATGTGAGCCTTTAGCCTGGAATCTGTCAGTCCATAAAGAGTCCAAAAATGTCTGCTAATCCCTTGAATTTTCTTGGAATGTGGGGAGGGGTATTTGGGGGATTGAAAGGAGGAGGAGGTTATCTTTATTATATCATCCATAAAATCCATAGCTCAAGGGAGGTAAAAACAGCACTGTTCCAAATCTATACAAATCATGAAAGGTAGGATGAATAGATGATACTTCATATCAAAATAGGCCAGCTAGACCTTTATAGTATAACTTTTTTGAAAGAAATTAGTATGGGACCGGGGATTACATAGCAGATAATAAATATGTATAACATCTTATCTCCAAAAATTGGTTAAGCTACAATAAAACTTAAGAAAGAAAATTAAATAGATAAATTTTTGAATGTCAGGAAATGACAACTTCTATTTCTATAAAGAGCTCTCCCACTGCCTATATATATATTATATATATAATATATTTTTTTTCTTTTCTTTTTTTTTTTTTTGAGACAGAGTTTTGCTCCATTGCCAGGCTGGAGTGCAGTGGCACAATCATGGCTCACTGCAGCCTCGACCCACCAGGCTCAAGCGATCCTCCCACCTCAGCCTCCCAAGTAGCTGGGACCGACCACAGGTGCATGCCACCATGCCTGGCTAATTTTTAAAAAATTCTTTGTAGAGATGGGGTCTAACCAGGTTGCCCAGGCTGGTCTCAAACTCCTGGACTCAAGCAATCTTCCCACCTTGATCTCCCAGAGTGCTTGGAGCCATGGTTCCCAGCCTCACCACTGCTTTTTTAGAATGGTTCTGTCATATGGGTCTCAACACAGTCCTTTGTACATAATTATTGCTTAATGTTGTATGAAAGAATAAGTGCTAGCCTGGGCAATATAGCCAGACTTCCATCTCTACAAAAAACTTAAAAATTAGCCAGGCATGGTGGCATGCACCTGTAGTCCCAGCTACTTGGGAGGCTGACGCAGGAAGATCACTTGAGCCCAGGAGTTTGAAGTTTCAGTGAGCTAGGATCACAGCACTGCACCCTAGCATGGACAACAGAGCAAGGCCCCCATTTCTAAAAAATAAATAAATAAGTAAATGATGTTTCATGGTTATATTCAATATCAATATTGGGTATTCTAATGAGTCTAATTATCTTTGTATAAGTTTATATAAACCATTTATTTAGTGGTTAAGAGCATGGGATTTGGAGTCATGCAATTTTAGCCCCAGATCATCTCTTTATTTAATCTTTCTGAAACATATTCCTTAACTCTAATGTGGAAATGGAAGCACTTACCTCTTTGGATTATTTAGAGGACTAAGTGACATAATACATATGAAATGCAGAACATTCTCCCTGCATGACCATCCTTTCCCTCATATCTTCCTATTACACAAATCTGAGTTCAGCATAAAAATTGTTTTATCTGGCCAGGTGCAGTGGTTCACGCCTGTAATCCCAGCACTTTGGGAGGCCAAGGTGGCTGGATCACCTGGGGTCAGGAGTTCGAGACCAGCCTGGCCAACATGGTGAAACCCCGTCTCTACTAAAAATACAAAAAATTAGCCAGGTATGGTGGTGGGCACCTGTAATCCCAGCTACTTGGGAGGCTGAGGCAGAAGAATCAGCTTGAACCAGGAGGCAGACGTTGCAGTGAGCCGAGATCATGCCATTGTACTCCAGCCTGGGCAACAAAAGCGAAACTCCATCTCAAAAAAAAAAAAAAAAGTTTTACCTTTGAACGAAGTACAATTTTTATGGAGAACATTTCAAATTCCTCTTGATTTTTTTAAAAGAAATTTCCCAAAATCTTGATGCCAGTGGGTTCTCTAGAAATGATAATTTTGCTGACCATTTTTCTCAGTGCTCTTGGCTTCATCCAGTCTAGATAGGGGGAAACACTGATTTCTGATTCTTGAGTTCTAGACAGTTATATCTTCTTGAAAGGGGCAGAGTTAAAGATGGAAGGATTGGTATCTTGTAAATATATTCAGACACTCATATGGGAAGGAAAGGGACTGTCCATTTTAATAATGGAGACATAGACAGGTTTATGGTTCAGCTTTCAAAATCAGTCTGAGAAAAGTTAAGCCTAAAGTTTTCTTCCCTTTACTGTCATTAATTCTGTGGAATATCTGGAACAGTACCTTTGGGTGAGTTGGAGAAAGCTACACGCTCTGGAACGATGCCAACAGGGAGGCACTCAGATGATTTAGCAAGGTAAAGGCCTTTGATCAAAGAAAAAAGGAATGCCTTTATCCTTGGACACAGTCAAATGGATTCCATAACAACTCCCACCCACTATCGCAGCCTGGCACCCTTGTGCAGTGTACATACTGCACAACCAATCATGGTTGACTGTGTTACTAGATATTCTGAAACTTAGCTCTCTGACATCTTGACCAGTCCTACCCAAGGCACAAAGCCAAGAAAGAAATGATCAGAAGAGATTCCCAGGGGCCAAAATGGATATAACTACATGTGTACTCTCAGCTCATTTACTTTGCTTGAAAAAGAATCCCTGACTAGATCTTATTAGCTACCAATTTGCAATAAAATGTTTTATTATAATTTATCATATTTTATAGTCATATAATAGGAGACAAAAAAATATATTTTGCAAAAACACTTTAGACAGGCCTGCTGACTGCAGGATCAATACATGAAAAGTACCAACCTGACAGCAAAAGATGTGGAAAAATGATATAAAGCAGACAAAAGAAATATGAATACAGGGCTGGGCGCGGTGGCTCGTGCCTGTAATCCCAGCACTTTGGGAGGCCGAGGCAGGTGGATCACCTGAGGTCAAGAGTTTGAGACCAGCCTGACCAACATGGCGAAACCCCGTCTCTACTAAAAATACAAAAATTAGCTGGGCGTGGTGGTGCATGCCTGTGATCCCAGCTACTCGGGAGGCTGAGGCAGGAGAATCACTTGAACCTGGGAAGCAGAGGTTGCAGTGAGCCGAGATCACGCCATCGCACTCCAGCCTGGGCGACAAGAATGAAACTCCGTCTTAGAAAAAAAAAAAAAAGAAAGAAAAGAAATGTGAATACGGAAGTCTCTGTTTGGTTGCAGCCCTATGTGTTGACACTCAAACAATACCATCTATTCTTACTGGGAAACCTTTCCTGACTCTCTCAGTTAGAAGTATTGTCTTCTGTATTTCTTTTTGTTGGTTCCTCTATTATTTCATTTTTACTTCCACAGCCTACCATGATATTATCATTATTCATACATGGTTATTCATTATATTTATAGCCTCATGAGAATAGTCTATCTTGATTAATTTTTAATTCAACATGTCTTGTTTAATGCCTTGTACAGATGATACACTCAGTAAATATTAAATGAGCAAATGGATGAATAACAGGATATTAAAATTAGGCAGAAGGCATGTAATTTGGAGGGGCTTGGGCACTGACTATATGTCCTTCTGTCTCGATATTTTTTCCTTCTTGAAATATTCATTTCAGATACACTGTCTGGAGTTTAGTTTTCAGTTATTTTTACAAAGCAGTTTTATAGTTGAAAAAGCAGATATAAGGCAAATCAATCTAGATGTGTAGAGTAATTGGACTGGGTTTGTGGTGTGATGATGGAGGGTTTTGAAGACTTCTTTTAGTTAGTAGAGGATTAATCGGTGATCATTAGGGAGAATTAACTTGTTGACAAATTGCAACAGGAGGACTAATTAGAAGATATATTCTTAAGGATTAAGTTTGACTCTGAGTGAAGACACCCCAAAATAACAGCTATTCTAGAGGACAGAAGTTTATTTTTTTCACACATATGGACCTGGAAGTGGACATTGCACAGCGTCTGAGACCTGGGCTTCTTTCATATTGTTGCTTTCCTATGTGTGACCTCCATCCTCCATGTCACCTCAAAATGTCAAGAAGATACTAGCTGCAGCTATCAAGGCGGCATGCCAGCCCAGCCGCCAGAAAGGAAAGGAGAAAAGAGAAAGGGCAACCTTCCTCCTTTTAAGGATATTTCTGGAAAATAGCACATAATTCTTTAAGTTGTATTCCATTGTCCAGAGTTTAGTTACACAAATAGTTATAAAGGAGGCTGAGAAATGTTCTTTTTCTTCTGTACAGACATATGCCCAGCTAAAAAATACGCAGTCTATTATTCAAGAGAAAAGGTAGAATGGATATCAAAGGACAAATTAGCAGGATTTCCACTGGTAGGTTAAAGATCAGCATATAACTTTTAAATCTCCCAAAACTTTACTAATAGCCTACTCTTGGCTTTACCAATAACACAACCAATCAGTTAGGCACGTATTTTGTATATGTGTTATATATATTCTTACAATAAAGTAAGCTAGAGAAAAGAAAATATTAAGGAAACCAGCCTGGGCGTGGTGGCTCACACCTGTAATCCCAGCATTTTGGGAGGCCAAGGCAGGTAGATTGCTTGAGGTCAGGAGTTTGAGACCAGCCTGGCCAGCATGTTGAAACCCTGTCTCTACTAAAAATACAAAAAATTAGCTGGGCGTGGTGTTGCACATCTGTAGTCCTAGTTACTCAGGAGGCTAAGGCAGGAGAATCACTAGAACCCAGGAGGCAGAGGTTGCAGTGAGCTGAGATTGCGCCACTGCACTCCAGCCTGGGAGACAGAGTGAGACTCTGTCTCAAAAGAAAAAAAAGTAAACCATCAGGAGGAAAAAATATATTTACTATTCATTAAGTGGAAGTGGATCATCATAAAGGTCTTCATCCTCATCCTTATGTTGAGTAGGCTGAGGAGGAGGAAGAGGCAGGGTTGGTCTTGCTGTCTCAGGGGTGGCAGAGATGGAAGAAATTTTGCATATACATGAACCCACACAGTTTAAACTTGGATTGCTGAGGGTTAATTGTATAGAATAAAAAGCAGCAGCACACATTATCCCTTTTTACAATTTGTTTAGTTGCTTGCTTATACTTACCTATCCAAATCAGAAGGGAGTGGAAATTTTGGCCTATATAGTATTTTGATTCTCTTGGAACTATTTTAAAAGCTTTAGTTGAATGTTATTTATTCTAATATAATGAGTTCTAGAGGTAATAACTGTTTTGTCACAGTTTTAGTTCACACTAAGTTGTATTAAAAAGCATTATAATTTCCTTCCTTCCTTCTTCCCTCCCTCCCTCCCTTCCTTCCTTCCTTCCTTTCTCTGTTACCAAGGCTGGAGTACAGTGGCATGATCTCAGCTCATTGTATCGTCTGCCTCCCAGATTCAAGTCATTCTCCTGCCTCAGCCTCCCAAGTAGCTGGGATTACAGGCGTGCACCACCATGCCCAGTTAATCTTTGTATTTTTAGTAGAGACAGGGTTTCACCATGTTGGCAAGGCTGGTCTCAAACTCCTGACCTCAGGTAAACCTCCCACCTCAGCCTCCCAAAGTGCTGGGATTAGAGGCGTGAACCACTGCACCTGGCCTAAAAAGCAGTATAATTTCTTATGTGTTCTCGACTATTCTTAAAATAGCCAGTTAACTATATATATAGATTAGCAGATTAAAGCTTCCAGAAAAGATTTCCATGACACATAGAAAAGATATTTAAGGCTGGGTGCAGTGGCTCACGCCTGTAATCCCAGAGCTTTGGGAGGCTATGATGGGAGGATTGCTTGAGGCCAGGAGTTCAAGACCAGCCTGGGCAACATGGTGAAACCCCATCTCTACCAAAAATACAAAAATTAACTGGGCGTGGTGTGGCACATTTGTAGTCCTAACTACTGGGGAGGCTGAGGCAAGAGGTTCACTTGAGCTCAGAAATTGAGGCTGCGGTGAGCCAAGATCGTGCCACTGCAGTCTAGCCTGGGCAACAGAGCAAGGCCTCAACTCTTAAAAAAGAAAAAGAAATAAAAAAGGTATTTAAATCCTGCTGGCCGACCGTGGTGGCCGATGCCTGTAATCCCAGCACTTTGGGAGGCTGAGGCAGGCAGAACACATGGGGTCAGGAGTTTGAGACCAGACTAGCCAACATGGTGAAACCCCATCTCTACTAAAAATACAAAAATTAGCCGGGCGTGGTGGTGTGTGCCTGTAGCGCCAGCTGCTCGGGAGGCTGAGGTGAGAGAATTGCTTGAACCCGAAAGGTGGAGGCTGCAGTGACGTGAGCTGAGCTGAGAGTGCACCACTGTATTCTAGCCTGGGCCACTGAAGGAGACTCTGTCTCAAAAAAAAAAAAAAAAAAAAAAAAAAAAAAAAAAAAAAAAGGAGCCTTCATGTGTAGAGATTGAAGCTTTATTATTTTCTAGTTGTACCTTTTCAATCAAGCCATTTAAACTTTCTGAGTTTCAGTTTATTCATCTTAAGGACACATGGCTAATGCCTACCTCAAAAATTAGTTTCAGGATTCAATGAAAAAAACATGAAAAAGCCTGTACTGTGCCTAAAACTCAGTAGAGTTATTTTCATTTGAATATGGTAATTAGGGTCAGTAGATGTTATTTGCATTTGAATACAGTAATTATTATCTTTAATATCTTCTACCTTCATCTGTACTTGTTTTTGATACCTCTGAGCCCAAAGTTACCTAACCATTTAGTGAACAAAATGGTTCTCTAACTCTCACTCTCACTAACGTTGTCAACCAGTGGAACCTTTTTAATTTTTATTATTTGATCCCACGAGGGGAAGTGGGTAGCAGGAGGCTAAGTAGTTCAGTTGACAAGGGACAGAGTTAACCAGTGACGGGAGAAATTGAGAAGTACAGAGAAGGCATAGCACCCAAATGCGAGTGGCAAAAGTAGGATTTGAACTCACATTCTGACTCTAGAGCCCACACTCTTAGTCACTAGGTTTTATTGCCCGTTTTAACCGAGGAGGCAGTGCTTTGGCCACAGTAGGAGAGATTTGTACTAGGAGAGTTTGAGAGAGTGAAATAGGATGATCCAGGTTCCACAGGAACACTCACCTAGGAATTTATTCAGGAAGCTGTTATTATTTATGTTATTTTTATTTATTTATTTTTGAGGTGGAGCCTCGCTCTGTCTCCCAGGCTGGAGTGCAATGGCACGATCTTGGCTCACCACAACTTCCGCCTCCCATGTTCAAGGGATTCTCTTGCCTCAGCTTCCCACATAGCTGGGACTATAGGCACATGCCACCATGCCCGGCTAATTTTTGTATTTTTAGTTGAGATGAGGTTTTACCATGTTGGCCAGGCTGTTCTCGAACTCCTGACCTTGTGATCCACCCACCTTGGCCTCCCAAAGTGCTGGGATTACAGGCGTGAGCCACCGCACCTGGTCTATTATTTATGTTGAAGTAGACTTTGGGTGCTTTGTACCAGGTAGCTTGGATTTTCTCCTGCCAGTGCCTCCTTGTCTTTATTTTTGAATGGTAATCTGTTAGGGTCATAGTGTTACTGGAAAGGGGTTAGGATCCAGACCCCAAGGGAGGGTTCTTGGATCTCGCGCCAAGGCGAGTCCATAGAGTAAAGTGAAAGCAAATTAGGCCAAATGCGGTGTCTCACACCTGTAATCCCAGCACTTTGGGTGGCCAACCCGGGTGGGTCACCTGAAGTCAGGAGTTCAAGACCAGCCTGGCCAATGTGGTGAAACTCCATCTCTACCAAAAATACAAAAATTAGCCTGGCATGGTGGTGGGCCCCTGTAACCCCAGCTACTCAGGAGGCTGAGGCAGGAGAATTGCTTAAACCTGGGAGGCAGAGGTTGCAGTGAGTCGAGATTGCATCATTGCACTCCAGCCTGGGCGACAAGAGCGAGACTTCATCTCAAAAAAAAAAAAAAAAAGCAAGTTTATTAGGAAAGTAAAGGAATAAAGAATGGCTACTCCATAGAGCAGCTGGTTGCCCATTTTTATGGTTATTTCTTGATTATATGCTAAACAAGAGGTGGATGCCTTCCCTTTTTAGACCATATAGGGTAACTTCCTGATGTTACCGTGGCATTTGTAAACTGTCATGGCGCTGGTGGGAGTGTAGCAGTGAGGACAACCAGAGGTCACTCTCGTGGCCATCTTGGTTCTGGCGGGTTTTGGCCGGCTTCTTTACTGCAAGCTGTTGTATCAGCAAGATCTTTATGACCTGTATCTTGTGCTGACCTGTCTCATCCTGTGACTTAGAATGCCTTCAACATCTGGGAATGCAGCTCAGTAGGTTTCAGCCTTATTTTACCCAGCTCCTATTTAAGATGGAGTTGCTCTGGTTCAAACACCTCTGACAATAGAATTCTATTGCAGAGTTGAATTGCATGGAGAGGATTAAAAATATTCAGTTTCTCATTCTTTGTAAGATTAATACTTGCAAATCAAGCATTAGTCAGTTAACTAAATGCTTACTATTAGCCATTTTATTTTTATTTAGATATACTAAGAACTGCCTTTTTATTCCTAAAATCTTGAATTTTCTAAACTTGCTTTTGATAGTTAAACTATAGTTTTACTAATTTAACCTTAAACTATCTCTAAGAGTTGAACTTTCTATTCAAGGAAAGATACCTTTCAGAAGCATTCAATGTCTGCTTTTCATAAGATTGACTTGATTAGATGTTAGAAAAAAAGATAAGAGTGCTAAGTACAGTTTCATCTTACCTTTTAAGGAAATGTGTGTGATTTATAATTTGTAAAAGAGACAGTGATTTATGTTAAAATATTGATTCTCTCCCAAGCTGCTGTTCTTGAGCAGTTCATTTAATCCTTCTCAGCTTCACTGTTTCTTGTTTTTAGAAAGGACTGTTGCAGTATTAAATGAGATGATTTATTTAAAGGTAACCGTCACTCAAAAGGCAACATTTGTTATTAGAAATTTGGGTTTAGAATTGCCCATAAGAGATTTTGGATTAATCTTAAATATTTGTTTCCTTGCTTGATTTCCTCCTCTGCTGTTGCTTTTGCCTTTCTGTTTTGCTTGCTTTTTATCTCAATTCCTTTCCCTCTCGTTTATCTTTTATCTTGTGAGAAAAGCAATTGTTCACTGATTTGCAAGATCCTGTCCAGGACCTGACTATCAGCTGCTTTCAGAGTCTAAAGATGAGACAAAAATGAAAACAGACTGGCTGCAATGTCTGATATAATTCCTTTTCGATGTCATCATCTCAGCCCTGCCTGAAAAAAAAATCCAAGAAGATATGAAAGCCCAAGGAGTAAAGCATTAAACCATGCAAAAATACCAACACCGGAGAGAAAACAAGTATCTATGACTCTGTGGGAAGGGTGTGAATGACAGGTGTTGTCAGCTTATTTTGACAGCCTTTGGTAGCTTTTCTGCATCTTTATTAAACTCATCTTAGCTACCAGTTTTTCAGGACTTAATCTTTTTTTTGTCAGTTTCTTTAGGTGTATGGGATAGATGCTTTCTTTCATTCGGTGGCTTTTCTTTAGAATACACATGGGGTCTCCTTCACTCTCAGTTGTTTCGGCAAATGCAGAGCTTGATCACAACGTTAGCCGTAAATACCTTTTCAAGGGTCGACTTATTTTAAAAAATAGACTCTTATGTTGTTTATTTTATTACGGTAAAAAATATATAAAATTTATCATCTTAACCATTTTAAGTGTACAGTTTAGTAGTGTTAAATATATTTAGATTGTTGTAAACTAGTTCTCCAAAACTTTATCTTCCCAAACTGAAATTCTTTTTTTAATGTATTTTTTTAATTATTATTATACTTTAAGTTCTAGGGTACATGTGCACAACGTGCAGGTTTGTTACATGTGTATACGTGTGCCATGTTGGTGTGCTGCACCCGTTAACTTGTCACTTACATTAGGTATGTCTCCTAATGCTATCCCTCCCCGCTCCCACCACCCCACGACAGGCCCCCGTGTGTGATGTTCCCCACCCTGTGTCCAAGTGTTCTCATTGTTCAATTCCCACCTATGAGTGAGAACATGCAATGCCCAAACTGAAATTCTATACCTATTAAAAAATAACTTCCTGCTTTTAAAAAAAAGTTTTATAAGAACTCCTTTTCCCCCATCCCTAGTACCTGGCAACCACCATTACAGTTTCTGTTTCTATGAATTTGACTACTTTAGATGTTTTGTGTAAGTGGAATCATATTGCATTGTGACTTTTTGTGACTGCCTTATTTCACATAGCATAATTTTCTCAAAGTTCATTCATGTTGTAGTATGTGACAGGGTTTTCTTCCTTTTGAAGGCTGCGTAGTATTCCATTGTCTGTGTAGACCACTTTGTGTTTTTTTCTATTCATCTGATGGTTGACCTTTGAGTTGCTTCCACCTCTTGACTATTGTGAATAGTGCTGCTATGAACATGAGTGTGCAAATATTTCTTCAAGACTTTGCTTTCAATTATTTTAGAGATATACCCAGAAGTAGAATTACTGGATCATATGATATTTCTAATTTTTTTAAGGTATGTCCATACTCTTCCATAGGGGTTATATACCATTTTACAATCCTACCAACGATGCATAAACGTTCCAGTTTTTTCAAATCCTTGTCTACACTTATTATTTGCTGGTTTTTTGGTAGTAGCTACACTAGTGGGAGTGAGGTGATACCTCATTGTGATTTTGATTTGCATTTTTCTCGTTGATGAAGCTTCTTTTCACATGCTTATTGGCTATTTGTATACCATGTTTGGAGAAATGTCTGTTTATGTCCTTTGCCCGTTTTTAAATCAGATTATTTGATTTATATTTGGTTGTTTTAGGAGTTCTTTATATATTCTAGATATTATATACCCTTATCAGATAAATAATTTGCAAATATATTCTCCCATTCTGTGGGTTGCCATTTTACTGTTTTGATTGTGTACTTTGTTTTGTTTGTTTGAGACACAGCCTCCCTCTGTCGCTCAGGCTGGAGTGCAGTGGTGTGATCTCAGCTCATTGCAACCTCCACCTCCTGGGTTCAAGTGATTCTCGTGCCTCAGCCGCCTGAGTAGCTGGGACTAGAGGTGCATGCCACCACACCTGGCTAATTTTGGTATTTTTAGTAGAGATGGGGTTTCACCATGTTGGCCGGACTGGTCTCGAACTCCTGACCTCAAGTGATCCGCCCGCCTCGGCCTCCCAAAGTGCTGGGATTACAGACATGAGCCACCGTGCCCGGCCCTTGATTGTGTACTTTGAACAAATGTTTTAAGTTGTGAAATTTTGATGTGTACCATTTGTCTATTTGGTTTTTTGTATTTTTTTTTTTGTTTTTTGTTTTTTGTAATCTGTGCTCTTGGTATCATATCCAAGAAACCATTGCCAAATCCAAAGTTATGAAGCTTGTCATCTATTTTTTCTTCTACAAATTTTATAGTTTGGAGTAATAGACATTTTTTCTCTCTTTATTTGACTTTAATTTTTAGAGCAGTATTAGGTTCAATGAAAAAATAAGCAGAAAGTAGAGTTCCCAATACCTCCCCCACCGACACACGGGCAACCTCTCCCACTATCAATATCCTGCACCTGAGTACATCTGTTATATTCGACAAACCTACATTGACACGTCATTATCACCGAGAGTCCATAATTTGCATTAGAATTCACTCTTGGTATATGTTCTGTACATTTTGACAAATTATAATGACATGTATCTTACCACACAGTATTATACAGAGCAGTTTTACTGCCATGAAAATCCTTTGTGCTCTTCTATTCTTCCCAGGCTGGAGTGCAGTGGTGCGATGACAGCTCACTGCAGCCTCAAATGCCTGGGCTCAAGTGATCCTCCCACCTCTGCCTCCCAAGTAGCTAGGATTGCAGGCATGTGCCACAAGCCTGGCTAATTTTTAAAAATTTTTTGTAAAGATGACCTCTTCATCTATTGCCCAGGCTGGTCTCAAACTCCTAACCTCACACTAACGCCTGCTTTGGCCTCCCAAAGCTCTGGGATTATAGGTGTGAGCCACCACACCTGGCCACTCAAGAGGTTAACTTTTAATCCAGAAATTTTGAACTATTCAGAAGATACTATCATCAAAGTATTCAATGTCCAAATTACAGAACTATAAGATACTTCTGAGAGTTTGTCACCTGGTCTAATACTCATTGAAGTAGAAATTTAATCAGAATTATGTTTCCTTTCTCACAAGCAAGCTTAATTAACGAAAGCTTCAAAACCACAAAACATTCTTTAAGAAAATTGCCAGCTCCTTTGCATGCTTTTAGAGCATGACAGTTTTTAAAGTTTTTTTCACAGGTATTCTTTATTTTGATCATCTTACAAATTCTGTGAGCTGGTAAAGGCAGGCAAGATAATTTACATTTAACTCATTGACCAGTCTGAGGCTGGACTAAGTTAAGTGAACTGCCCAGGATTTCATGGCTAGAAAGTAGAGTCTAGGTTCTTAACCCCAAGTCATTGTCTCTCTACACTCTACCAACCTGCCTCTTCTTTTGGCCATGAAAATATGAATATACTGTTAGCCTCTTGCAGAAGTAAATAAGATTTTGTTAGTGTCTGGTTTCTTTCCCCAACTGTTTAAAACAGCGTAAGGCCAGGTGTGGTGGCTCACATCTGTAGTCCCAGCACTTTGGGAGGCCAAGGCAGAAGGATCACTTAAACTCAGGGTCTCTACAAAAAATTTAAAAATTAGCCAGGCATGGTGGTGCATGCCTGTAGTCCCAGCTACTCAGGAGGCTGAGGTAAGAAGAGCACTTGAGCCTGTGAGGTCGAGGCTGCAATGAGCATGTTCATGCCACTGCACTCTAGCCTGAGTGACAGAGTGAGATCCTGTCTCAAAAAATAAAAGAAAAAAGAAAAAACAGCATAGACTGTGACATACTGTGGGGTGAAGCTGTTAAAAGAAATATTTGTTATTGTTTAGAATTATTTGGGTGGCCAGGCAAAGTGGCTCACTCCTGTAATCCCAACACTTTGGGAGGCCAAGGCAGAAGGATTGCATGATCCCAGGAGTTTGAGACCATCCTGGAAACATTGTGAGACCCTATCTCTTAAAAAAAAAAAAAATCCAGGTACAATGGTGGGTACCTGTAGTCCCATCTATTTGGGCGGCTGAAGCAAAAGGATCACTTGAACACGGGAGGTTGAGGCTGCAGTGAGCCATGACCATACCACTGCACTCCAACATGGGTGACAGAGTGAGACCTTATCTCAAAATAAATAAATAAATAAGTCTGAGCAAAAATAATTATGTTTAGATTGAATCTGTCTTATCTGAAATGCTTGGGACCAGAAGTGTTTCAGATTTTGGATTTTTTCAGATTTGGGAATGTTTATGTATACCTAATAAGCTATATGTGGGACCCAAACCTAAACATAAAATTCCTTTATGTTTTATATATGCCTTATACCCAGAGCCTGAGCATAATTTTATACAATATTTTAAATAAATTTGTGCATGAAACAAAGTTTTGACTGTGACCCGTCACGTGAGGTCAGGTGTGGCTTCATGCGACTGTGACTTCATGTTGGTGTACAAAAAGTTGCAGATTTTTGAGCATTTCTAATTTTGGATTTTCAGATTAGGAATGCTCAACTTGTATTAAACAATTTATAATATTGCTGATGTTCTTTCTCATAATACTATTTTTAAGGGATCTCATGGGATTTTCTGTTGTCTTCATTTAAAAGTTAAATGTTAAAACAATGCTATGTACTGTGTCGCTTTGTGGCTGTTTCTTAAACTCTCATAGCCTGTTTCCTCATTTGTAAAAGAAATGACAACAATAATTTTTAAAAGTAAGGTTATGTAATTAAAATTGGTTTGCGTGTTACTTTAAGACACTCTCTATAAGAAATAAGGAAGGGAAGTTTTGGCTGTGAGGGAGCAAACTTCTGGTACATATAACTACTAGGTGTGAGGCATTAAGTTAAATACTTTACATTCTTTAATTCTATGTTGTGCCATTCCTAGGGCAAGAAAAGTGATTACTTAAAAGAACCAGATGCACAGTTAATTAATTTTCAGGAGGTCAACAGGTACAGTGTGGCTTCAGGGGAATTTGCAAAATAGATCTTTTTGACTTCACCATGTACCTATTAGTGAAGCTCTTTCTGACTCTAAAGCTTGTATACTTTTTTTTCTGATAGGCTGTGGTTCAAAATACCCCAAAGACAGTGTTTTTAATAATGATGAAACATTTGGATTACCCAAAAAAGGTATTCTATCAGCTTAATCTTAGAATCTATTCTTAAAATTTAATTCCTAGGGGAAGTAAAAGTGTATTAATTAGAAATTTTTATTAATAAATAGCCTGTTTCTTGACCAATTCAGATAATGACAAATTTGCAAGCTTGTGTTTCTGTAATTTATTGACATATTATGCTGTACCCACTCTGGGCCAGAAACTCTGCCTACACGAGACAGAATTAGTTTCTTCTCTCATTGAGCTGACAAGAGAGTGGGGCTGCGAGCAATAAATGACTAAAGATGACACAACAAAATACCGTCCAATCTCAGCTGGAATTCTGCTTCTTCCCTGAAGCTTGTTCTGATGGTTATTGGAAATAATACGTATGTACAGGGCTCTGGGCACACAGCCTGATGGTTTCCTAAGCAGGTATGCAGAGAGAAGTTCCACGCTATCAGTCACTAAAGGAACCAGGTCAGTTTGGCAAATAACATGTTTTAACCCTTTTTCTGCATTCTACTACAGTTTCCTTTAATTACTGAAAACTACCATTATTTTTCCTTCTAGGAAATATAATTAAATATTAATGTTGTCAGTGCCACTGCTGATGACCACGATCTGATGTGGTGCGGAGCTCTTGTTGAGCATTATTGCATGACTGTGAGGTGACCAGGAAGCAAACTTAGCCCAACCCCAGCACATTTCTACTGCACTGTAACCATAGTGAGCTTGCAACTCACCACTTTCATAGTGATTAAAGGACTATGTCCTCCTGATAATTAAAATATACAACAAATGATTGTAGAGAGTGTTCCTAAAATTACATTTGGCTTTTCGCAATGCTGTTTTCAAAATTAAAGCATGTTTACTGTTTTAAGACTGAGTTAAAAATCTGAGGTAATAATCAGATCGTTTTTTATGAATCTCATATTCAGGCATTTCTAAGGACTATAAAGGCATTTTGAGCTGGGATAGGGACTTATCTTAGTGTTCTTAGTGTGCATAAGAATTTCATAAAGATCTTTTTTTTTTTCTTTTTTAAATGGTGACTCCTTGGCCCCATCCCCAGAGATTTCGACTTTGTAGATATGACATGGATCCCAGACACCAGCACTTCATACAGGACTACTTCTGGTGATCCTGGGACCACAGTGGGACATGCTGGTTTAGGCATAGTGGTACACTTCTGTAGAAAGGCTTCAAAGGACATGTCGAGCAAAACTGATACTGTGAGCCTGATAGTTTGAGCATGGGCGCCTATGTGACCACCAATTAGGATGGATAAACTTCCTTGTACTAAACTAATTTCATTTTATGTTTTAAGCCTAAAGGTGGTCATTGAACTTGAACTTTGTCATTGTAAATTGATCATTTGTCAACTAGGTCTTCTCCATTAGATAATTGCCTCAGAGATACCCCCATCTCTCTCTCTCTCTCTCTTTTTTTTTTTTTTTTTTTTTTTTTGAGATAGAGTTTCGCTCTTGTTGCCAAGGCTAGAGTGCAATGGCGCAATCTTGGCTCACTGCAACCTCCACCTCCCAGGTTCAAGCGATTCTCCTGACTCAGCATCCGCTAACAGTGAGCTGAGATCATGCCACTGTACTCCATCCAGGGTGACAGAATGAGACTCTGTCTCAAAAAACAAACAAACGGGCTTTCTGCTCCAAAAGCAAAGTGGTACTCTCAAGGCAGGAAGCCTGTACTTCTTTCCCTAAGCTAGCTTTGAAACAAAAAGTCACTTTCTTTATACTAAAAAATAATAATTTAAAAATAACTCATTCTCTATCTCCTAGAAAAATGAGGGTACTCAGTTACAAAACTGGCTTAATTCATGAGGAGTTTTGGATGATATTGTTTTGCCATTCACTTGTGATTAAGCTCTGTGACCTGTAGTGTCCTTGATTGTGAAGGTTCTGGACTAGTTTCCTTCCATCTCCAAACTAAGTGTGATTTCACTGTTGGTTGTTTTTTTGTTTTGTTTTGTTTTGTTTTGTTTTTGACAGAGTTTCATTCTGTTGCCCAGGCTGGAGTGCAGTGGCATAATCTTGGCTTTCTGTGACCTTGACCTCTTGGGTTCAGGCAATCCTCCCACTTCAGCCTCCTGAGTAGCTGGGACTATAGGCATGAGCCACCACACCTGGCTAATGTTCTTTTATTTTTTGTAAAGATGGGGGTCTCACTATGTTTCCCAGCTGGTCTCGATCTCCTGGGCTCAAGCATTCTTCCTGCCTCAGCCTTCCAAAGTGCTGGAATTACAGGCATGAGCCACCATGCCCAGACCCAAATTAAGTGTGATTCTTAAGAGTTTAGGTACTGATTGCCAAAGTTGAATCCTTCTTTGTCTCCTGTTATGTGATTGAAAGATCTCAAATCATATTTGGAACTCTTTATGCTTTTGATAGTACCTAATTCAATCTTTACTTCCTTTGTTTTCACCCTTATATCTCTAGCAAATAGCATAGTGCCTAGCCCAGAGCCAGTATTCAGAATTTTTTTTTAATAGATAAATGGAGTAAAGTCAGCTATTCCTTTTTTCTCCAGCTCTTTGAGTTCTTTTTAATCTCTTCCAGTTGATGCCCTTAATCCGGTGTACATCCATTCCTATAATTGCTGGATACATGGTAATATCCTCCTAAATGGTCAGCTTTCCTATTCTTGGCCTGTCAGCCCTCCTTCCCACTGTCGAGTGGTAATTCATCTCCAAACACTGTTCAAAGCATTTCAGTATCTCTGCCTCGTCCAGGTGTTTAGAACCTCTGTCCACTTGGTCCTAGCAGGAGTTTCAGGCTTATCGTCTCCTTCATTCCTGAGCTCCAAGCCACATTCGGCTGCAGCTGTCTGTGGATACCATACATCAGCCCAAAGTAAATTCTCACCTGCTTGTGTTTCACTCCATGCCTCTAAGGATCAGATAACAGCTTCCTTGTTAGCCTTCAGCTTCCTTTACTTTGGACTTCTAAACAGTTCAAAAGCCTGTTGGCTTTCAAATTATTTTCTATTACCACATGCTAATTTTGCCTCTAATTTTTTCTCCACCAGTCTACTTTTATAGTCATGCTTGGTCTTCCTGTCTCTTTGTCCCCTCTTCAAGTCATCCTGTGTGTGCTGCAGCCATGCTTCCTAAGGCTCAGCTCTGGGGATTGCCTATACGTGTTCCATGTCTCGCCTTAAATTGTCGATTCCAAAAGGGCTGAGGAAGGTTTTAGGCTTTCCTTCTGCTACTCTAGCAGAAGTGAACATAACGTGCTTCTTTATTTTCTTTGTGTTGATGGGTAAACACACAGGATTTGAAGTGAGACAGACCCAAACCTGAAACCCAAATCTTACCAATTACTTACTTTGAGTTTAGGCAAGTTCCATAACCTCCACTGGCCTCAGCTTCATTATCTGTAAGATGGGATGGTTATACTTATAGCATTGTTGTGAGGGGTTTTTTTGTTTGTTTGTTTGTTTTATTGAGATGGAGTCTTGCTCTTGTTGCCCAGGCTGGAGTGCAATGGCACAATCTCGGCTCACTGCAACCTCTGCCTCTTGGTTTTAAGTGATTCTCCTGCCTCAGCCTCCCAAGTAGATGGGATTACAGGCACCCACCCATCATGCCTGGCTAATTTTTATATTTTTAGTAGACATGGGGTGTCTCCATCTTGGCCAGGCTGGTCTCGAGCTTCTGACCTCAGGTAATCCACCCACCTCAGCCTCCCAAAGTGCTGGGATTACAGGCATGCGCCAGTGTGCCCGGACTTGTTTTGTTTTTTTAGTTGTGAAAATTTTCAAACATTTACCAACATAAAGAGAATAGTCAGCAAATTCTCCCATATGTTCTCCCAGGTTCAGTAATTACCAAGATTTTACTATACTCGTTTCACCTATTCCTTATATTTTCTTTTATTTTTCTTTACTGAAATATTTTCAAATTATCCCCAGACATTATGTCATTTTATTCATACACATGCATCTCTTAAACATATAACTATAATACCATTAATTTTCCTAACATCATAATTTTTTGGTTTTTCTAATATATAGTCTGTAATTAAATTTATTGTCTCAAAAAATATTCTTACAATTGGCTTGTTCAAATCAGATTCAAACAAGGTCCTCACATGATAGTATTTTTTGTTTGTTTGCTTGTTTTTTTAGAGATGGGGTCTCACTCTGTTGCTCGGGCTGGAGTGTAGTGGCGTGATCATGGCTTACTATATCCTCCACCTCCCAGGCTCAAGGGATTCTCCAACCTCAGCCACCCGCGGAGCTGGGATTACAGGCGTGTGCCACCACACCCAGCTAATTTTTTTGTATTTGTAGTAGAGATGGGGCTTTGCCATGTTGGCCAGGCTGATCTCGAACTCCTAGCCTCAAGTAATTGGCCCACCTCAGCCTCCCAAAGTACTGGGATTACAGGCGTGAGCCACTGTGCCCAGCCCAAACTGGAAATTTTTTGGATTAGTGGGTAGGTGATAAGAAATAAGGTGGAAGGTTTAAAAGGTTAATTCATCTTTCCCAGTGTAAGAAAAAGGAAATAATAGTAGAATTTTAAAAAGAAGATTAAAAAGGTTAATTGATAGGTTGTTTACAGCAATGATATTCCAATTTAGGTGTTTTGTAGACGCGTCCTAGAGTCCCCCCAGGGATGAGGGGTTGAGTGGGGGGCTCCATTTAAGACTTTTTCTCCCAGATTCAACCACAACACTGATTACAGGTATGATCCACTGTGCCGGCTGGCATTACAGTATTTTACATCTCTTTTTAAAAAAGAAATTTATTAGCTGGGTGCTGTGGTGAACACCTGTAGTCCCACAGCTATGCAGGAGGCTGAGGCAGGAGGATCCCTGCGGCCAGGAGTTTGAGGCTTAGTACACTATGATGGGGCCTCTGTGAATAGCCACTGTACTCTAGCCTGGGCAACATAGTAAGACTCAAAAAAAAAAAAAAACTTAAAAAAATTTTTTTAATAAAAATAAGTTGATTGAAATACATACAAACAGAAAACTATACTATAGTTTGCTGTATTTTCACAAAGAACATATTCCCATGTAACCACCATCCAGGTAATGAAATAAAACATTACTAATACCCAGAAGTCACTTTGTGCCTCCTCTGATTGACTATTT